>NC_000014.9:36581409-36884440 GCF_000001405.40 Homo sapiens | reverse complement strand
CTCCCATGTTAATCATAGCATTATTCACAGTAGTCAAGATATGAAACCAACCTAAATGTCCATCAGTGAATGAGTGATAAGAAAATGTATACAACAGAATACTCTTCAGCCCTGAAAAAGAAGGAAATCCTGTCATTTGTGATACCATGGATGAACCCAGAGGACGTCATGCTAAGTGAAATAAGCAAGACATGAATAGACAAATACTGCATGATCGCACTTACATGCAGTATCTTAAAAAGTTGAACCCATGGAATAGAGACTAGAATGGAGGTTGCCAGAGGCTGGGAGAGAAGAGTGGATGGGGAAAGGGGAGATGTTGATTAAAGGGTACAAAGTTTCAGCAAGGCAGTAGAAATAAGTTTCCATGACCTATTGCACAGAATGGTGACTATAATTAATAATAATGCATTCCATATTTCAAAGTTGCATAAAGATTAGATTTTAAATGTTCTCACTACAAAAAGTTTGTAAGTATATGAAGTGATGGATATGTTCATTAGCTTGACTCAATCATTCCACAATGTATACGTGTATATTTATACATGTATGAAACATCACATTGTACCCCATAAACATATAAAATTATTATTTGTCATTAAAAAATAAAATAATTTTTTAAAAAAATAAGTAAGATCAGTTTAAAAAATTATCATCGTGGATTCTTTGGATTGGAAGTTCCTTTTCGGTACACTAAATTTTTAAAACCTTGTCCTCTACATATCACTGAAATGGAATCCCATAATTGTAGCAGTTTTATTCTCTTATATAATTCAGTTTCTTTTTCAACAAACATTTATTGAGCACTACTAGGTGCCAGGCATGTTCTGGGTACTTAGTGCATATCGATGGATAATATGAAGGTCTCTGCTCTCTTGAAGTTTATTTCCATCAGAAGAGACAGACAGGAAACAATAAACACAATGAATAGATAAATGATATAGTATGTTAGAAGTTGGTACACACTAGAGAGAAATGAAAAAGCAGAGCAGCGTGAAGACATTTATCAGTGCTGGGCTAAGGAGGGGCAGGTCTATGTTAGAGTGGTCGGGACTACTCTTGGTCCACGTGAAGGATGTTGACCAAGTGGAATGTGGGGGAAGAGCATTCTAGGCAGAGGGAACAGCTAGACCAAAGGCCTATTACTGAAGGCCTGGCAAGGTTGGGAAACAGCAGAGAGCCAGTGTGGCTGGAGTAGAGCCAGTGGAGGGGAGAGTTGTAAGACAGCAGGTGAGAGGAGTAATGAAGCTGGGGTTACAGGTAGCTTTCGTCTGAATATAATGGGGAGCCATTGTTGACCAGAAGAATGACATGAAATGACTTCTAATTTAAAAGGATCACTCAGGCTGTGGGGTGAGAACAGATGGGAGAGGTCAAAGGTAGATGGAGGGATACCTGTAAAGGGCCTGCTACCATTGATCTGCTGAGAAATGATAATCATGACTTGGACCAGAGTAGGAGAAGTAGAGGTCATGAGGGATGGTAGAAATCTGGATATATTTTGAAGTAGAGTCAAAGAGATTTCCAGATAGATTCGAAGAGAGTTGTGAGAGAGACGGAAGCATCCAGAATGATTCTAAGGTTGAGCATGTTGTTTCCGAAGGGGATGGAGGTGTGCAGGGTCAGGAATCCAGTTTTAGACTGAATATCTAGGCTACTAGATATCCAGGCAGAGATGTCAAACAGGCAATCAGATATTTAAGCCTGACTTTGAAAGGGAAGTCTGGACTGGAAATGTAAATTGGTGAATTGTTTTTTGGCATAGTTGAAACCATGGATTTGGATGAGATCACCAAGAGAGTGAGTGTAGGTAGAGAACTTCTTCAGTGGGTTTCAGGTATTTGATGTAATTTATTCAGTGAGTAAAGATAAATGCTCCCTCTTCTCAAAGATTTCATCATTTGTTTTGGCTACACAGATTGTTCACAACCTAGAGATACCATTCACATAGACTACAGTGTCTGGTGTTGAATACTGCAATGGCTGCAATGGCTGGGGAATCGGGGAGCAGTGTGGAGAGACAGAGTATTGTATGATAAATGTTATTTTTTATTTTTTGAGACAGGGTCTCCCTCTGTCGCCCAGGCTAGAGTGCAGTGACATGGTCTCAACTAACTGCAACCACTGCCTCCCAGGTTCAAGCAATTCTCCTGCCTCAGCCTCCCAAGTAGCTGGGACTACAGGTGCACATCACCACGCCTGACTAATTTTTGTATTTTTTGTAGAGATGGGGTTTTACCATGTTGGCCAAACTGGTCTCAAATTCCTGGCCTCAAGTGCTCCACCTGCCTTGGCCTCCCAAAGTGCTGGGATTACAGGTGTGAGCCACCATGCCCAGCCAGATATATGCTATTCTTGATATATGTGATACAATGTAAAATAATTAGTGCATGCAATGGAACTGTAGAGAAAGGAGCAGTCAACTGACTTAGTAATAATAAAGCAGAGTAAATTTAGAATACTCTGTTCTCAAATAATGTATCAGAACAGAACAGTGTATAATAACATTGTGTATAGTAAAATAAACTGTGCTAAAGGATCATTCAACATTGTCCTTTAATTATGTTTATGGCTACTACTTTGGGTCACCCGGCTTGTCTTCTACATCCCTTCCTCCTATTGCTGAAACGGTTACTAAAGCCCATTGCAACACTGTTCCTAGGTAAAGGCAGAGGTAGTGTGGGAAGGAAAGCACAGGAATGACATCAGCATTCTACATTTTTGTACCTATGTGTTCCATTAGGAGTTGGCAGGGATGAGGTATGTTCCACAATCAATCAGTCCGTCTATGTAGTTACACACTCACTATTGTCTCTTTTCTGTGACCTAGGTTGTAAAGGAATGGGTAGAAAAAAAGGGCAAGGGTGGAGATAAGATCTTCTGCTTTACGTTGTAAGCATTCTAAATCTCTGAAATGAAAAAGAACAACCTCATGTTTTCTGGGAAGTGATACTTTTGATGTGGTTTTTCCACTCCTAGCTCATAGGAAAAAAGGATATTGTTGAGTTATGAGATATCTATCAGTGGTCATGGGCAAAGTTGGTGACAGTTTTAAGAACTACTTCCTCATGTGTACACACACACACACACACATTTACATTTTAAATGGTCTTTACTTGCCAGAAATCAGCCTTGTGACTTAGGGCAAGTAATCTCAAATATAAAGAATACGCAGGCCACAGATGATGTAACATTTTGATTTTAAAATTTTAAATGATTATCTGTGTTTTCTGTCGTTAGTTTTTGTCAGAACAATAACATAGTTCCTCAAAGAAGGTAGACAATTTGGGATAAACGTAAGCAGTCATGTAAGACTAGAATTGATGCAGAACATAGGTAACATTTCACACTGTCAACAGCAACACTAAATTACTAGGCCTGAACCATATTTTTATGCGTATTGCTATTTTCTGCTCAATGTCTTCCCTTTACATGTAAAGCCTTTCTCAATGTGTCCCTTCTGTGCTGAGCTTTGAAATCCTTCAGGCTTTCAAGCATCCTTGTTGCAGCGTCAGGCTGTGTTCTCCAGCACCTAGCACGTTACTCTGCATGCACACAGCTCTGGACAATCATCTGTCAGTCTATTAGATGCTGATTGATTAGTTGTTTTCCAACATTTACACAGCAGGATATGTGATTAACAATATCATACTTCTGTATTCAGGTCCTTACTGTGCTTTATTTACTATCATTTTATGAATGTTTCTCTGTCCTTATCTGCTTATTTATATAAGGTTCAAACTAATGAATTAAATGCAGAATAAATAGCTGCCAGTTCAATTTATCTTGAGAATTTAGCTGACATAATGGCATCGGCAGAAACCCTAATGAGCATTAATTTACTTATTCATCAAATACTTATTGAGCATACTGAGTACCAGCCATTGTGCAAAGTGGTGAGGATACAAACATGAAGAGGGCAGATGGAGTCTCTGTCCTCGTGGAGCTTCTAGATAAGAAAAGAAACAGTGGTAGTGTCACACAATAATACAAGTTCAGGGAGCTCCTGTTTCAGAGTTAGATTAGCATATGTGGAAGAAAACCCAAATCGCAGTAGTTTAAGGAAAATAGAAATTTTTCTCCAACATGAGTGTCTGGAGGTAGATAACCCAGAACTCCACTATGTCTGTCTTGTTGCTGTGCTGTGTGTGGCCTCTATGCCCAAAGTTACCTTGTTGTCTAACATGGCAGCCTGTGTCCATATTCCACTAGTAAGATGGGAGAAAGAGAAGACCAGGCTCCTTCTCTTTAAAAAACTTCCCAGATGTTGCTCAAACCACTTTCCCTTACATCCCTTTGGCCAGAACTTAGTCACATTGTGATGCTGAGCAGCAAAAGAAGCTGGGAAATGCAATATTTTTTCTGAGTGGCCAGGAAGAAGAGGGGATGCCTACTAAGAGAAAAATTAACCATCTTTGCCCCAGGATTTCTGGGAAAATGGTTGCCTAAATTGAGATCTGAAGGTTAGTAGGATTCTCAGAAGTATATGTACATGTGTCCTTACGGAAGAAAAACATTCCTGAGTAAAGAAAAAGTTCTAGGAATTGAACACTGAGAAGAAACTGGTCTCTCACCAATCATGATTAATCATTGTGTGACAATGTTTGTACTTTTTTTTTTTTGGAAAAGAGTGTGGTGCAGGTTATTTCAGAGGAAGGTGGGGGTGGTGTTAATGATCAGTCAAGTTTTGTGGTTGAACAGGCTGCCCAGGGGATCTTCTCAGAAAAGATGAAGTCTGGGAGAAGGGTTTATGACATGGTGGTGTTAATTTTTTCCCAATATTGGCTCAGGCGAAGGCATGTACTTGAGGCAGTTCAAGGGCCAGGGCATCCAGGGGCTATCCCAAGGTAAAAGTTCAGGGGATAACCCATGCATTTTTGTGCCTGTGGTAGGGTCAAATTACCAGTTTCATTCAAATCTTAGAGATATAGTCATGCTCACTAACATGACATGAATCTGCAGAAACAATGAAAACATTTACAATATATTAAATTTACAGTATCAGTCTGCTTTGGGGCTTTTCTAATTTTTATAATGTTCAGCCTTATAAAATCAGTATTTTGTCTAGTTTAAACAAATCTAATAGTAATTCTTGTTTACTTGTTATTGTGATAAATCAGCAGTTGCCTGAAATAAAAATAACATATGGAACATTTTTAGCTTTCTGAAATGTAGTATGTTATTTGAGAAAATATGTGTTTTATGTTTTTCTAATTATTTTCATACTGTCATGTGGTTATGTTTTGATTCTGCTTTTTATTCCCAAAATGAATGGAAGTTACAAATAGTCCAGCCCATTTAAAATTAAGCATGACTTGAAGACATTTTATCTCTAAAATGACTTTTTTCTGGTTTTAAGATCAAACACCAAATTTAAATGTAAAATCAGCTAGAGAGTCTAAGAAAAGCACTGATCTAAATTTATATTTAAGTTCTTATGTATTTTTTTCATATTCCTTCTCAAATACTATGAAGTTGTAACTTTTTTCCCCAGAGAAGGTGTTACTATGGTTGGTGGTTGGCAGTACAATTTTTATATCATGAATGAGTAGGGGAGATTGAATCATTTAATTCCTCTGTGGCTGGTGAGTGTAATAAATGCCAGGTTGGTAAAAGCAATACTTCTAGGTCTTATTTGTCTTGATATCAGAGTGTCTTAAAATCGCAATTAGGATGGATTATTAAATGGAAGCTGATATTTCAGAGTCATCTTCTTTTCTATGTTAGATTTTTAATTTTATGAGAATAGAGAAATTATTAAAATTTGTGCTCACTAGCTCATTATTTAGTTTGTGCCTTCATAGTAGGTCATAGAATTGTCAATAAGCACATGGTACCACTCAGTTTCTTGAGGTCACTTCTAGGCCTATGTAACACGATTAATCTGATTCTATTTATATGGTTATCTTCATAAATAATAATCAGGGTCTCACAGTCTTTAGCTGTCTGTGGAGGACAGCAAGCATCCATTCCCACTCTGAGTGAATCCAGATTTAACTCTGAACTCTGATTAAAGTCACAGCTTCCATATAATTTCCAACATTTCTGTTCTCTCTGCCTGTAATGCATTTTATCACTAACTTAAATTCTACAAATTACTTGTTTTGACTAAAAATAACAGTGAATAAATAATCACATAGAGATCCTGGACCAAATATGTTATATTTGACCATTTAGGTCCCATTTTCCTTTTGGCCATGTCACAGTTTTGCAGGTAGTTTCATAGATGGCCATTGACTCTCAAATCTAGAGGTGCATGGGACACCAAGACATCTATGCTATGATGAGAGAAGGTGTTTTTACTGGTAAACTGTTTACCAATGGAGAGAGGGCTGGGACATCAGTGCTGTTGTACTTGCAAGTGAATAACTGTGATTGGGAGCACTGCGGGGATTAAATGGAGAAGATGATTAGATTATTGGGAGAGCACATTAGCAGAGGTCAATACCACTCCTCTGCTTACAACTCCTCGAAATGTCTTCAATAAACATGGAGTACATTGGTAATAAGAAAAAACAACCAAGAGCTATTAAAAAAAGAAAATCCTTCACTGGCTCCTCGTGGCCTATGGGATAAAGTGGAAGTGACTAAACATGAACTTGAGCCTCACCTGCACACTTCCAGCCTCATCTCTTGCCATACCCTGCCTTCAACCCTAGGCTGCTGTAATGCTCAAGTGCTTCTTGCCTCTTTTCTTCTTTTTTCTGTGCAATATCTTTCCTCCATGCCTCATGCTCATGCTGTCCTCTGTCTGCCTTGAATCCCTTCCCTACCCCTCACCTGCTCCCATGCTAGGTCAGGGGCCTCTCTCTGAGGTGCTCCCATAAACTCTGAGCATTGCACCTCCTCCCATGCATTACTATTTGTTCTTATATGTCTGTTTGTTCCCCTCACTAGACTCTATCCTCAATACCAGACACATAGAGGGCAACCAGTGCAAGTTTGTCAAGTGAATAAATGAGTGTTTTGGTGCATACTAGGGGACCATCATAGGGGATTGAAAATAATTTTAAGTAATCACTGAAGTATAATCATCTGATCTATTATCTGTTTACTACCAGAAATGTGCATTAGCACATAGAAAACTGAAACAATTTTGCAAATAGGTAAACAGATTTATATAAATGTGGTCTGATTCTCCAAGTCTTGCTGTAAGCTTTAATAAGTTGTTGGTATTGTGGGTTCTTTTGGTAAACTTTTTGAGAAATGTACCAACTAGCGCTATTTGGTGTGTGTTTTTTGCTTCTACTCTAATGTCAAGTCAGTGGGAGAAGCTTTGTGTACTTGCTTTGGTAAACTGATTCTGAGTATCTTATTTCCTTATGTGCGTGGAAGTGCACTTAATGAATTTCTGCTACAGTGTGTGGTAAGGATGCTATTTTTAAAGTCTGAGTTCCCAGAGTAAATTTTTTAAATAGGATTAGGGTTTTATCTTATAACTAATATAATAAAGCTTAAATTAGAATTATAAATAATATATGTATATGTATGTGTGTGTGTGTATCTATCTATCTATCTATCTATCTATCTATCTATCTATCTATAATCCCATCATGGGGGCAAGACCCTCATGACCTCATTTCATATATATATATTTCATATATATACATATTTCATATATATATATGTGAGTCAGATTCAAAAACAGCAACAAACATAGAATATTAAACCTCAAAGTTATTCTAGGCCATTTAATCTTTTGCTTTACAGATAAGGAACTGGTATCATCATGGGTAAATGATGAGTCCATGAAGGCACCAGAACAAAAATTCTGGTCACCTGATTCTTACTTTGGGGGTAAATGTGAATTCTCAAGCAAGGAGAAGTATATGGAGACCTTAACAGTTAGCAAGGAAGATTTCTGCTCATGCTACCTTGAGTAACAGGGCTTAATAATAAAGCTAAAACAGTACCTAGAGGCTTTGCTGTCATGTCCAGCGATCCTGTGGCCTCTGCTCACCTGAGCCTGTCTCCTCCTGTCTCTAGGCAATGAGACTCCAACTGGGTGCTTGACTTGGGAAGCCTTTGGCACAAACATCATCCATATTGGATCTTATTAGTTGTAGCCAAAGTAAGACAGTTTTGGTCAATACATAGGACTTTGCAACCTAGAGCAGGCATATGCAGGGAAAACTTCCTAAGGCTTCTGCAGAAGCAAAGTGGGCCTTCAGGTAGGTACAGGCCCTTTGAGCTTTCTGGACCTGGTCAGTATGGGAAGGAAAAGACATTTGTGTGGATAAATATGGGATGGGGAAGATAAACTACATCATGGCTAAATTCAAGTTGAGTTAGTTTATAAATGGAGGTAAATGCTCTGCCTATAAGAAACTACTCACAAATACTGTTGTATGGCCTTTGGGCGAATCAGTTGAACATTATCAACCTCAGTTTTCTTATCTTAAAGGAAAGATGATAATGATACTTACCTTGTCCATTCGTTGTGCATATCAGTGACCGTGTATGTTAAATGACCATCCATATATAGGTAACTATTACTGTTATTACCTCTATAATACCATAATGATGACTACTATAATTATTTTTACAACTACTAGTACCTAATACTACTGTACTACTCCTATTGTTACATGCCAGTAGTTTGTATTATAATTGAGTAGTCTTCTCTGCTCAGTTGGATGATAGGAGAGAGAGTGTTACAATTTATTTGCAAGAAGTTATAGTTCTTTCACTGAGCAATGGTTAAGATCAGGGCTTTATGGGAATTAAAACTACTTCCTAGATGTAACGTCTTAGACAAGTTATTTAACTTATATGCTTCAATTTTCTCATTTGTACAATGGGGATACTACATTCTATCACATAAAGTTCTTGTGACGATTAAATGAGGTAATCTAAGTACTGCTTAGAACAATGCCTAGCACACAGTGATCCCACAAGAAATATTCTCTATTAAGCTATTAATGTATTGATATGTATTGTATTTTCATAACTACCTTGGGAGAGAAGAGGCATCATTTTCTTTGTTTCATGGATACTGAAACTGAGGTTTCTGATTTGCTATGTTTACTAACATACCAAAGCTGGGAGAGATTCAAAGAGCCTCCTGCTCTTCCTTCTTTTCTTTCCTCCCTTCCTTCCACATATCCTTATTATTGGGTTGGAATGGGAAGCCATAACTCCCACCCAGTTGATTTGAATTAGCACGTCTGATTATTTTTTAAATTTTCTTTCCCCTCCAGCCCTACCTCCCTGCCAGAGCACTTGTAAGAAAGTACTCGCTCACATATCTTACTTCCATTGAAATAAAATCATATTATGCTTCTGTCTTTTGCCACTAGCCTATTACTATTAGCTGTCATATCCGAAGTCCCAAGTTCTTTATCTGAACCCTCACACTCGAGAAATCGACGGGATCAAGGAAATAAGAACCAGTGTTTACATAAGTGTTTATTGGATTTTCTTTATCATCTTTCAGGTCTTGTAGAAATTTGCCTGATGCACCCCCTAGATGTGGTGAAAACCAGGTAAGGTTCTGCATGAACAAGTTTTATTGACTTTGGCTAATATCCAAATTAAGATCTGTCAGAGCACTAAATGCTAGGACTTGTCCCAGGCCGGTAGCTTCTCTCTGTAATGGCAGTTATATTTGCTTCTAAAGAAAGTACTATTTGACAGATAAAATGTGAACAGTGAAAAGCATTTCTGGGTGAAGGTCATCTGAAGTATGTAATATTTTACTGCCTTTATATGACAACCGTAAGATATGATTTGTAGCTATATTGGTAAATGAGGTAAATTTATCAAAATGATGTAAAAACTAAACTTTATCCAGTGGATTATGACAGCACATTTTCATTTGGCATTGCCTAACAGATCTCTATTTAATAGTCAGCATTTTGGTATGAGACTTCAAAATTTCAAGTAAGCTTTTTACATAGTGCTTAAAGAATTTATTCCTATTACTGTTTGCCAATGCAAAATGCCATATTTTCAGGAAACTGCAGGGGCATAATATGGTCAGTGCAAGCCAGGGCAATGTATTAAATCTATTACCAAGAGGGAAAAAAAGAAAAATAACAAAACTTTGTGGGGTATAATATGATCTAGAGCATTTTTAAAAAGTTAAACCTGTGGCTGAATTACTGAACTTTCTATTTTTTCAAATTGGAAGCTCTTGGAGTCTAGTGAAAATTTCCATTTATTTGCACTATATGAAACCCAAAAGCACCATGCCTAGGTTGGAGCCTAACAGCCAACAATGCTGTGCAATAATGGTGGTTAAAGAAACCATTACTGCCTCAATTAGGAAATATTTGATAATTCAGGCTGGTCATTGGATGGATGTGTTACTTACTCTACCTAAAAAGGCAGCAGAATCTTAGGCTGGTTGCTGAAAGCAAGAGAAGGTGACTGTGGCATGCAAAAATAATATTACATTTCTAATAGAGGTAGGGAAGATGGGAGTTTGGCCTCTGTCTTAGATGGAGCTGCTGTAACAAAATATTATAGACTGGGTGGCTTAAACAACAGACATTCATATTTACAGTTTTGGTGGCTAGGAATTCCAAGATTAAGGTCTTGGCTGATTCAGTTCTTGGTGAGGGCCCTCTTCCTAACTGTAGAGGGCCTCCTTCTTGCTGTATACTTACATGACAGAGAGAGGAAGCTCTGTTGTCTCTTCCTCTTCTTATAAAGCCATTAATCCCATCATGGGGGCAAGACCCTCATGACCTCATTTAAACCTAATCACCCCCCAAAGACCTCACTTCCAAATACCGTTGCATTGTGGGTTAGGGCTTCAACATACACATTCTGGAGGGTCACAAACATTCAGTTTGTAACAGCCTCAAATCACTAAACTCAAAGAGAAAGAAGAAAACCAGGGGCCCTGCGCGGTGGCTCACGCCTGTAATCCTAGCACTTTGGGAGGCAGAGGGAGGTGGATCATCTGAGTTCAGGAGTTTGAGACCAGCCTGGCCAACATGGTGAAACCCCGTCTCTACTAAAAATACAAAAATTAACCGGGCATGGTGGCACACCCCTGTAATCCGAGCTACTCAGGAGGCTGAGGCAGAAGAATCACTTGAACCCGGGAGGTAGAGGTTGCAGTGAGCCGAGATCGCACCACTGCACTTCAGCTTGGGCGACAGAGCAAGACCCCATCTCAAGAAAAAATAAATAAATCAATAAAAGAAAAAAGAAAAAGAAAACCACAAATTATATTCAAATGTAAGGTATGCGCACCCCTGGGCCATCTTTATTACAAGGTTCTGAAACAGAAAGCAAAACTCCCTGGGATTTCCTTCTTAGATTCCATGTTAACCTTCTTTGAGAAGCCAGATTATTGTTGCTAATGTCACTGAGAAAATAATCTTTTTCATTTGAGGGTAATTTCCTAACTTAGTAAACTGTTCCAATGAACATAGAGGAGAAATAAGAATGATTTAATCAAGACACAATATTAGAATTATGGTCACTCATTCACTCAATGTTTAATTCATCCATTCAACACACGTGTATTGAGCATCTAGTGCATGTGGGTTTCAGGATAGCTCTGCCCTCAGAGAGCTCACAGTCTGATTAGCTAATTGAGATCTCATCACAATGAACTTCAAAAGCTGTATCATTTTGTTGTACTGGAATTGAATTGAAAACTTCTTGAAATGGATATAACAAGTTACTGGGGCTTTATATCTTTTTTGTTACATAAATATTTTCATTAAAATGGCATTCATTCATTAGAGTTAGTCACATGACTTTGCCTAACTTCAGCAGGGAGGAAGATACAGTCCTTCCAGGTGCTCCGAAGGAGAGGGGAATTGGATACTGGGTGGTATTTGACCTGCATAATGATAAGTATGTTGAATAAAGATTCACAATCATAGAGTAAACTGAAAGCCACAAGTATGGGCAACTGACACTGCAACAGAAGTAGAATATGCAAGATTGATAGGATTTATCACCTAGGCACTAACAGAGAGATGACATCAAGTAGGCAGGAGCAGACTCACATGTGGGAACCTCTTCACCATCACATTATACAGGAGATGACTGTGTTTCTAAATAGAAACAAATTCATACCCAGGGAATAGTATTGATCATTTATAGAGTTTTAAAAATCCACTTTAAAGAGGAGTTTGAAAGTAAATTTTTAGAACCTGTTGTTATTCATTCAGCAAGAAAAAGATTAGGCAGAAATAGAACCCCAAAACAAGACTTGACTCCAAAAAGTAGACACATTTATTTTGCCATACTCCAGCACATGAGATATTGTGGAAAATGAGCCATATCCATATTTGGATTAATTCAGTATACTTCTCCTTAAGTAATAATAGTCACCCTCACATTTAAGGCCATTTATGATGATAATCCTCCAATCTAATCTTTCAGATTTACTTTCCACTTCTTTTTGATCCAGTTAATTTAAATAGCTTACGTGAATACAATCCTATCTTTCTTAATTCTCTGCCTTTGTTTTCCCAAAATTGCCTGCACTCTCATCCCTGCTGATTGAAATTTTACCTAGCTGATAATACCTAGAAATATAGTTATTTCTGAATGTGGTAATTTTTCCTGTAATTTTTATGATTTTCTGTGCTTTCTAAGTTTTCTATACTAAATTTTTTAAAATTCAGAATAAAACAATAAAGTGTAAAAAAATAAAATAAAATCCAATTAAAAAAAATTGTGAAGTAAGGTTTGGGTTCATGTATCCCATGCCCCACTTTGACAATGCCTGCCACAACTTAGAATCCAGTACTCTCGGAATACTGTGTCATTTAAAAAGTGACCTGCTAAAATCACCAATGCTAAGTGGTTTCATATATTATCTCTTACAGTTTATGGTTTATGTTATTTATTTTAATATTTATCAAAATAGTACATGTATGTTGTATCAAATTCAAATAATACTCCAAGCCTTGTGTCAATTAAGACAGGCTAGGTTATGTGGCTGTAACATCAACAAACTTTAAATCTCAGCAGATTACAAAAACAAGGATTTCATGTCTGATACAACTGGGTATGTTCATCTGTCCAGGCTTCTATAACAAAATATCATAAACTGGGTAACTTATAGACAACAGAAATTTATTTCTCACCATACTGGAGGCTGAGATGTCTAAGCTCAAGGTGCTGGCAGGTTTGATGTCTGGTAACGGCCTGTTTCCTGGTTCATAAAGGGTGCCTTCTTGCTGTGTCCTCACATGGTGAAAGAGCAAGGCATCACTCCAGGGTCTCTCATATAAGGGCACTAATCCCATTCCTGAGGGCTCTACCCTCATGACCTCCTAAAGGCCCCACTCCTGATGCCATCACCTTGCGGGGTTGGATTTCACCATATGGATTTGGGGGGGCAGGGGCACAAACATTCAGACCATAGCCAGGGGACACTCTGCTCAGACTGAAAGAAGCTCTGTTTGAACACGTGCTTTCCCCATCCCTGTGGCAGGAAGAATAGAGCTGAACGGTCTCACCCTGGTGGTTAGAGCTCTGACCACACGTGTCCTTTTCACCCAACCTATCATTAGGAACTAGCCACTTGACCACACCTAAACAACCAGAAGGAGAAGAAATATGATACTCCTGCTGGCCTGAAGGAAGGGACATGGTGTCAGTGTGCCATAGGTATGTCTTTTCCAAGCCTTATAAGCATGAACATCATTCCCCTACCATGTCCTCTCCACCCACCGGTTCCCATTCCAGAGGCAAGGACCTTTGACTTTTAGCTGATTTCATTGTAATTCACTTCAACATTTCTGAATATTATACATATACTGGTTGTATTGAGTTGAACAGTGTCCCTGCCCCAATTCACATCCTTCCCAGAACCTCAGAAGGTGACTTTATTTGGAAGCAGGGTCTTCGCAGATGTGATTATTCAACTTAAGAGGTGGTCATGTGGAATAGAGTGTGCCCTAAGTCCACTATGACTGGTATTCTAAGAACAAGGAAAGAGACTCACAGAAAGAGACATGCTGTAAAGATGGCCGGATGCCATCTTCTCTGATGGCAGAGATTAGAATTCTGCAGCTACAAGACTGTGAATACCAAGGACTGCTGACAATCCCCAGAAGCTCAGAGAGAGGTATGGACCAGATTCTCCTTCAGAGCCTTTAAGAGGAGCCAACACTGATGACACCTTGATTTTGGACTTCTGGACTTCTGAACTGTGAAAGAATAAATTTTTGTTGTTTTAAGCCACAGGGTTTGTGGTAATTTGTGATGCAGCCCTAGGAAACTAATACATCACTCATTCTTAATTTGTCAACTGTAAATGTTTTTTATGACGTCTAGAATTACACACTGTCCCCATTTCCCCTTCTTACATCTGTCGCATTATTGATCCATAATCAATTGTTTGCATTATTTTGAGTACACAAACATTGTTCACTGCTGAACCAAGTAGTGCTCAAGGATTATTTTTCTGGAGTTAATTATTGCCTCATATTTTCATTATTTAGTTCTCTATAAGGCTATTGTTAATTGCAATGTCTTCCTAAATGTTTCTTCAGGTTCCTTTTCCCTACTATTTCCACATTGTCAAACTCTTAGCAGATAATGTGGTGGGGCTTGTTGAACGTGGAATTTTGGAAATTACTTGGCTTTTTTGTTAGGTCCTCTCTCATCTCTCTTCCAATATCAAGATTTAAATGTCTTTTCTGGGGATACTATTTCTCCAATGAAGAATCTTTCAATCAAGATTGTGTGTGTGGGAGGGTCCCACTGTTAAGGATGAAAATATTATCGTCATCCTCTTGTTTCTGGTATGGGGCCACTCTCCTACCCTCCACTGTACCTAGTGGCTCCCAGTCTGAAGCTGTTCTTATAGTCTCCAAAGAGTAAGCCTCAGGTCTTTAGTGTGAGGTGGGAGAGAAAACATATATGGACTTTCAAGCAGTGCTCTTGCTTCTAGTTACATATTCCCACTTTTCAAGTCATCTGGTACCTCCGAGGCCTGAGGCATCCCAGGGATATCCCAGGGTCTTTCCTGGCAATCCCTTCTTTAGGTACTTAGAGTGCAGCCTTCTCTGCCCTGTTAGGGCAGTGACCATTCCTCCATCCGAAATCTTGCAAAAATGAGTTGACATTGTACATTCACTGTTACTTCCTGCTCCACCCTCTTTGTCCCTGTGGGTTTATGCTTATTGATAATTATTATTCTTTTGTTGCCTGTGTTAGTCATGGCCCAATCAGGAGAATACACCCACTCTGAGTATTTGAAACTATGCAAAGTCAATGCAAGGAATTCCAGAGGTAAGGACCTTTGACTTTTAGCTGATCCTGTTGTAATTCACTTTGATATTTCTAAATATTATACTTATATTGCTTTGTATTGAGTTGAATGGTGTCCCTGCCTCAATTCTGTCCAGATTGCAGAATTGCTAAGGAGCCAGCAAAGGACTGTGAGGCGACCTAGAGATTAGTAATAGCACCACCACCCCAGGCTGAAGGGACAAAGGGAGAAGGTGGTGTTGCCAGAGCCCAGGACCTGATAACCCTGCTGGGAGCTAGAATCATGGTAGGTCTCTCCAGTGGGAGATGGAGCCTCAGGATGCAGCCACTGCCTGCCTGAGGTAGAGAGGGATGGGAGAAGTCCTCTGCTTTCTCCCTTCTCTCCCTACCTTCAGAATCCCACTCACCAGTGCTCCTATTTGCTGAACCCAGGGAAGTCTGGGAAACCAGGCTTGCAGAGGTCAGCCCCTTCACATTACAGAGCAGAGTAGGACAAGGCAGGAGTAAGAAATTGATTTGAAGATAAGCAGAATGGGGACTGACATACTGTCGTTTTTGAAGGGTTTGGAGAAAGCATTAAGAGAAACATGCATTTTCAGTTCAGCATGTTGAATTGCCAAGAGGCTTGCTTCAAACTCACTTTGTATTTTAAAAGATGGTTAGAAATTATCATTGATACATATTTTATGGCGAGATTCCAGGCACTGTGGCACTTAATATAGGAAAAAAGTTTATTCTGCTCCATGCAAATATGTCACCAGGGATAGACCTAATGTTAGCAGAGGCCAGCCGCATGACAAGTGATGTGTTCTAAGGGTCCCCAGCTAATTTTAGCAGAGGATATTTGACTAAGAAGCTGTACATATGGCAGTTATGTAGAATCAAGGTCTCCTTTGAGAACCTCCCCAGAGACATCTGTATATATTGTTTTATAGTTCTGTTTATACACAAACAGAGCTGTGTGTATAATTGTGAGTGGACCCCTCATTAAGAACCTATGGCTACAAATGACAAAAGACCTCATTCACTTGTATAAATGGGAAGGCCAAAGGGTAGTTTCTGGCTTCATACTCTCCAGCGGTTCAAATAAAATAATCTTTAATTATATTTCTCTGATACACTCTCTTTCTCCCTCTCTCCCTCCTTTTCTCCGCTCTCCTTTTCTTATATAGGCTTCATTTTGGGGGAGCTTGTCTCATTTGGCACTAGATAGCCTTGGCAGCTTCAAGTTTGCATGGTCCTTGGTGTTTGTGTGTGTGTAAATAGCTTTGGCTCTAGAGTTGGGCTGCCTGGGTTCAAATCCTGACTCCTCCACTCATTACCTATGTGACCTCATTAAGTTATCTCCTCTGTGCCTTAGTTTCCTCATATTTAAATAGGAGCAATAATGGCATCCACATTATTATGAAAAATAAATGAGTGTACACACACACACACACACACACACACACACACGAAAGCATGGTGTTTAATCCTGGTTTAGCAAAAATGGGGGGAATACAAAGACAAATGGAGTCTACAGGTTAGTGAAGAAACCTGAGTGAGGGTACAAGTATGGGAGGGGGAAGTGTTTACTATGCAGTCAAGCAGTTTCAAGTTTCTAAGCTACAAGACTTACGTGTTATGTAAGCACTACATTCAAATCCTTCCTCAGCAAGGTGTTTGCAAGTAGAGCATCCTTCTGGGCAGAAGAGCCTTGGTTTAGTGTCTGTGTTCCTGCTGGCCTCGTGCCACACGTCGTTTTGGGGCTGTGTGCTGACATTATTCGGTATCCTCCAGAGCTAGCACCATGCCTGGCCTTCAGGAGGTGCCCAGTGAATGTTGTTGAAGAAGTGAGTATTTGGTAATAATCAAAATAATTACCTCAATAGTTCTATAGCCAAACTGAAATGTCTATAAAGTGAATAATAGGTAGTCTTCATTGTGTCGTCTTCATTGAAAAAGGGAAGATTTCATGAAAAAGGTGGGAATTTAGAATCTGTTAAGATAAAAAGGGAGACATTACTTGACAGGATGGTGGGCGAAAGATTACAAGCCTCTGGTGGAGTTTCAGTGACTGGATTGGGAAAGAAGTAGGTAATGTAAGAAGGTTCCCATTAGCTGTACCTCGAGCAGAGGTGGGTGGACTAAGTGGGGAGAGGGATCGAGGGTGCTGAGGGAGTGTGTGGAACAAGCTTTGAGATGGGAAGTGAAACCCCAGACTCCATCTAGAGCAGCGCTGGCTCATTGAAACAAAATGCACCACACACATGTAATCTTAAGGTTTCTAAGGACCACATTTAAGGAAGTAAAAATGAAACAGGTAAAATTAATTCTAATAATAAATCCTATTTAGCCTCATAGGTTCAAAACATTACCATAGCAACATATTAATCAACATAAAAACTATGAATATTTTCCATTCTTTTGTTTTTCATACAAAGTCTTTGAAATCTGTTGCCTATTTTACACTTAGAGCACATCTCAATATTGACTAATAAGCCACATTTCAAATGCTCCATAGCCACATGGGGCTAGAGGTCCCTGGATTAGACAGCACAAGCCTAGAATGCAATGTGAAAAGGAAGGTCTTTACAGAGAAGGACAGAGTCCAGTGGTTCTTTCCTAAGAAGAATACTCTTGCTTGGAATGAGTTGATGGTTGCAAATAAGCAAGGTCCTAGGTGGGGGGAATTTTGCTACATGGGCATTTCAAGGTTTGTACCTGTGTGGAGAAAGTGGCATTCGAAAACCCCAAGGATTTATGGAAGTCACAATCTGAGAGAGTTGTAGCTTATATCCCTTTCATATTTTTAATCCCAGGAAAGGAAATGGCCCATTGTGCTTCAGGAAGAAAGAATGACTGAGGTGTTTGTTCTGTTTCGCCCTGAATCATTTTTTATCATTTTTGTTTTCAGTTTTGAACAGAGCATAAATCAGGTGCACACTACATAAACTGCCAATCCTACAAGGACTGATCTTTTTAAAAGTGCCCCAAAGGTACAGCAGTGGACCTGTAGTTCCAGCTAGTCAGAGGGCTGAGGGAGGATTGCTTGAGGCCAGGAGTTTGAGAGCAGCCTAGGCAACATCGCAACACCCCATCTCTAAAACAAAAACATTTTTAAAGAAACCCCGTGTCAAATACCTCAAAGAACTGGAGAGCATGTTTTCTGGTGGTGCTGGGGAATGGGAGAAAGTGGGGTGGGGGGCATTTTCACATCTGCTCATAGACATATAGTTAAAGACTAGTGGTGAGTGGATAGGCCAATGCATACTTTGGCTGTCATCCTTCTCACCCCCCATCAGGACTTAACTTGCACTAAGAAATCTTTTCATACTTCTCTCAAAACATATTAATCACTGGGTGAATTCTGAAGACTCACATGAGTTGAAAATTTGGCATCCACGTGTTGTTATATATGCACTTATGGGGCTTTTACTCAATCTGTGGAGATTGATTTACACTCTCTATTGGTGGCTCCCAAACCCCAGACTTCTGAATCAGAAACTCTAGAGGTGGGTCCCACCAATATTTATGTTTAACAACCTCCCTGGTGATTCTTATGCAGCGAACCCAGACTGGTCACTGGGTCAGCCTTTGGGAACTACTGCTGAATACCCTGTAGGCAGTTTTGTAAAAAGTCATGTAAATAATTCCTTTTTTTTTTTCTTAAGTGTTGAACCTTTCATTAACCTGTGATTCTCATTGGTTTTATTTATGTAAACTGCTGCTTTGTTCACCGTGAGTGGAAGTGGGAGGACAAAACGGTTGCCTTGCAGAGCTCATTCCGTGGTTTTTGAGAGTGATATGGAAATATATTATCCACAGCCAGAAACAACACATTCTGTCCTACTGAGTGGGGTACTAGGGCAGAAATCAGCACCAGAGGATGGGAAAGGAGCGAGTATATTGGTTGTTACAGAGGGAAGGTAAATGGCTCTGAGGGGTGAAAATGATTTAGAGGCATAAGCCCACCACAAACTTTATTAAAAAGAGAAACCTGAGGATGGGGTATGGTGAGAGGCTGCTTTGTGGGGAGCCCAGCAGAGAGTGTGAAGCCAGGGTCTGTGAAGTATCCACTGCCTCCTCTAGCAGGGAGGAGGGGAAACAGCCTTGAACTTTAAAATGAACAGTTAATTTAGAGGTTGGAAAGGGGATGTTGGGCCAACGGAACAGCAGGGTGGAAACACGGAATGAAGTCTCTTTTCCCCAATAGATCTTTTAAAAAAAAAAAAGAAAGAAAGAAAAGAAAGGAATCTTTTTAAAATGGGGAGAGAATACAAGGAAAAGGTGAGGATGGGGTATAGACAAGAGGCAGTAGAACCTATAGGATTCAAAAATAAATAAATAACAGAGCAGCTGGGAAGGTTATTTCCATATGTTAATGATTTGCCCGTGGTATAAAACATTAAGATCACATTCAGGGTTAGAACATGGTTATGCCTGATTTCTCACCATGGATAGAAATTCAGGACTAGACCACTGTCATGGCTTCTTTCTAACCATGGATAGAATGTTTCTGAAGTAAAACAAACAAGGAGTAGAACCATAGTTTTATAAACTGTATTTTAATTGGGATTTTGTCATGTAGCTAAATCAATCCATGGCAACATATAATGGTGTGGAATGGTTACAGGATCCCCAAATATATTGTGAGTGCAACTTCAACTTTGCTTTTGAAGGTGCATGACCATAATAGGGTTTCTCTGGCATTTGTTTCATTTAACTGAAATGTCTTTTTGTAATTTCTAAGCCCAAGCAAGAAAGTACTGCGTAGTGGGTGGACCACAATACTGTATTGATTAAGTCATTCTTTTCCATGCAGTCATTAGTAAAGATTTTGTTTAATAACATAATCAAATAAAAACAGGGCACAAGATGGGTAACATATTTGGAAGGAATAGAGGTGCCAGTTGGCCAGGCTCCACTTGGCACATTATAGAGCTGCAGTGAATTATGTGGTTTTAAATGAATTAATATGTGCTTTAAAATGCCACTTGCTCCAACCTAAGTGCATTAATACAAATTAAATTCATCATTGCCTATGAGTTCATAGCAAACTTTGAAAGGTCTCACATTTGTATAGTGACTAATATAACCTAGGAATGACCCTAAAACGAAGAGAAAATAATCTTACTTTTTGCAGTATTACAGAAAGCTGCATGTCTACATTCTAGATGTATGGGACCCTCTGGAGAAAGGCAGAGGGTTTGAGGATGATAGGCCATGACCCTATGAAGAGATTTCATTGGTATTACTTCTGAGATTTTTGCTTTGATAATGTTCCACCTCTCTTTGGGCTAGCAAGGGTTGTAGCCAAACTCTGGAAAGCTCAGAAGAGTCCACAGTAGAAAGTCTTGCCCCTGCATCTTTCTCACATGCTGGAGGTCCTCCCACTGAATACAGACCCAGGCCCTAGGCCGGGTTGGTTGCAATAACTGCCTTATCCATAGGTAGTGCTCCACGCACGCCCACTTCTGCTGCTGCTGTGACCCAGGAAAAAGGAGGAGCTGAAGGATTCATTGCCTGAGGCATTGAGGAAAAAATTGGTCCCCAAGATTATGTGCAGAAGAATCTTGCTGCCATAGACTAAAATTATTTTTTAATCTTATTAATAAGGAGGAAAATCCTCTTTTAAAAAAATGCAGTCAGTTCTCCCCACATAAAATAACAAAGTTCTATTATGTTAAATCAACTGTAACTCACTTTATAATCTGGAAAGGCTGTTTCTAAATTTATTTACTTATTTTTTTGTAAATGGGATTCTTTTTAAAATCGCCCCCTAGAGGAACAAGCTATTTTTATGACTCACATTGCGGAACCTTTGTAAAGTGTGTAATCTCTCTTTAATTTCTGTTTTGTCTAAATTTTAAAAATGAAGATTTAGTGTTTGTATAGAGTATAGTAGCTATTTTTCCTCGACTAATTAAATGGTCTTAGAAGACTCTCCCTTAGCTAATAAGGTAAGGTGTGTTCTGTTTGGATACTTCTTGCTTCTCTTCCCTGCTTAACTGCAAAGCCTTCTCCTGTGCCTACCCCAGCCTGAGGATGAGATGGAAGAGCGACAATGCATTCTTCATGCCTGTCAGTGGGGTTCTCCAGACATCATTTTTTCTCTTTTTTAAGCTGAGAGGTAAATAATTCTTAAATGGCCTTCTTATCTTTGTCACGGGAAAGTGAATTATTTCTAAAATGAGCATCAGCATGATGACTGTTTCCTTCATTCCTCCCCCTAGTCCCCGTTCAGGGTTTTACCCCAACTGCTTTCAAATTTCCAGCAATTTCATTAATCTACTTATTTAGCCAATGCCCATCACAAGTTTCCCTATGAGATAGTTTGCCTAAGCTATAGCTTAGATTCCAATTTGCGTGTTACTATAATTTAATAACTATATAATATGCAAATAAAATAAATTGATGTGAGATTATATTGAATTAAAAACAAACGGGATATTTTTCTAAGTGTTATGCCATCATAAACTTTTCTCAGATAATCTCCTTTTTTTAAATTATACTTTAAGTTCTGGAATACATGTGCAGAATGTGCAGGTTTGTTATATAGGTATACACATGCCATGGTGGTTTGCTGCACCCATCAACTCGTCATTTACATTAGGTATTTCTCCTAATGCTATTCCTCCCCTAGCCCCACAGCCCCTGAAAGGCCCCAGTGTGTGTTGTTCCCCTCCCTGTGTCCATGTGTTCTCATTGTTCAGCTCCCACTTATGAGTGAGAACATGCACTGTTTGGTTTTCTGTTCCTGTGTTAGTTTGCTGAGAATGATGGTTTCCAGCTTCATCCATGTCCCTGCAAAGGACATGAACTCATTCTTTTTTATGGCTGCATAGTATTCCATGGTGTATATGTGCCACATTTGCTTAATCCAGTCTGTCATTGATGGGCATTTGGGTTGGTTCCAAGTCTTTGCTATTGTGAACAATGCTGCAATAAACATACATGTGCATGTGTCTTTATAGTAGAATGATTTCTAATCCTTTGAGTATATACCCAGTAATGGGATTGCTGGGTCAAATGGTATTTCTGGTTCTAGGTCCTTGAGGAATTGCCACACTGTCTTCCACAATGGCTGAACTAGTTTACACCCCACCAACCATGTAAAAGCATTCCTATTTCTCCATATCCTCTCCAGCATGTGTTGTTTCCCGACTTTTCAATGATTGCCATTCTAACTGGCATGAGATGGTATCTCATTGTGGTTTTGATTTGCATTTCTCTAATGACCAGTGATGATGAGCTTTTTTTCATATGTTTGTTGGCCACATAAATGTCTTCTTTTGAGAACTGTCTGTTCATGTCCTTCGTGCACTTTTTTATGGGGTTGTTTGTTTTTTGTTTAAGTTCCTTGTAGATTCTGTATGTTAGCTCTTTTTCAGATGGATAATCTCCTATTTTAAGGGCAAGTTTTTGGAGAGAGAATTTGGAACTAATACCATGCCTATTTTCAGTGTCTATTCAAGGTCTATCTGAGATTAGCTCTAGCTTAAAATTCAAGAAGTAAAGCAAAAGTTCAAAATGTTTGTTGTTTATTTTGCTATTGTAACAGTTTTAAAAATGTTTTCTAGTTAAGCTCTAAGAAATCTGCCATCAGTGAAAGTAAAATTATCTTTATCCAGAGTGTTTGCTCCTTAGCTGCCTCTGTAAAGAGCAGGTGCGTGTCTCAAAAGGGCTGAAATATTCCTGAAAAGTCATGTACCATGGAGAAAGTACTTTAGGATTCTTACTTGGGCTCTCCCTGCAGCGTGAGAAAACCTGAAAGTGTTGAGAAAGAGGCTGCTTGAGAGAAGAAAACTCTAACTGTGAGCTGAACCTTAGAACCTCAGGCTAGGCCCATGGGAAAGCTACTTTTGAGTCGAGCATATGGGAATCAAGCCGAATGAAGTCTAAATTGTTGAGATTCTAGCACAGCGGAAGGCTATGGCTATCATGAACATTCTAGAAGATTGTTTTTCCTTTCTGTGAATCAAGAGTAAAATCATAAGTTTCTTTAGACAAACAAATTTGAGGCTGATAATATAATATCATAACTGTGAACCTTGACCAAAGATTGATAAAAAGTGTTTAACATTCTTGGAAAATCAATTAGTTCTCAGAATATTCTTGTTGAGGTGGCTAAAATAGCCTTATGCTTTTGCTTTGCAGTCAGGGCACAGCTGAGATTTAGTTTTGACATAATGAAGAAGTTTGCAAGATGATAAATAGAGCTGGATGCAACTCTACATACTCTGGGCCAAGTTCTTACAGGATAAATTTTTCCCATTTGGGGGTTATTGAATAATATTTTCTTCAGTGAAACTTTTGTGAGAGCTTAATAGGTTACATACTTCCCTATTATAGCAAAAACCACACAAAATTATTGTGAATATCATCCATTTTTGGTAATCAGAATCTATCTGGGATATGCATTTCTGTTTTTTATGAAATAATACAACATTGCGATGAACTTCTCATTATATGATCCAACTCAGTACTTCCAAATACTCTCAGAAAAATATACACTTTAGAATTTCTTGTCTCTGTATTTGTGTTCTTTTAAATTTTGAAAAGTAAGAAGTACGCGTTAGAAAAAAGTTTGACTTTTTCCTAAGATGCTCTCCTAAAGTGAGAACTCGTTAGAATTCTGACCCAGTTTCATTTGGAAAGGTCAGGTGAGCAGACATGATTCCTTTGCGGACAGGCTGTCAGTGTCCAGGGGGAGTGTAATTAACACAGATCCACTAAGGCAATGGATCATGTGGGAAGACACACCCACTAAAGACAGGAGACCAGCGTTCTAGTTCAGCACTGTTGGCCCCACTGTGCAAGTCAATGGAGCTGCTCTGGGACTTCACTCCCCAACCTGGAAACTGAGGGCATTTCCCTACATGGTCTTGGAGGCTTCTTCTAATCTGATATTCTGTTTCCAAGGCAGTGTTTTCATTGTTTAAAAATAAAGTGATTGCAAGTACATACCTCTCCTGTCTCAGGACCTGTGTTCTTGGAATCCCTTTTTCCTGGAGTGACTGGCTTCTTCTCGACCTTCATACCTCAGCTCAGCTGTCATCTCCTCAGAGAAACTTCTTTGGCTGCCCCATCTCCAGTGGCCTCCCGTGTGTCTCTCTTTTTTTTTTTTTTCATTACCTTATTTGGCTTTGTTTTAGTCTTCTGACCTTATCAAAGTTATTTATTTGTGTACACGTTAACTGTTTTTGCCCACTTCCATTGGAGTGTAGGCTTCCTAAAGGCAAGGGGCCTTCCTTCATTGATATATATATGTATATATATTACACAGTGCCTACAAGAGTGTTGAACACAAAGTAGGTGCTCAATAAACACTTGGTGAATGAATGATTGAATAAATGTCATTTAAAAATGGGCACAGCCATGTGTATTTTCAAATTATGTATTTGGAAAAATAAAACACAAACACACTAAGCCTGTTTTACTATCATGAGCCAGGTTTCACACAGAATCAATTCACAGATTTTTTTCTTATATTTCTTTGGCTACTTAGTAATCTGGGCATTTTATAAAGCCTAAGTTGCATTTGTGTGGTTTTACACCACAGAGAATGAGACATGATATTTATATATTCACCGTGTGTCAGTGAATTTTCCAGGGTCTGTGCACCAGCTGCCCCTGTACTTATTCTGATACCTACAAACTGTCATCTGAACCCAGGATAGTTGAGCCTCTCCCAGTCCTGTTCATTGTCAGCTCAGGTTCAAGCCTCTTAACTCCAGTCCAGTGCATGAATGACCCTCCGCCCTAGACTAGGAAGAGAAGACTCACCCTCCTGGATGGTGCCTGGATGGGCGGCTTGATGCTGGTGACAAGTGGGCTTCATGAGCCCAGCCTGGATGCTCCTTGAGGAAATGTTTTTAGTGCACACAATATCTTATTTTTACTTGCACAACTCATGAAGTAGTTATTTATTTTTAAGGAATCATGCCAAATGGAGTAGGCAGAATCTGTTGCATTCCTGAATGTAGTTCTTTTTGTTAGCTTAGTAGATTGGCCTCTCATTTAATTAAAAGATGTAGAAATCTTTTTATCAAGATTGTTTAGGTATCCTAAGCATTTTCTTTTTAAAAGACAACCAGGATTAGCAGAGTAGCGGTGTCAAGCAGGGTTTCAGCTTCAATTTAAAGCAAAAATAATGCTTAACTTCATAAGTAATATTTTCCAGCCTTTTATTCTGAAATCTGAAAAAGAAAAGGAAAGGGAGAGATTTTTTAGGAAAATGTTAACTGCAACTTCTGAGGAGATGATCTTGGAATAACTTTTGGATCAAATTAGAATTTCTATTTCCTTGTTACATTGAAAACCAAAGTCGATTATTTATTTGATTTCCTCTTAGTACTAAAACGGAAACTCATGTTAAATAGGAAGGAAAAAGAAATGACCCTAAAATCTATCTTCAGGTTGAAGAATTGGAAAAGAGCTATTGTTTTATATTTTGATTTCCCAGAGTGTGAGAAAACTGTCCCTGTATAGATGCTTGCCAAGTTCTGAGAGAACACTTAAGAGTGTTTTTGGGTAGTACAGGGAGATAGTCAGGGTCTTGTTTGCGGGTGTTCCAGGTTTCAAGCGGTAACAGGGGAATGGGAGAAAAGAGGGAAGCATTCCCAAATCAAACATAACTCTCAGGAAATGAGCCAGAACACCTGGGAGAGGTCAGGGGTCAGAAAATACAAACTCAGGGTTCAATATTTTGCTCTCATCACACAAAAGAAAATGGGTCATAGACGATAGACAGAAGAAAATCTGGGATTTTACAGAAAAGTTAGGAACTAAGAATCCTGTCATTCTCATGTCATTCTGTCATTCTCCCATGAATCTATGATGTTTCAAAAAATATTTTCAGAATTGAGGCCGACACTTTCTGGTGGTTTCTTGTTGCTTAAACATCAGGTTGAGAAGTTATTTATCTCTTTCTCTCAACTCCCAGAGGTTCACTTCGGAGAACCTTCTGAGGCAATTCTTTGGCCAGTGCATACAAGGCTCTGGAGGGTGGGGGTAGGGGTGGTCCAGCAGGCAGAGATGGAGACACCACAGCCCTGAATCATGGGTCATTCACTTCTGGGGAGAGAAAAGAGGTTTTGCAAACGTTACTTCATGGGACCTCCTAGGGAAAAAGAGGGTGTTTTTTCCATCTCATTTCCCAACTCTAAGTTCTCTGAAATCTACTTGATTTTTGCCAGGTGTCAAATTATAACCCTCCTTGTCAACCACAAATGACTAATGACTAATGATTAGCCTAATGACTATGCAACGTTTGAAACTCACATTCACATTTTAACTTACTGGCTGTATTGTGTTTTCATTAATTGTGAAAAAAATATTCCCCCCGAAAGCCAATAAAAACAAAGTTTTAGAGTCTTAATTGCAATGTTCACTTGCAATTGTTGACCCTATAGGTGCTCAAGGAGAAACAAGATGGGGGCTGTGGCCCGCCCATCTTCAGGCCTGCGGCCTCAGCCCAGCAAATGATGCCAATGCCCCTCTCCTAGGGAGAGTTAAGTGATGTCAGCACCTCTGGGCAGAGTAATATTTGACCCTTAAACTGCTTCATATACAAGCAGCTGTTTTCCTCTTTCCACCATTCCCTGAAGGACGCAGGAGGGCTGAAATATCTGATACTGCTTTTCATCACCAGAGATAAAGTAAATTTAAACCTTGAATTAAATGATGACCATTTTGTTCACTGGTCATTTAGTGATAAGTCATGATTCTCAAAAGCCTCGGCATGATTTTCTTTTCTTTACGTTTTGTGGAAAGGGGGCAAGGTCTCAGCAAGTTTTCTCCATATTTACGCCTGGCCCCCAATGTGTGCCTTGAGAGCTCATAAAAACAAATCTGCCTCTCAGCCGGGCAGTCAGTAATGGGATCTGGAGCCTCTCTCTGCAAGGTCACCTGTTTAAATAGAGACTCCCGCAGTGCTGCCTGAAAGGTGTTTGCATCGGAGGGTTGCTCGCCAGCTCCCTTGGTGTTTAGGAAGTGAGTTTCCAGTGTTGGGCCTGCCCTCCAGAGGGGTCTTCCCATTGCAGAGCTCCACTGCAGCTGAGGCTAAGAAATGCTGGAGACCCAAACCCAGGCACACCAGACCCCAGGTCTAAGATAAAGCATGTCTTAGGCTTTAAACACAACAAATTTCCATTAAAATAAAAACAGGACTTTATTCCATTTGGCTACTAGAGTGTATTCTAGAGTCAAACAGTGGTAAATGTGAAAAGGCCCATGGAAATATGAGGGCTGTAAAAATCATTGCAGAAAAAGATGCCAAGCATTGTTTGCAGGAATTAAATGTCCTTTTGCACCAGCAGTGAGCTTCCTTGGATAGCACAGCAGACAAGGTTCCCAAATTACATGAAAAGAAAGCAAGCCAGATATTCATGTCAACCATAGCTCTCATTCGTTCTTTCCATCTGACTGCATGTTTTCTATGTGGGATGTGCTTCCAGGCTCCATAGATCTGTCTCCTTCATGCCCCTCCACCCCACAATCAAGCCCAGTTCCTGCCTCATTCAGATTCTAGCAGAATTGCTCAATGGATAGCCCTTGCGTGCCGGCCTCTGCTATACCAGCAACGTGCCAGGGCGGGTGGAGCTTCCACACATCACTCACACATGTGTCTGGCACAGCCCTAACTAGCTTCTCTCCAGGGTGATGCCAGTGGCCCCCTTTCCACTGGCCTCTCGCAGTCTAAAGAGGAAGCAGTCAGTGGGAGATCATCAAGCATTCTCTGGTGTCTTGGCTTTGGCCAACCCCAAGTGGGGTTGTCCTCCCCAGTGCCCACTCGCAGAATGAGCAGTCTCCAGAATCACCATTACTCCTCCTCCCTTACAAGCCATGTCTGAGCTACTGGGACTTAATGCTCGAGATCCAGATCAGGACTGGCCTGACCGCTTTGGAATCAAAGAATGAGGTCAGGATAGAAACAATATACAGAAAGACAAGCTCGAGAGAGGGAGAGCAAACAAAGCCCGCAGTTCCTGGTTAGGGTCATAAAGCGCCTACTTCCTTTACGGACCAACAATAAACAGAGTCAGTCACCAATCAGTAAACATTCCTGCCTCAGGAGCGAGGATTTGTGTTCAAAGACACCAGATTGGATGCCGACTTCCCCACCCTGCTTTTCCCTTCCCCCAGTGTAATGGAGATCCTCCTAAAAAATACCTCTTTCTTGGTAAGGTTAACCAGGGTTTCTCAACCTCGACTCTATTGACACTTTGGTCCAGATAATTCTTTGTTGCAAGGCCCTGTCTGCAGCACTGTAGACTGTTTTAGCAGGATCTAAGGCCTCTACTCACTAGATGCCAATAATACCTTCCTTTCAGTGTGACAACTGAAAATGCCTCCAGACATTGCCGAATACCCGCCTGGGAAACAAAACCACCCTTCACCCCTGTTGAGAACCACTGGGTTAAGGGAAGGAACTGTTCGAGGCATACGTATTGATATGTGACAAATGTCATAAATATTAGTGAGGCATCAGAATATGATATCATAACCCAGAGGATATAGTGCTGTATTTAGAGAGTTGCTCCACACATGGGGAGACCTGTGATTCTCAAACTTGAGCGTGTATCAGAATAACCAGGAGGGCTAGTTAAAACCCAGATTGCTGAGCCCCACCCCACAGTTGCTCATACTGTTAGTTCAGGGTGGAGACCAACGATTTGCATTTGGGATATGATGATGCTGATGCTGGAAGTACTGAAAACCACTGGACTGGATCTTTCTGGATTGGTACTTGCCCCACCAATGGTGAGGAAGCCACAGATGAGGAAGGTGTATTGTTGTAAGCCTTCTCCCTCCCCTCCTTAATTTTCTGCATCTGTGTCTATCCTCTTCGCTACCCAATATCCAGTGTCATTGCCTCTTTTTCTCAGGATACCCCTGAGGCTGCCTCCCACTTTGATTTTTTCTCCTCAGGAGAGACCCTGAACTTTTCCTACTACTTGGCCCCTCTCAAACTTTGTGTTTGGCTGATTGCTCCTCAGGCCCATTTCCTAGTCCTGAATTAACCCATGCCTAAGCGTCAGGAAGTCCTTACAGGGTACTCAGCTTCTCGGTGCTTGTTAATCCTCCTTGGAGTTCTCAGAACAAACTACCAAGCCATGGCATGCCAAGGGGTGGCTTGTCCAACAGGGAAGAGCACATTACTTTACTGACATTGTTCAGAATTATCAGATTGTGATGATAATATAATGCAAACTGATGCTTATTATTTTTTAAAAATTTTTCACAGACAGTGCAGCCCCTTATTGCCTCCACCTTGGGCAAACTGCTGCCACCACTCCAATTCCAAGGATGGCAGAATACCCCCCCCCACCTCATGCCCCAGAAAAGAACAAAAGACACCAATTACCCTCCTACACTGCAGCTTTCTGTACACTGTCAGTCTCTTAGCAGGTGTCATCTGAACTGTATGACCATCCCTGGTTTCCTTTTGTTGATAATATCGAGTCCAGACTTTTTAGAATGACATACAAGGCCTTTCATATAGGATCCCAACCAGTCTTTTCCAGAATCCGCAATATCTGCTAAGTCTAACACACTTTCATTCTATCTACACCAGACTACCATTTATTATTTCCCAAGCACAACTTGTAAAAACACATCATAGTGATAATGGTAATAAAAATCACTAGCAACTACCTTCTCGAGCATTTGCTGTGTCTATGCATTGTTCTTTACCATATTGTCTACTTTAATCTTTCTAACAAGCCCATGTAGGAAATACTAGTATTATCTCCATTGAACAGATGAGGAAACTGAAATTTGAAGAGTTCAAGAAATGAGAAAGGAGAGAGCCAGAATTCAAATACAAGCAGTTAACATCTATTACACTACTTGTGTTTGCTACAATTACTCTCACCTAGCTCCATCTGGGGAAAAGTCTCTCATCCTTCAAGGCCCAACTCGACTATAACTATTTCTGTGAATCCTCTTCTATATCTTCAGAGTGAATCAACAATTCATTTCTCTGACATTGTTTAAAACTCTGTGTGTATGTGTCTATAATGTATTAATATATCATATGCACGTTTTACATTTTGATGTTAGGTTTTTATGGTTCCCTCTGTTAAAATGTGAGATCATGTCGCATTTATATTTGCACTCCCAGTATCTGGCACTGTGCCTGGTATCAAATAGATATTCTGTAGGTGGTAACTGAATGAATAAGTGAGGGAGGGAGTGAAGGAATGATCTATCCCAACTTTAAATATTGCTTTAAATGTACACAGGTCACATGGATCTACTAGTTGTCAAACCTGAATTAAAATTAACACTTAAACATATACTTCTGGTTTCTATAGTTTAAAAGATTTTCACCCTACCTACTTTTATATAGAAGGGGGAAAAATAAGAGACTAGATGGACTGTGCTCTCTAATCCAAGTGGAACAAAAGCACTGGATGCATAATGCAGCAGTGTTTGTTGGAGGGTCTCAGAGGACAGAGGCCTCTAAATAAATAGGGTGTTGGCTGATGAAAGTCCCAGGGGTCAGACCATTAAAAAGCTGTGGCATTTGTCGCTGGTCCAGCAGAACCAAGACTAGCCAAGTTGGAGCAGTTGCAGCCGTCAAAACATGTTTTTCTGTATAACCAACTATTTAGTAGAGTAAGCGCATGTTTACATGTCCAAATGGGCTGAGGAGAGGGCCTCTTGGGTGTGAGAGAGCAGCCAGGCCACTCACAGGAACGGGGAGCTGATGACCCGGGCTGGTAGCAGGAGTCCTGGGAGGTGAGGCAATCAAGCTGGTCCTGGGTCTGCCTAGCAGCTTAGGAAATGATTTCTAGAAGTTAGAAACAAATGCTCAGATTAAAAAAGCAGAGTGTGTCTTAGCAACCATACTCCTATGTGAGAGAGAGCTTGAGCATTTGTTTATAAGAGGTTGACAAATTGCAGTAGTGTAGTGTTATGATGAGAAGCGTTCAGACAATCTGCTGTAAAATGCTTTACTTAAGTACAGCATTCACTGGGGCAGCTCCTCTGATTTTGCAACTTTAGGATTGTCCTTGGGAGATGTCAGTGGAAGCATGGCCCTGCCAAAACACTTATCTAGCATATGTGATTCATATCTTATCATTACAGTCTTCAAATGAACAATTTAATTATCCCATTTCCCCCTTGAACAGTTGTTGTTTTGGTCTTAGTGCCAAATTCCTTAGTAATATTCTGTTTTATTTTGGCTACTGAGACAAGCTTATAGTGCAAGTATTTTGCAAGCACTCCTGGTTTTCACAATAAGAATGTAATGTCACAACTTATTACCAGGGACATAAGTTCTAGCAGATTTTAAATGTTCCTGTTTCGGTGCATGGAAGCAATTTGATTCCATTTCACATTTATGATATTTATTATATTCAAATTCAGTATATTAAGTTTCTACGTAAAATTTTAGTAGTGTTTCCTGTATGGCTTTTAAATATATATATTTAAACCTAAATATGGTCAGCTGTGTGTTTGTCTTGGAACTATTAGAGTAACACTTTTCTTGACCAAAATTTTAAGTATTGTGCCTAACATGTGATGGTAGACTCCAAAGAATACCATGACCAAGCTCTAAACACATGCTCACACATAAACACACACTCACACATACACACACGCCAATAAGAATTTTTGATTACATGAAGGTACACTTCATTTTTCTAACCTTTTATAATTTTGTGAAAATTACATATTTCACACTATATATTACTTTCTGGTCCTTGAAATGAGTGGAATCTAGTTCCGTAGGCTAAGAACTATAATTATACTTTCAGCTGTGATAGCCACATAATGCCTAGGAATTCCATTGACATTTTAATATGCTGTCACTTTAAGATACAACATGAAGTGTGAACAGGGCACAGGACACTTTAACCAGGTGTGTCTAATTGTTCTGTTCCCCCTCAGCCCCCAAATAGCAATGGTATAGTTAAGAAAAGATGTAGAATCCAGGAAGCAGGTTTAGAGGCTAAAGTAAACTTACCAGGTTCACTTTTGCTGGCTGGTGGAAACAGATCAGACTATGCTGTTGTTCTCTGTGTAGGTAGGTGGTTTTGCATTTTGGCTATGCCTTTTTCTTGTTAGGTCTTTCCTGCTCCATGCAATAAAGAAAATGATACATAGAATGCTCATTTGGATCAGAAAGGGTATGTTCCCAGTACTTTTTGGATTTGAAGTTAAAGACTACAACTGCAAAAATAATCATAAGATTGGGGATGGAAGTATGTAGATTAATTATATTATTTTAAAAATAATGTAATGGTGTTTTCATTAACTCTTCCAGATGTTTAATATGATTGATACCCTTCCAGAGTCCCATGTTCATTAGTTAGAAATTAGAAAAACCTCCTTAAAGTAGCTGATCTGTCCCAGCAAAAGACTTTTTTGAATGTGTTCATATACTGTCAAGCAAGCAAGCAAGCAAACATCAGTGTGTATCAAGCAACCTTTCATAGGGTTCTGGGGATTAGCAATTCAGTGAAAATGCTTAACTACTCATTTGGAGAACACACATTAAAATTTAAGTCTTTAAAACAGACAAACAAAAAAACAGGAGACCCAACATTTTGAATACCCAGACATTATGCCATTGAGAGTAATAGTTTGCAGTTTTTCTAATCCCCATTTTTTGTGTAGCTTATTGTCAATTTATTTTATAAGCAGCCACATTCAATTGATTAATTCTCCCAACACCTGGATATAACATTTTGTTACCAAGCATATTATGTTATTCATAAAAATAGTCTGCCTTATCCCAAGCTAACAGGTGTCCCTGCTCCTTAAAATGACAAAGGTTGGAGCTATTGAATATTCCAAGGTGACTTGTGTTTCTGGGTTCCTAAATTCTTGCTGCCTGATTATAGAAACTCATGTGTATCAACTTGTTAGCCAGCATCTTGTTAAGGTAAAGGAATTCTGATCAATTTTCTCAGAATTGTCTCCAGCTGTGCAGGTTTCCGTCCTCGGTTGAACAGGAGCTCACCAAACTCTCCCTTAATTGCTTGGCTCTTTTTCTTCAGCCACTGAAATTAGGTGTGATTGGGCCCCAACAAATCATGTGACACATATGGCTCCCAGGTTATCTTACATACTTTATTTTGGGCATAAAAAAATACCAAGTTTAGTTAACTATTAGTGACTCCAGCATCTGAAGCCTATTCATAACAATAATATTTTCCTTTAAATAGAGATACCAAGCAATTCCCTGCACAGAGCATACAGTGTACTTTAAAATCTTGAATTGTATCGCTTAAACAGGCAGACTGTAGAATGTCATAATCTTTAGTGACCATTTCCAGGACTAACATTTGCAGTAGAGGAAAAGAATAGGTAGAAGAAAGGACTCTCTGTTGCCAGCCGTGGTCCCTGTGTGCACTCCCTATATTATGCATTAAGTCTGAATTTCTAGTAGTGAATGATGGGGTTGGACGGAGCATAATCAAGACCAAAATATTGCTTCTTAAATAGATGCTGAATCCCTGCTCTTCTTGGCTGGATAGTGTTAAAATTCATTTGGAGACTTTAGTCAGGCTTTCGTGCCCTGTGCTACAGATCAAGAGATCTGTAGATCTTAGATGCTGGTAGAGTAGAGGTAATATGGAGAAAATAACATGTTATAACATGTAATGGACTATCAACTACTTTTCCAGGATGGTTACAATGCTGGTGAACATCATTTTTGAAAGACTGAAAGAAAAGACAGTCAAATCTGAGGTCTGATTAAGTGACTTTCTGGGATCATAAGCCTTTTTTCTAAGAGACCATGGATGGGACCTTTCTTTTACCTTCTTGCCCTGCTTTCTATACCTGGCAAGCTAGTGTGTATAAAAAAAAATTTTAGCTTTGGAGCAAAACGAGCCTGGGTTTGAATCCTGATTCAGTGTGACTTGACTGATCTCCAGTTTTCTAACCTGTAAAATGGAAGTCATATCTACCTCATAGAATAGTTTTATCACATACTATTATATATGTAAAGTGCCCTGCAACTTCTGGCAAAGAGTCAATTATTGGTTGCAATGATTACTTCTTTGCAAATATGAATTGATATGATTGGAAGCATGTATGAAAAGCTTGTTTGCTCTACCTCACTCCTTCCCCTTTCCCATGGCCAACTCTTCATCCTTTAGGTCTCCCTTTATACATCTCTTCCTCTGGAAGGGATGCTACTATATGCACCCCATCCCTAAATTTTCTCTTATCACAGCACTTCACACACAAAGTATTGCCAATTACCTGTTCACTTACCTGTATCCACATGACAAGACAGTCTGTGACTGAAGAAGCTGTACCTCCTTCACTTGATCCCCAGGGACTGACACATAGCTGGAGAACGATAAAGATTTGAATAGGCATATTAATTAATTAATTAATTAACAGTGAGTTAATGAGTAACTAAAAGTAAGTAAAGAAATTCATTTTTAGAAGTCAAAGTCCTAGATTCTGAAAACTTAAGTGAGCAAGATGAGAGGTTCTAATGAATTCATTACAGTTCTAGCATGAGTTTTAGCAGGAAATAAGCAGTGGGTAACTGATTTTCAAGGGCCACCAGAGATCTAGATAGACTGTCTCAAATATTGGCACAGCTTCAAGCTTTAGAAATGGCATTTCTATCTAATTTCACCTTGTCTTACTAAAGAGTTATTAGCTAAGCATTTTGTGTCTGATAGACAATTCAGAAATTTGTATTTCATTGAATCGAACTATGAAAGGAAATAAGTTCTTTCTTTTCCCTTGAGGAGGGTTTCGGTAAAATAATTTATGTCAACTGGAGTTAGATTGTTTTGAATTTTTCTCAGACTAGTAGTGATAGTTTTTGTTCATTATGAAACATAAATATATAAGCCCTTTTCATCAGGATTTTTTCCTTAACATCGGATTTGTTGAATCAGGGTGTCATTTCACAAACGTGTAATTCATTCCTCTGCTGTCCAAAAAGTACTCAATATGGAAGTGTTTCATAAAATCATCCCCCAAAGTCCTCTTCGTATCAAGCGAAAGGGGAACAAATACAGATGGGCATATAGGACAGGAAGAAATCAGAGGAGAGTTATCTAGGGATGTACCCCAAGCAGCCCATAGCAAACTCAAACTCCCACATTTTATTTTTAAAGTGTGTTTTAATGTTAAATCACATGCCATAAGATATCAATTTTTGTACTTACCTCAAACTTTTGAATATATTAGAAGCTCCAAGAATCTTTACCACCTTGATTTTACAACTTTGCAGATCCCCTGTACTCCTTAGTTGGACAACACAGAATTAAGAGAATATCCTGGAAAGTTTACCATGAATCATCTGGGCCTGCACTAATAGGGCGAGAGATGGAAAGTCAGAATTTTATCAGGTTGCAAAAACAACTCCTCAAAAAACCCAAACTTAGACCAAAACAGAGTGGATTTTAGCACATGAGATTCCAGACAGCCTGATTTAACTTAATTCCACAGTTTATTAATCTCTTAATATGTGAACAGGAAATGAGGTTCTGCTTGAAACCACCATCCCCTTATCAATTATTAAATAAGTCATTGCCAAAGAAATGTAATTTGAAATATGTAATGGATCTTCCTAGGCACAAGACTAGTATTAATTTCCATTCACAGATATATTTTATAAGGCAGAGAAATCTGCTGATCATTTAGGGATAAGAATGGCTTTACTGCATTTCTACCGAGAGTAGATGAGACCCTGCTCTGGGCCAAACTCCATTTTGGGGAATTGCATTCCACAAACCTAAATGCTGCGAAGAGTTCCGTGGAGAATCTGCGTCCTCCCTCTTGCTCAGTCCCTGTTGCAGAGTGCTGCTGACAGCTGTTGGACAGCTGAGGCAATTCACCTCCAAAGTTGCATAATTTGGAAAGTGCTTTGGGATCCATTTGGTTGAAAGGTTGTTAATTATGATGATTTATGACACTGGAAACAAATCTGAGCCTTGACAGTATGGAGAATATACATAACGTATAATTCTTTTGCCTGTCCCATTGGAAAGTCCCTAAGTACAAATGTTTTTAAAAATCTTGTTGTGCCTTATGAATAGGTTCCACAGTTGTGTAAGACAGAGTATCATTGACTTTTGAGTTAGGGTGATAACCTAAAAAGAGAACATCTAGAGGCTGATGGGTAATACTTAGCAGCACCTTATGATTATCCCAATTCGTGGTGTTTTTCTCCACCTGGTTCTCTCCACCCTGACTTTTCCCTCCCCCTCACTGCACACATCTGTTGGTCACCACGCCATTCGGGGTTTCCCAAATCTGCCTTCTCATCCCCACTGCCCTTGCCTCTGTTCAGTGTGTATCACCTCTTCCTTAGGGCCCCCCTTCCACTGTTGGTCTATATTCAAGCCCAGCCTTCATACCGCTTCCAGAGTTACTTTCCTGAAATTATCAATGAAACAAAGTAAAAGGCTGAGTGTTCACTTACTCCCATGCCTAGAAACATCCTGTACAAATGTCCAACTTCCTTTGCAAGGCTGCAGGCAGCCCTTCTTACAACTCCAGTCTTTCCCACCTCATAGCTGTTTACCCCCAGGCACCCTCTGCTGCAGCCACAGTGACCTTCTCACCTTTTCCCCAAACATGGCACGCCCTTCTCAAATTCTAGGAACCTTTGAACATAGAAATCCACCTCCCAGAGGGTCCTCTCTCACCTTCTCTGCCTGGCAAACACCTCCTCATCTTTCAACGCTCCTCAGATATCACCTCCTCTGCCTGGCTCTCCCAGGCAGAATAAGGTGATTGTGGCGTTTATCACAGTGTGTGACATTCTTCTGTTTTCATGTCTATTTCCCCTACTAGACTGTAGCTTGCAAAGGCAGGAACTATGACATATTCATTTTAGCCTCCTCAGTAGACAGTTGCTTCTAAAAAATGAACCAATGACTGTTAGGGCCAGTAACTGCCAAATAACCTAGTTTTAGGCTGTAGACATTGAAAAATGTTTACATCTCTGATGGCTGGGTATTTTAATGGAATTATCTAATTCACCTGAAAAAAATAATTCTAAACATCTGTTTACTCACCCATTCAACCATGCATTCATTCACTGTCTGATGTTATGGTATATAGACCTAAATTTCTTAACCAAAACTCTTGGGGACAGATATGTTTCAGAATTCAGATATTTTGTATTTTTAAAAAGTAATATGGTGCACTCATCATGTATGTTACAAAAGACCCCAACAGCATCTGGGGCAGCATCCCATAATCAATAATTCTGCGGCTAGACGTATAAACATTCACATTGAGTAGAATAAAGACTACAAGTAGGCCACGCTTCTTTTCAGGTAAGCTTTTGCCACCAAATGAGTCTTCCACAAACTTAGGAGAAAATCATAGTTTTGGAAGTTTTTTGAGTGTTTGGATTTGGGAATTGTGGAAAGAGACTAAGACCCGTGTACATTATTTGCCTGCTTGTTTGTTGTTCATCTCCTTCCATGGAATGCAAACTGAGTGGGCCACAGACCTTGTCTTGTTCACTCCTGTGTCACCAGGACTAGACCTGTGTCTGACATTTGCTATATATTCAACACACTTTTGTTGAATGGATGGATGGACAGATATGTAAATTAAAAGTCTGGTTTGCTGTGGCAGGGCACAGTAGCTCATGCCTGTAATTCCAGCACTTTGGGAGGCTGAAGCAGGTGGATCACCTGAGGTTGGGAGTTCAAGACCAGCCTGGCCAACATGGTGGAACCCTGTCTCTACTAAAAATACAAAAATTGGCTGGGTGTGGTGGCAGGCACCTGTAATCCCAGCTACTTGGGAGGCTGAGGCAGGAGAATCGCCTGAACCCAGGAGGTGGAGGTTGCAGTGAGCCGAGATCACAGCATTGCACTCTAGCCTGGGCGACAAGAGCAAAACTGAAAAAAAAAGTCTGGCTTGCTATAGAAATAATCTGAATAATGGAAATGATGATGGGTTTCTAAGCATTTATTTTTTTCATAGACTGTAGATTCTTATGGATCAGGGATATCAATACGTTGTTCTGGTCATATCTCATTCTCTCATGCTTCGTATAGAGTTAGTCAAGGCTATCTCATATAAGGAATTATAGATTCTTTCTCAACTAGAAAGTAGAAGTTTTAATTTTTTAAGAAAATTATAATTCCTTCTAGAAAGTTCACTAAGTTGCAAGGCGAAGTAATGTGGTTTGGGGGTTTAAATGTAAACACTATCAGTCACTCTTCACTGGAGCTCTGGGTATAAAGGAGCAAATAAATATCCTAATCACCATGTTTTAGAAATATATTACCTTACACTCTGGTTTACTATCCATGTCCAGTGCTGAACTATAAACTTTTATTTCCCTCAAACAAACCCCCAAACATTTATCGCATTAAAAATGAATCATCTGTTACACTCCAACCGTAAACTGAATAATAAACAGAGGCAGGAATTATGATCTCTGGAAAACTGGAGAAGCGCCAGTGTGCGATCACAAGATCCCACCCCATAAATCTTCAAATCCATATTTACATTGAATTCCCAGACTTGCCTGTCAAGAGTATGTCTAAAATCCCAGCTAATTGTTTTAAAAGAACAGATGGAAGCTGATAGCAAGTCCTATTTGTTGAAAGAAGAATTTGAGGCAAAAATGATAGTTTGTCCATCAATTGGATCATATTCATCTACAGAAATGGTATTTGAAATAGTTCGAATTAAGACTTTTTAAAATGTGGAAATGTTCTTTGCATTCCTGAAAATCCCAGTGCCTCATGCAATACTTGGCACATTTTACACATCTGCTGTGTGTAAGTAAGAACTTTTTTAGAGTATGACTTGACTTATGGCATCTAAGTCTGTGTATGAGGTTACTGGCATATCATTTCTACTGTATTTTACAATGAATCTCAAGGATATAAAGTGTGCATTGTGCATGAAAATAGCATTTGATCTTTGTATCTTTCAATCCAGTTTTTTCACATGCTCTGAACATACTTTTTTTCAGAAATCCATCAATTTCTATATTGTTATCCTATGCAATTAGAATAGTCATATTTTAAAATTAATATTTAAAAATCCATGCCTAATTCTTCAGGAGAGGTGAATTTTTCCAGGGTGAGTTTTAGTTAAATTGTTAGCCTGCCTTACATATATGTGCCCCCAGAAAAATGGAGAAGCTACTTTGCAGCCTGGCTTTATACCGTGTTACATGATGGCAGTAGGTCAACTCTGACATGGCGTTGAAAGAAAGTTACTTTTGCAGATAATTAATGAAATGCAGCACAAAGCATGCCATCACCTAATAAAAACATCAGTTTGCAAGAAATGTTTACTGCCCTTTTCAAAAACTTCCCCTTGGATTTTGGCATATGGAATATTACATTTCATGTACGCCTCTGGCTTCCCACGCAGCTTGAGAGTTCTTGCTGTGTCCCAGCTAAAGGAGAGATTCTGTAAGGAAACTATTAGCCCTTGGCCAGTCTCTCAGGCTCATGATTAAAAATGACCAGCATTCATTAAACTTTATTACTGAGCTGCATGAAGTTTCTTTGGATTAGGATCCGGCATGACCCTCTGTCCAGATTTTCGAATGGTGCTGAAGCTTTTCATTAACCTGGAAGCCTTCTATTTACATGGTTCACAGCCTGGTCTCAGCTCACTTGGAGGTAACAAAGGGTGTTGGGACAGGAGGGCAGTGGGGGGTCCCACTCCTCTAAGGCTTCCATCTGAGTCTGATCAGGTCAACATTTTAACTCCTGCCTCATTAGGTAAAATAAAATGGAAATGATTGAGTGCCCAGGGAATCATGTTTCAGATTTGTCTTTTTTTCCTTCCTCATACCTCACCTTCTCTGGATAATCCAGTTTTATGTGACCTGGTTTGCTGGATTCTCCCCTTGTGTGCTGCTAGCACTGCTGGTACTCACTTGTGCCCAGCTTCCAGCAAGGGCAGGGGAAGGGAACAGCAGTGAGTCTGTGCCAGCACGTTACCAGGAGTGGGAGCAAATTGTCAGACAATTTCACTCTTATTTCTGTAATTGAAGGGGAGCTGTAAATTAGGTAGGATGTGTTCTTACAGTGTGACAAGAAAATGAATGCTGAGTAAATTGTTACTAACCTGATTAATGCTGGATTAGCATGCTCATAAATTAGATGCCTTTGAAACAGCTGACTTTAGTACTGTAGCGTGTTAAAGTCTGCCTATATGCCCACCTAAACTGAGACAGGCTGGCTTCGTGCCTCCTAATGTGACACACTGAAAAGTGCACACATCACCTAACACAATTTTTTATCTTTCAACACACAAAATGGTAAGGAAGCATTTTGGGGGGTCACATTCAAATGTGGGGGATTTTATACATAACTGATCTGCATTCTTCAAACAGGTCAATGTCTTGAAAGACAACAGGTTAGGGATCTCTCTGACATGAAGAGATACTAGAGAGATATGACAGTTGAATGCAACATGTTGCACTGGATGCAAAAAACAAACTACAAAGCACGTTTATTGGGACAATTGGGGAAATTTGGATGTGTACTGAACATTAGGTAAATTACTGTGTACCAATGCTAATTTTGTGAATGAAATGATAGCATTTCATCAATTTCGTGAATGAAGTGACAACATTTGGTAATGTTGGTTAATGTCTTTACTCTTAGGAGACATGGTGAAGTATTTAGGATGAGGTGTCATGATGTCTTCAACTTAGTTTCAAGTGATTCAGCAAAATATTGTCATGTTATGTATCTGTATGTATTGATAGATATACAGAGTGAGAAAGAGGAAGAGAAAAATGCATGGCAAATGTTAAAAATTGATGACTCTAGATGAGTTTTATAAATGAGATTTATAATATTTACCTTGTAGGACTGTTTTAATAACAAAATAGAAATAAGGTAGGTGAAGTGAATACACTGACTAGCTACCTACCTGATTAGGATCCTCCCCCTGAATTGTCAGCTGTCATGCATGTCCTTGCTTGACAATGGACTTTTTTAACCAAGGATTTCTGTATTATATTAGCCAGGCTCCAACCCATTGCCAAATATATCTTCTGGCAATCCAGTTTCTTCCCTCTCTGGCACGATGGAGAAGACTGAATCTCATGCATCTGTCCCCTCACTCAGGGGTCCCCAAACCCTGGGCCAGGGAGCAGTACTGGTCTGTGGCCTGTTAGGAACTAGGCTGTACAGCAGGAGATGAGCAGCAGGTGAATGAGCATTACCACCTGAGCTGTATCTCCTGTCAGATCAGCAGTGGCATTATATTCTCATAGGAGCATGAACCCTATTGTGAACTGTGCTTGTGAGGGATCTAGGTTGCACGCTGCTTATGAGACTCTAACTAATGCTTGATGATCTGAGATGGAACAGTTTTATCCTGAAACCCTCCTGCCCCTTCCCACCCTCCACCCCATCCATATGAAAAATTGTCTTCCACGAAATCAGTCTCTGGTGCCACAAAGTTTTGGGACCGCTGCCATAGACACATCCTCCTGCCTCCCCAGTCTGAGTTTCCACTTCTGTGGCACCAGGATGAGAGTGCCATGTGGGTGTTCCCTTTGAAATGCCATCATGTCTTTCTACCCAGTTTTCAGACCTTCCCTACTCTCTCTTTTTCCTGCTTATATCAAAGGTGGTGATCTTCTCCTGTCTTTATGGCACCTTACATTCAAGTCTCCTTCTTTATTGGCACCAATATAAGTTAGAAATTGTTGTTTAACTGCAAATAATAGGCAACTCACCTCCTTCACAAATAAACCAGGAGTTTAGTTCTGTAGTATCATTTGAGACCCAAGCTCCTTCCGTCTTATGGCTTCTGTAGCCTTTGTGACTTTGCAAAGTCACTTCATGGTGCAAAATAGCTGCCAGAACTCCACCTATACATCCAGCTTCCAGGCAGGAAGTACAAGGAAGGCAGGCAGGGCAAAAAGAACATGTCTCTCAGCTGAATCAGCCCCTCTAAAGTCATCTCTTGGAAGGCTCACCTAATTATTTCTGCGAGGACCTCATCAAGTTACAAAGAAGGTTGAGAAATGTAGCATTTTTCCCTGGGGCATATCATTGCCCCAGGTAAAATCAGGGAATTGGTTAGGCAGAAGAGGAGAAAGAAAATTGGAAAGCAATTAAGAATCTATGTGCTAGCGTCTGTTAGTTTATCATTGAATCAGATGTCTATTGTGTACAGATGCTGGGCTGGGGGAATACATAAACAAATAGGACACATCTCCCACACTGCCTCATCCACTGTGAGCTTACAGTTAATTTAAGGAGGCAAACCACGTGGAAACATGGGAAGAGAATTTAGCACTAATCTAGATGGAACTTAGAGAAGCAAGGGGACCAAAATCTTCAGGTAAGGTTTCTGGCTTTGCATAAGATTTAGATTTAGTTTTGGTAAAAAGAATTTTCCAAGAGGCAGAAACAGCACAAATAAAGCACAGAGGAAGAAATGAGCAGGGTAGTCTGCAGGTGAGTGCCTTGGCCTCACTTGCCTGCACAGGGAGTATGGGTTGGAGGAGAGCTAACATGATAGTTGCAATGGGGACAGATTTTGGAGGTTGTTGAGCCCACGGCACGTGTTTGGCCTTGATGGGCTAGGCAATAGGGAACCACCGTACGTTCTTGGGCAAGGTATGCATAGGCGGAAGTGGCACACCAGGAAGACTATTGATAGCACACAGGAGTAAGTCAAGAGGCTGGAGTCAACCAATGAGCACAGCTGTGAATTAATGCAGATCCTGTGTTAGGAAATCAGTGAAAGTGGAGAGGAAATGTCAAATCTGAAAGATGTTTGAAAGGAAGATCAATGGGTGATAATCGAGCAATGAAAAGAAAGGGGAAAAAAATGCAGGAGGATTCGGAGGTTTCTAGCCTGGCAGACTAAGTGGAGCCTTGGCCTCAAGGTAAGAGTTGTGAATTCTGGAGGACTGTGTACATTTGAGGAAGAACTCTAAAGAACGGATAGAAGAGATACATGTAATAAAAGTTGTAAGCAATTCTTATAGAATTGGAAGCTCCAGATTTATTTCTACTGTGTTGAGACCTGAATTATATACTTTTGTGTTTAGCTCTGTGTATTTTTCAGTTGGAACATACTTGGTAGATTTTTTTAAAAGAGGATAATGTCTTAATGAGACAGACAACTGATGTTTTTGAAATCCTTACACACTACATGTAATCGACAAACTAAGGGCATGTTGATACTTCAGTTATACTCCAAGAAACTCAAGGCTATCTGGGTTGATTTGTCATAAAAGGAGAAAAGGAAATTTCATTTACTCAAAATTTCAAAAAGAAAAATAATTAACATTTATTTAGTGCCTGATTTATGGCAGACATATTGCTGTACATATTTTTATTCTGTCCTTCAGCTTAGACTCAGAGTGGGTAGGCAGTGTTCTTGGTTACAGAGCTAAGTGGTAGAACCAGCATTAAAACCCTGAAAAACAAATATAGCAGCTGCCGCTCTTTTCCGTGATGTCCCATGCATTCTTATTTCTTCCTCCCTTCCTTCTGACTCGTCGGATATCAGAGCTATTGAAAAGTTATTCATCTACAAATTTTGGAAGTCACAAATTACTGAAATTTAGAAAGACTAAGAAGCTTGTGTGTTACATGATTCCATTTTATAATATTAAACGGGAAAACTTTTAGATAGCAACATTTGGTTGTTCAAAGCCTAGTCTAAGGAAATCGATGTTATCAAGCCATTTGAAGGATGATACATTTTAAGAAAGTTTGTATGAGTGAAGTCTGTCCAAAACAAACTGATTCTTCTGCTCTCATTAGTGAGACTAGTAAGGAATTTGTTCAGGTTACCCATTTGGGGGAAACGTTTTTGTTTTTGTTTTAATGATGTTGAGAAAACTGAAACCTTTGGTAGATAAAAGATAATTCCGACTAGGAATAACATAACAGTTATTTTGCTGCAGAAACAATTCATTCAAAAGATAAGGACAAATATATTTGTGGTTGAAATAAACTCTTCTTTTTGTTTTCAATTGGAAAAAGTCTCTTCCCTCTACTCACACTGAAGGCTTGACTCATATGAGTTTTTCCCAATGACACCTTTGATAATTATTTGATAAAAATAATACTGTTTAAAAAAAAAAACCTCGCTTTTATTCTTAACCATAGTTCAGTTTTACTCTGAGATATGATAATGAAGCCTATCAAAGAATGTTCTCCGGGAGTTAGTTCCGTGAGCTCTGGTTTCCCTGTGGAAGGCCACCTGTGTGCTGCTGCTGTGGGAGAATGTAGGGCTTGAGTCATCTCTTTCCCCTCAAGCTGCCATCCATTTCTCACCAACTTTTGACCACCTCCCAGAAGTGAGCTACAGTCATGCAATGTTTTGGTCAAAGACTAACCACTTATACAATGGTGGTCCCATGAGATTATAATACTATATTTTTACTGTTTCTTTCCATGTTTATATATTTAGATACACAGATACTTACCATTGTGTTACAATTGCCTACAATATCCAGCAGTAACATGCTGAATAGGTTTGTAGCCTAGGAGCCATAGGCTATTCCCTATAGCATAGATGTGCAGTAGGCTCTACCATCATGGTTTGTGTAATTACATTCTAAAATGTGTGTGCAATGAAGAAATTGCCTATTGATGCATTTCACAGAACATGTCCCCATCATTAAGTAACATGACTGCAGATAAGCCTTGATCTCCAAGATACACATCTCCTTTTGTGTTGGAACCTTTTCTGCAAATTGTACTTGTCTCCATTTGACTGGATTCAAAGCCAGATTGAGAAAGTAGTTTCAGATATGTCAAAATAATTTTTTAGAGCAAGAGTGTCACTTAATGCTATAGTGTGGCGTTTTACTAAATCGAACTATAGGAAAGTTAATTTAGTCCCTTTTGCCCAATATTTCAGTTACTGAGATGATTTAACAGTCAAAATAAAGTCCATTACTTAAATGAAACTGGTATGTTCACAGTTCTGTGTTCACTAGAAACAATACCCACCTTATAGTAGATATTGAATGAATGTTTCTTAATTGCCCCCTAGAATATACAAATGCAAATGTTACTTGCTTCTGAAATTTGGTTTCAGAGATGAGTTAAGTGTGTTAATCCTATGAGGATTTCTAATACAATTTGTCACTATTATTTGAATGAGAGTCTGTCATAATTGACTGTAAATGCACTTTAATTACATTTTAATAACCTTCATATGGAAAATGGTAAATAATTGTAAGTAAGTCATCTTGGATAAACTTCCAGTGACTCCTTTAAAAGAAACATCAAATAAAAATAGAGTAAATGTAGTAGATAGTAATTATGTAGATTAAAGAACTTCATTCAGCTAAATGCTTTTTGGCAGGTTGTGGAATGCACACTCCACATTAATTGGGGTGTTGAACAAGATAATGATACTAACCTTGTAACAACTTGAAATTTCCATTAAGAGGCTGGTAGATGTACTGGCATCATGTACTTAACCAACTAAAATTCTTATTAAGGGAGAAAGGTGTGTTTCTACTGGCGACTACTAAGAAATAATTAAGACTTTCCACTCCATAACTGTAAAGGGAAGCATCATTTCACGTTACCATGAACAGAAATATTGGCGAATGTGCCAAGTAGTAGCTCTGTGATACTGTAGCCTAGACTTCAGGCAAAGCAATGTCATAATCAACATTTCCCCCACTCCCTGCCTCCACAAAATTCACTTTTTCCTGTCTCTAACGTTGATTTTCTGTAGCCCAGGCCATCTTTCTGGCATCCTGTTCTGCATACCCCAGGCATATTAGCTCAAGTAGGCTATGGCTTGGCAGGAACAGACCATGAAGTCACATTCTGTAAGTCCATATTGCAGTCCCAATTTATTTAGCAAAAGATACACAATCTTAGTAGAAGCTAGGTGGTCACACACAGGAAAAGCAGGTGCAGTGTGTCCCAGTGTGCTTCACAAAGACCCCAATAGGACTAGGTAGCTGCCAGCACTGGTGTTTGAGAAGGTGTCGTGCTGTACTACAGCTCTTTTATAAAGTGTGCTTATTTCACTCTTCCAGACGAAGGCAGAAAATATGTACAGACATGTGACCCCTCTGTTCTCTAGCTGAACTCCATATCAGCAAGCCCGTATCCTCACACCGAGGAGAAAGCCGAGTGAGGCCCTGGCAGCCGTGTGCACTGTGCCTGCCTCTGGCCAGCCCCATTTCCTTACGTTTCACCTCCTGACTCTGACTCAGTTCCCTTCATGATTGACCTGGGTGTTTCCGGTACAAGATTCAAGGACCATGACCATGAAAGCACTTGCCCACATCAGTCTTCCACAGGGAAGGTGCAGCAAACCTGTAGCTATAATCACTTCCACGGGCTCTGTGGTGATGACTTGGTTCCTGGTGCTGATGTTAAGTGTGGAGTCCATCTTCAGACCCTGCTGTCCCGGCACTGGGAGGTAGAGTCAGTAATGGACACTGGATCACAGGACTGGAGAGCTCATTCACCAGTAAAAGTAAAGGGGCAAGACAGCAACAAGGCAAAGTCTGAGATCATGGGAGTGGGAAGTCTTTCAGTGTGAGGAGTTTGAGCGTTAGCTATACAAGTGAGTTGTAGGAGTGTAGTATGGTGTTGAGAGAGTCAAGGAACTGCAAAGCCAAGGTGTCATTGCTTCCTTGAGCTCTCCAATCCCAGCCTAGGTCAGCCCTACTTACTCCAGCTGTAGCCATTGCTCGCCAAGCCTGCATCACTGACTGGACATGGCCCCACAGCCCTCAAGGACTCCAGGGCCTGTTCTCTGGCAGCATCACCAGGCTTTCAACCTCAGTGTCACCCATCACCTAACCTCTTGTCCTCACAATTGTTGCTCCTCCCCTGGCCTTCCTCTCTGTGCTCTGTATTGGCAAAGCGACCCTAAACGCAGCCCCTTCTTGGAATCCCCTCTGCTTGGTCTTGCCCTGGTCCCCTCTCGTGTGTGTGCCGCACTTCCTCTGCACTGTTCGGCAGGCTTGCCCTTCACCTCCTCCTTCTCCTGGTGCTCCACTCCCTTCTCACTGCACTTGGGTCTCAGTCTGGACACCCCCTTGGCCCTTTCAGTAACATTTAGCCCCAGCTCAGTGTTCTCCAGTCTCCTTGCATCTTGGCAAAACCTGTCATTAATTTCTTGGTGAGTCCCCACCTCACTCCCCACCGTGGCTTCTCTAGGTTTCCTTCCCACCACAGCCTCCAGCCACACACCTTCCCATCACTCTGCAGGTGGCATGCCTTCCTGTCTACTAAGGAAACTGGGGACATATGACACCATTTTCTTAAAATTCCTCAACTCTGGCTCAAAGTCTGTGTTCCTTCTCTTGTTTTTCTTTAGTCTTGCCTTTAAAGAGGGTGTATCCGGTCTCTTTTCTAAGATGAGTCCCTCCTAATCCTACTCCTCTATAATTTACTTTATCTCTTCTTCCCCTTCAGTTTTTCCTCTGATCTGATTTTCTCCTCTAACTACAAATATATTCATCTCCTGCATCTCTTAGAACAAAACCAAAAAGAAAAACTTTCTGTTAATTCCCCCTTGTTATCTTGCCATTGCCTTTCTTCCCTTTTCTTAACTACAAACTTTTTGATGAAGAATGCTACATTTACTGCCTATATCCATTTTCTCTGCCACCTGCTCATTTTCTTACCTAGGTACCCTGATGCCTACCTCCACCATTCTACTGAAACTGCCTTCTCAACCGTGGGCTCATGGAGTGCCTCAGTGTTGCAGAGCCCAGAGATCAACACTCACATCCATCCACCTTTGTTACATAATGCTTCCATGTTAGCTATCAACACGTTTAAGTACAGAGCAATAGACTTTATTAGTCTGATAATATACCTGAAATGTAAAGACACCATGGGCTCAATTCTAAAGGCTTCAAGCTGACAAGAAAAACCTTGAATTTATAAAAGCATTATTTACGCATCACAAGACAGTATTTTGAACAGAAGTGCACTAATATATCATAAGAAAACTATATTTTGCTTTCCTATAAGATTCCTGGTTTGAACCATGTTGGGTTGTAGCAAATGCCAATGATTTCCTGACTAGTCTACATTTTCTCCACCTGCTGCTTATTAGCAAGCAACAGAAGTAGCTGTTCTCACTTGGGCAGCAGTTTGGCCACTCAATAGCAGTACAGCTTTTTAAGAGCACTCCCGTTTTATACTTAACACTTCCGAATTATAACTTCCTAGATAACCAGGCCGCATATTCTTCATACCTGTTAAATTATCTTTGCCCCACACTGTACGGTGGAGTCAGGAGGGAGATTGCCAAATGGAAATACTAGGTAGATTCAGTTTTGACAATAGTAGCTGACTGTTCACTCAGCGAAAGATATTTGGTCCAACTCTGGAGGGGAGCCAAAGGTAAGAAGAATGAAAATAAGACAAGTGGCTGGGTACCATATTTGAAGGAAGACAATGGTGAGTGCCACTCAGGAAAGAGGGTCCACCCCACAGGAAAGGATCTACTTTTGGTCATGTAGGAGAAGCTGGCCCTCTGAGAAGGAAGATGGAGAAAAAGCCAGCAGATTTGCCATCCTTGAACATACCTATTATTTTAGGAAAAATCTGTTGAGGACAGGATATATTTATCTGAAATATAAGAAATCTCTCTGAACATGTTATATTTTCACAAATGCTAAGTCATTAAGTTCTTATTTAGAAGATATTAGGGTCCTTGTGTGTTTGTAAAAAATGAATTGTATCCTTTGTGTTTTGGGGAGAGTGCCTCTTCTGTGGGCTAAACGTTTGTGTTAAGACTTCCTTACCTTTTGGCTTTGTGGCCATTTAGAGGCTTTATGACCAATGAAAGGTTTCTGCAGCCCAGGCAGGGGCCCTAGGGAGATAAAATGCCTTGTGTGTCCCTGCAGGAGGTCCAGCTCTCTCAGACAAGTTTAATAGCCATTCATGCACTGAGAAGATCTTATCTCGTGTCCTATTGGTTCAGGGTCACTTGCTGGCTCACATTATATTGAAATGTGGGCAGAGAGAGGGAGTAATTTGTTAATGTCATGTAGGATGAACTTGGTTAGAAAGGGAAGTGTACCCACTTTATAATAACACAAGTGTTTCCTTGCTAATCCCTTGGCAGGTTCATTATCTGTGCAGCCTCAGGCAATGGTTAGCCTATCGTGAAAGTGAAATTTAACCCTCAGCATGAAATTAATCCTCAAAGACTTATGTCTGCTCAGTCTAGAAATAATACATTCTAAGTGATTTTATAATCCCTGACTCTTTCTTTATGCATGGGTGCTAAATTGTTATCGAGATGTTATAGACCATGCTAGGAAATTGATTTTTGTTTACTTTAGAAAACTGGACAAATCTATAAGAACAAAAAGTCTGATTTCCCAGTTCACATTTGCAGTTGTAAACCCAACATGGTGGGATGACTATTTTTTAGGCATTAATAGGGTTACCATTTGTTGGTGATCATACTTGTGTTTATGCTATTCTTTACCTAATATATCTAGGAAAAGATTTTTTTTTAATGTCACTTGACAAAAAGGCCCTTTCGTTGATCTCATTGACATTTGACATGGAAAAACTGGGAAGCACCATGAGAATGTCAAACCAGTGTGAATGGCTCCTTGTAGAGTCAGAAAACCTTTAACAAGAGTAAAAGGAAGTGAGGCTGTGTCCCTTTTCCTGTTTCACAAGACAGGGCTTTATTCTTAGCCTTTTCTTGTATCTTTATTTCCAAAGTGTAAGGGCAGTTGGGAGGGAGAAGTGGGGAGAGAGGTCAGGATTGAGAAAGGTGTGGAAGGAAGCCAATATTTACTGAGAAATCAACGTACCAAGGTACCAAGTATTTTATACACATTATCTCATTTAATCCTCATTGCAAATGGCAAAGTAGGTATCATTTTTTCAGATAAAGAAACAGAAAGGCTTAAATCTCCTGCCCAAGTTCATGCAGTAGGTAGGTGGCATAGCCAGGATTTGAACCCAGGTCTGTCTGACTCCAAAGCCTTTTTATTTCTACCATATTCCAGAACTTAATCCTAAGAAAAGATAAAAAGATGCGAAAAAGCAACAAAAACCTTGCCTGATCGAAAGTCAGTTTTCCCTCCAATATACAAGAGGTCTTTGCAGTTTACCTAGTTGCAGTTTAGAATATTAGTGATCTTCTTGCTAATCGTGTTTTATTTATGTGCATCATGATGACTTATTTTTACTATATTCTTAGGTTGCTATTATTTCCCTTTGCTGCACTATTACAAAATTAATCCACACCTTCACTTATAGCGTTTTAAAAGATGGTTGTGAGACAAATGACCAAAAGGTCCAAAGGTAGGGGATAGGTGTACGCTAGAATTTACAGAATTTTTTAGTTCTAGATATTTCAAAGAAATCAAGAGTCTCCTGAATTTAGGCAATATATCTTATTTTCTGTTTTAATCCAGCCCATGCACATTTCTTAGATGTCTGCCTACTGCTTTGCTGTCTACCTGACACAAGTTTAAGTAATTTTTCAATAGGGGAAGTTGGACTTTTAGAAGAAGCACAGCTGTACCCGCATATATCCTTACCTTGTCAAATCCCTTATCAAATTTGCATTCCAGATTTTGGTGTTCTCATGGCTGACCTATTGTAACATTCTTTTTACTATTGCTTCCTGTTGGTGGGACATAACCTGTCCCTGTACTAGGAGAGGAAATTAAATTGGTCTGGCACAATTTTCTCCTCACAGAGCCAAGTTCAGTAGAAGCCAGTGCCCTTTCCTAAGTAGATACACATCAACTATTTGATAATTTACTCTTATTTTGGCCTGTTATTTAGGTACTTACTTCTGTTTGAGTCTACAGGTACATTTTTTCTAAACTTCTACAACATTATTCCTAAGCGTTTAAAGATCACAAGTTTAGTTCTTAGAAAAAGGTTATCAGCCCTGACTGAGGTATACATCTCTCCTTTTAAAGCTCTCTAACAAGGCCCTTTTCTGTGCTGGTTGAACTTCCCCTCTACCCAGGGAGCACCTTGCTCACTGCCCCAGAAGCTGCCTTCCTGGCATCACAAGGGAACTGCTTCAAATTAGTTTTCTCCATTTAACCCCATCTATTCTATCGTCCATCAACTCAGTTGGTATATCCTATGTCCTCTAAGCGTTTATTTATTTTCTCTCTGTGTGTATATATATAGAATTTATTTTAATAGTGCTGTGTATTTACTTTGAATTCCCTTCTCATTACCTCTGATTTTTAAACTTCCTTGTGTATCCTCTTTTTGGTATCCTTAATGCCTGATATAGCTTGCTATGCACTTTATAGATAGACTGAAAATTTAACCATAATGAACTTCTGTGGAAGTTTTACCTCTTAATGAAATCCAGGTTTTTTTTCCAATTTTAAGCAAAATGAAATTATTTAAATGCTGATAAACAATGAGAATTTATTTTAATGAAGTACAAATAGAATCTGATACAATATTCTTTATTGCTTAATCACAAAAAAGGGTGGAATCCACTTTGTTTTCTGAGATTTGTTTGGGTCATTATAGAGAGTGCTAAAAGATGTCCCTTTGAAGTGATAATTTTCACAAGGGTAGAAACAGTCATTTATAGTGTTTAAAAAATAATCTTAAAAAGGCATAAAGCTGCAAACAGGCAATAAAATTTTGTTGCAAAGTAGATTCTTTTGAGTACCCAAGAATGTCTTCCTGTTGGCATTTGTTTATAATGTTGTTTGTTTTTCTAGTTACTTCCAAATCATCAGCCTGCAGAAAGCATGAAAAGGTGTAATAACCACACTTCAGATTCATTAAATTAATATGGAATATTATGGAAAATTGTTCTAACTCTTGAAAATCCCTCTACAACTATAAAAGTGCAAAAAAGATTGTCCCTGCTGTTTTAGTCAGGCCCGTGAGCCTCAAAGCAATAGGATATTTATGAGAAAATTCCAGACATTGCAGTGCTGCCATGATCCATACGACCCAAACTTTCCAGTTTTTGTCTCTTGTCCTGTCTAGGGAAAAACAAAGAGGCATAAAATTTATATGGGAAGATCTCAAATCATTGTTATAACTCATAACTCATTATAATGAAGATATATATATATATTATTTTGTAGAATCATTAGGTTGATTTGGAAGAAAAACATACTTTTTGATTTCCACTATACTCTGGTGGTGATTTTCAAGTCACTGTCTCTTTCCACAAACAGCTCCAGCTTCTCTCTGGTACTGTCCTGAGAAACCGGCCATTTCTGTTTTCCACTGAAGGATTTGGTTTTCTTTAAGACTACACTGACAGTCCCTTATGTTTGGAAGATTCTATTTCACTTTTATCAAACTAACAAAGACACATGCATGGAAATGACTTGAGCATATCTATGTATTGATCTTTCTAAAATTTTATACTTGGAACAGACTACACTGATCTTTTCTGCTGTGACTAAAATAGCTCGAAGGAAAAGAATGTTGTATATTTTAGAGTCTTTTCCATGTTCCTAATTTGGTTTGAAATTTAATTCAGTAGACTCCATTTTCGATTTCTTAGAACAGTTTGCTAGATTTGTAGGCATGACATCTTCATTCTGAGGTTCGATGCATCTTATAAAAGAATGTTTGAAGAAAACAGCAAAGGAAGCATTTTGATCTTTTCAGTTCCAAGCTGTCATAATAAAATTATCTTGCTGTGGAGCCTTTTTTATTTTAAACTTATATTAATAACTGAAGTAACGTGGGACTGTACAGTCAGTCACCAAGTTTATATGAGGAGAACTGAATTTGTAAATTCAGGATTCTTCCCTAATTCTAATACCTACTCTATGTACTAGAGAAGTCTCCCCATATACCCTGATAATGCTACATATATCTGGGTACAGCTATATACAGAAATACTAGCATTTTAGCCTTAAAGAGCTTTTCAACCAGAGCTTTTAAGTAGAAATATAATGTGAATCATACATATAGTTTTACATTTGCTAATAGCCACATTTTTAAAAGTACAAAGTACAGCTTCCTACAATACAGTGTCTTACAGGATGCAATGATTAAGTAAAATCTAGTCCTAGAAAAACAATGAAGTTATGTTTAGTGGAAAAATACTTTATCCTTCTTTAGTTCTTAAATTTAAATCAAATTAATTAAAATAAAATGAAATAAATCCATTTCCTAAGCTGCTCTTGCCACATAACTGCTTGATAGCCACCTGTGGCTAGTGACTGCCATGTTGGACAGTGCAGTCTTAAATCTTTATGGATTTTACTCAAAGCTCTAGTGCTATTTTAATGATATTTTGTATGTAGTCATTGTTTAGGAAAAACATGATAAAACAAATATAAATTGCTATCTACATATCTGCTAGAAATCTGGGTAAATAAAATCAGGCTTTAGCCTGATCTCTAAACACACTTATTTCCCTGATTTTAGCTGTGCAAGTGTGTGTGCTGGGTTTGGCAGGGAGCTGAGAGAGAGGGGAAACTGGGGCCATTTGATCAACCTATGACTTTTAAAAACAGATAACCCTCTGCCACTTTGAATCCCATGATGAAGTCCTAGTAAATCTAAGCTTTTCTCTATCCCAAGCCATGAAATTGGTAATATGGGATATTGAGGAGGGGATGATGTGGGTTTCTATGTGTGGTGAAGGGCAGCAGTACTAGGCCTTAGGAATATATTAATTTTGAAAAATAAATATCTTGATACTCAAACTTAATGACAGTTTACATACAACATGCAACTTAAAACTAAGTGGGGTGAAAATAGATATTTTCTTCCACTTTGTCTTTTTCCAGAGAGAGGAATATGATTGATGTCTAGTACCCCTTTCCCTGAAAAAAGAAAAAGGATACATGTGTTATCACCAAAGACTTAGTAGTGTAGTAGGAAACAATAATTAGAGAAAAAAAAAAGCTCTTAAAATGGAATGTTTGGATTCTGTCCCTGGATATTCACACAATCTTTGTTACACCTTAGGTTAGACAATTTACTGAACCCTCCTCACTTCCGCGAATGAGGCACTTTTCACACTGAATAACAGTGATGGGATGTGTGGAGTAATAATTTCTCATCCAGATGGGTGCTTAGGTAGCATCTTTTGCTGTGAACTAATGCCAGTAAAACAAATATGAACGATCTTCAAAAAATGTGAAAGAGTAAATTGTGATTAGTTCTTTGGATGCAATACTCTATGACATATCTAATGAATTCGTTTGGTACAAAGATTTTTTTCCGCCTAAGAAGTAATGTGGTGAAAATCTGATTCTGTGGTTATTTCTATGGTTTCTCTCTTATTGTTTTTACAAACATTTTCATCTTTAAATGTAATAACTTGGATTCTGCATGGTGTTTTACTAGAAATATTCACTGGTCACAATACACAGTCGTGTAGAAAGCAATAGTCAGCTCTCTCAGTGGTGAAGCAATCCACCAGAAGAAAAAAAAAATGCAACAGCAGACAACATCAGTCATCTAGCTGAGGAGGAGTGAAAAGAGGGAAAGTTTTACCAGAAAATATGAAGGTGTACTATTTGCACACCACTTGTTTTGAAGTGTCTGCAAATGTCCTCCTTGGCAAGCCACCACCACTCAGCCTCTGCTGAAGGGGTTGGGCTTGGTAGCACGTTTGCGTGATGTCCTTATCTCCTGGACATGGGTTAAGGGAACCAGCATTAGACAGCTGACCCAAGGATAACCTCCTAGAGAATTGTAACTGTGATATGGTTTTGCAGTGAGAGAAACAGACGGCACTCCAAAAGTAGGATAAATTGAAGACAGTTTGTACATGAGTTAAATGTAAAGGTGTGGGCAGGGTGAAAGAAAACCACAAGGAATAACTCAGGATCCTGGGGCTACCAGCACCAGGAGTTAGAGCTGTCACTCCAAGGCATGTGTGAAGAAGGTGACCAAAACTTCAAAGATGAAAACTCTTTATCTTTGAGAAGTCTCCTTGATGGGAACAGTGAACTCCTGTTGACAGAACCAGCAAGCCTGAGGAAGCCTTGCGGGAAGGAACCAGATGAATAAATATGCCAAACCCATTCTCCTGCCTCTTGTCACCTGCCAGGGATCTTCATTAACCAAATTCAGCTGGAAGTAGGATAACACAGGAGTCTTTTGAGGCAATCAATTCAAATCACCTCTCAGGGGAAGGAACAGAGTAGAAATGGGTAGAGAGTGACCAGGTGCGGTGGCTCACATCTGTAATCCCAGCACCTTGGGAGGGAGAGGTGGGTGGATCACTTGAGTTCGGGAGTTCAAGACCAGCCTGGCCAACATGGTAAAACCCCATCTCTACTAAACTAAAAAAATTAGCCAGGTGTGGTGGGTGTCTGTAGTCCCAGCTACTCAGGCAGATGAAGCATGAGAATCGTTTGAGCCCATGAGGTGGAGGTTGCAGTGAGGTGAGATTTCACCACTCCACTCCAACCTGGGGAACATAGTGAGACCCTCTTAAGCAAATAAACAAAACAAAGAAAGGGGTAGAGAGTGGATCTGGAAGAGCTGATGAAAGATATTTGGCACACGTGGTACAGAAAGGAGTAAGTGATGGTCACTAGGTTTGCATCATAGTACACCAAGACTTGGCATCAGTCTATCAAAGTCAGTGTGATGAGGGAGCAGGAAGAACGAGGACCAGGAGGAACCATCTTTAAAGAGGACTCATAGAGAGGCAGAGTCACAGTACAATCCCAATCCTTGTATCAGTTAAGGCACACCCAATACAGTAACAAAAAATCCTTAAGTTTCAGCAATTTAACCCGTAGAAGTAGAGTCACTTCTACAATAGTACAACACAGGTTTTCCTGGATGGTAGCCGGTTTTCCTCAGTGTGCGATTTAGGGATCCAGGCTTCTCCCATCTGTGTCTCTGCACCCACTAGGGCTTTGGAACCCTCTGCTTCCATCTTGTGAGTGATACAGTCTTGATGTGAGATGTGTCTCGTAAGGTGTATCTTGCAGGTGAAACAAAAAAGAAAACGAAGAAGTGCCAATTACTTCTTAAAAGCCTCAGTCTGGAAGTGGTACATGTCACTTCTGCTTATATTCCATTGACAAGAGCTAGTCACATGAGCTATCCCTGGATGTACAGGGAGCCGGGAGTATCCCTGGATGTATCTAGCTGGGTGCATGTCTTCTAGAATCAACTTTATATGACAAAAAAGGGAGCAGGAGGTTTAGTGGACAGTTGATCCCATCTGCATAGTTCCTCATGGATTTCCATGCCTCAGTCCCAGTTCCAGAAGACCTCACATGGTCCCAGAAGACCTCACATTGCCACACATGATCTCGTCATAAACCACCTCCCCCTTTATGTGAGTCACATTGAGACACATCGGTCCTAGCCACCAAATCCTTTGATGAAGGCATGAAGCCACACTCATTTAGGATAAGGTGTTGCAATGTAACAAAAAAGTTGTCTTGTGTCTTTAACTTTCCAGAATGTTTAAACTTGGGATTTGCAATTGTTTTTCCTGTATTGCACTAGAATCTAAAACTGTGGTATCTTCAACTGTATACTTGCTTATCTCTGGTAAATTTTAAAAACATTTTCAGAAACCACATAGCTGTTTTTACATTTATTATTGATTTAACAAAAATTGTATGTATTTATTGTATACACCATGTTATTTTCATAACCTTTTAACTCTCTTAATAGTTAACTGAAACCTAACCTGACACAAGTAATACCACTAACAAATATTTATTTGAACCAATCTTCATTGTAGAAAGTTATCTTGGCATTACATATTTAAAGTTGTGAATATACTGATTTCACCACTGAAGGTACTCATTTCTTCCCTTGCCTTATTTCAAAAATTGTCTATATTAAAGAAAATTAAAACACAAAAAAGGAAAGATCTGCCAACTACCCTAGAGAGTATATCAAGATTTTTTTGAGATTTCAAAGTATGAATTTGCAGTTGTCGCATGATTTCAGCCAGAATTTGACCTAATGCACATGAGTAAGAGTGGGCTTAGTAGGCCCAAAAGCATTTGTACTGGGAAGCAGAACACTTTGTGGTGGTTTTTTCTTTCTTTCTCTTTTCTTCCACCGAAAGGGATAGTGCAATGCCACCAGAGCCAACAGAAAAACCACAGTGATTCTGTCTGAATTCTGAAAATGTAAAGGTTTTTCAACAGACATTTTCATACTTTTGTCAAATTGTCAAACTAAACATCTATGAAAGTCTAAATAACAGACACATACCACATAGTCCATAATGCAGAAGTGAGAAACAAACATAAAAAGCACAGAAGGGCATTTTATTTGAAGAAGCAAACAGAAACACAATCCACAAAACAAACAGGGGAACAAAAGGAAGAGGGAATCATTCAGGCTGGCGTCAGCTGTGTTTTTTGTCACTGTCCTCGTCCTCGTCCTCATCCCCATCCTCATCCAAAGTTGTGATTAGATCTTGTTTGGCTTCTGGGACACTATTAAGCCCTTAGAGGAGAGGGATCCAGAAGGGACAGGCGCACATAGCCACAAGCCATTGATGGCGCATGAGGGGCTATACCTGAGAGTGACCACCTGGGCCTATGGGAGAGAATGCTACAGGAAAATGGAGGCCGTATGACTCCTCCTCCCCCCAGGACAGCCCATTCTCAGGGAATGTTCGAACTTAGCCAGAGGCCACTTATCTTTGAACCTCAACTCTCTGACATGGAAATGAGAAACAGAACACATACAAAAATGATCTGTGAACAGCCCATACTGATGTTGCAAAGGCCAGACACTAATGTTCATGGACTTCACTCATGGTTTGGCCCCTCAGGCCCTCACGAAGAGCCATAATCAAGCTAGGTTCTCTGGTCCTTAGTCCACTGCTGATTTTGAGTGGTGAATTAAAGCACATAGGAGGAATGTGGCTGAGAAAGAGTGGGAGGAGGCTCCCAGAGCAGGGAGAGTGGCTTAGAGGCAGACACACTGATGGGCAACAAATGAGACCTCACTGCATAGGAAAAAGAGAGAAAACAGCACAAAACTATACAGGGAAACAACCAGAAAAGTAATGTGAGGCAATTAGTCTAGGGACTCGCCTGCCCAAGCCTTGCCAAGCTGGAGGAGAACACTGCAGGAGAACAGGAGGGTAATTCCCATTCAAGAGGTCCCCACTGACCCCAAAAATGCTACATTGGGCTCCTTGTGTACTATTCAAGGAGGCAAGCAAGAATAAGACAAACCTGGGAAGACTTGCCTGTTATTAATGTTTGAATGCTACATGTTTGTCTCGTATTGTAATGCAAACTTCTGTGAGAGAGTTGGTGTCTTAGTAAAGCAGAGTTTAACACTTGGGTGACCAGTACAGAGCAGGCATTCAATGAATGTTAGTTGGCTTGAATTATCTGTAAACTCCACTATTTGAGAACACTTTTTGCTCTTTTATACTCAATAATAAGGTATTACTTGGGAGTGACTGAAATTCCAAATGTTTAACTCTAATCTGCTCACTTAAATTTCAGGAGGATTCGTTGCATGAGAATGAGGGGAGTTTCATTAGATATGACAATTCACCCCAGCGGAAATTTAAAGGAGGAGATTTAACTCTTATGTATTCACTGTAGATTTCTAACTTGGGTCCCATTTTAAAAGCATGCATTATGTTTAATTTTTAGTATTTTAGGAAACCTAGGTTTCCCATGACACCCAATTATCTAGATCTCAATTTGTAGAACAGAGAGTTATTTTCTAAAGGTAATTAGGTTTTAAAATGCAAAGTTAACATTTGCGTAAAAGCTGCTAGCTAAAGTCAGCATTTTACAAAATTAAATGACTTGGACTGTCTTGTAGTGTTTTTGCAACCCAGCAAAGCACCTGCCTATAAAACTGCCAAACATATGAGTTGGTTTTATTAAATGTTTGTTAATTAGTGAAGCATAGTTTTCTTGTTCAAGTTCTATGGACAAGTTGGGCCTGCTACTAGGTCGGATTAATTCATGCATCTCTTCTGTTGCCAGTATTCTAAGTGATTTTTAATTATTTTTAACATGTAATTTGATGATAATGAAACCACACCCTTCCACTGGATCTCTTTTGAGTATGCGTTCATGACATAATGGAATGTTTATTATTAAAGGCATTTAGTTAAGAGAAAGAGAAAGAGGAAGAGATCATGAAAGAGAGAGAAACAGAAGCTACAGAGCTCATTAGTTTATACTGGCCTTGACGATATTCCTCAGGCATTCAGTACGCACTTAAACACTTGGAAATAAGTAAGCCCCATGGAATAGATGAATATAGACAGATCTTTTATTGTTGTTGTTGTCCAGAATGTATCGATGCAGTTAGCTATGAAGAGAAGGCTAAAAGAGATCACATGAGATCACGTGATGTCTTTTGCTCTCCAAACAGACCTGCATCTGAAACCTCCTACAAAGATGTCCATCTACCTGCATCTAAAACCTCCTACAAAGATGTCCATCTCTTCTCCCCTAAGGGAAGATCTCTCTCCATTCATAGTCTATACCCCTGGCAGTGAGGAATCAAATTAAATGGACACAGCTTCTTGGAAGGCTGGCTCTCTCTCCCCATCACAGTTCCTTGAGGGCTTTTTTTTTTTTTTTTTTTTTAGGATTCCAGAGATAAACTTCACTGTCAGCTGGGGGCTATATAAGTGATTCTCTTTTCACTAATGAAAAAGCTTGAGTTCAGAGAAGCACTTTTACTGGTCACTCACTGAACTAGAGATGAAATTTTTAGTACAGTACCACTGGAAGCAGAAAACTGCTTCCTCTAGCCCGGTGCCCTTTTAGCTCCAAACTGGCACTTTTTCTTTTCTAAGCGATCTTAATCCTACAAACATAAGGAAACTGTGAAACTAGAGGACACACTGGGATAGATTATATATGTTACAATGCTCTCAACATTGAAAGTGATATAAAAGTAAGCAGTATGACTACCATTTGTTTGTCAGTTTGGGGTTCGATCCATCCATGAAATGCTTTTGAAAATTGGGTCCTCATTTGAAACTGGTAACAACCAATCCAAATCTTGGTAACATGTGAGGTTAATCTTGATATAAAAATAAAAACCTCCCTTGAAATTTTCCTCAACTATGATAAGAATAAGCATATTTTCTTCCTTATTAGCCAAGCTTAGTATCTCCATTCCCCCAATTTTTTTCCTAGTATAAGCAATTATGCTTATGAATGCAAAGCAACCCACATTCTTTTCATCTTTCTTTGATATTATTGAAAAGCATCCATATCAGTGCTCAATAAGCTATACAGTAGGTACACTTGATCACTTAAAATAAAATGGAATAGTATATTAGGTCTCCAGAGACGCCATATTCTCCAACAGACTCCTTCACTGGGCCCCTGGCTCCTGTTCTCTAGTGCATACTTTCTGTAGAGTGGCTCAGTTCCCAGGGACAGTGAGAGGGTTCTAGCAGATTTAACTACATTCAAATTCCCTGTTCTGGAAATCCATTATGGAAGCTAGAAACCAAGAACTTCAGTCCCATCCTGAACAATGAGCTAATGTTCAACAGGTAAGGATGGTGTTTTGTGCTTCTTACTCACTAGGCAGTAGATTGGTGAATACAGGAAAAGCTTGTGGACTCAAGGGGGTTGCTTGGGAGGATCGGAGAGAGAAGATGCACAGGTAACTTTTTTGGGTTGGGGCGTCAAATTTTTAAAACCGTAATTACTTGGAAAATGCAGGAAAACTACGATACTTGTCTTGATTTTGTAATTTTAATAGTTGATTGCTGAGGTTGGTGTGATCCTCTCTATTCTCATTACCTTGACAATGGGTTCTATTTCCAGTCTTTGATTCATCCTTCCCCCATTTCCCAAATATGAGTTGGTTTCATGGTAATTAACCACTGTAGTGGCCAGCCTAGGTCAGTGCAGGTGGGACAATGTAGTAAGAGCATGTGGATGTGAAGTCATTTGTTAGCATTAAATATGAAGTTTAAATATGTGTATACATACATACATATATGTATTCAAAGAGTGGTAGCACTATAATCTGATATTAAGCATAATTTTATGATGTGACATGTATTTTACAAAGCAAAATAATTGAAAGTTATGCTAGTCAAGCTTTTGTTTAATGGAGACCAGTTTATGCTTGGAGCATTTTAATTATACAGCTATGTTAATTAGCCTATTTTATTACTTGTGGTTTAACATTATTAGATTTAGGTTGTAATCTCTCATGATCATTTGCCTCTGACTTGTTAACTAGCATATTGTCATTAAAATAAATTTTAGAATTATATTGTCAGTGTAGTTAGTTATTATCCCATAAGTAATATAAACAAGTAGAAGAACTTGTGCCAGAGGGTGGAATAAACTCTCTTATCACAATTCATTTTGCAATGTCAAATTTTACATAGATTCTAAATACTAGAAATACCATATGTCTTGTAATTGTGAAAGATGTACAAAACTAGATCTATTTCACCATATTCATGAAGGATATGCAAGTAAATGTTTATTGTAGTGAAATCTGTGGTTGACAAAATGATGAACTATTTATAGGATATTTAAGTGTACTGTAAGACTGAATTGTAAAGTGTACAGACACAAAATATCAGTCTTTAAATCTCCTTGGCTTGTGAAAGGAACTGCAATTAGATGTGTCTAGGATCACAGGAAATTACTTAAAGTATATTCAGGCTATCAGGGTTGATCTGATATTTCAGAGAGATAGTATTTTTGAGGCTCTGTTAAAAAACATGTTCAAAATTACATAGCACAGAAGATTTTCCTTGTCTTTGTGGCCTTGCCAAGATGTTGTTACTTTATCTGTGGTAATTATCTAGGCTGACTGAGCACTCCAGGTTACATATTTTTTCAAATTATAAACTGTTTTATAATAACATAGAGACACTTATTGGTCTCCTTTACAGTATATAAATGTTAAGCCAATGCATAGCTCTGCCCACCTACACCTAATAAAGACATATAGATTTTAACCAGTCAAAGAACATCTTAATTTTAACCACAGGTTTCTGTGTCCTGTGGAAATGACTAAGCAACAATCAGGAAAAGTATCTATCTTTCCCTAGATTTTTAGAATAATTTGATAAGCAGCCAAATATGTATGAGTACTAATTTTGAACTTCAGTTAGTGATCACTGCTTGGGCAGAGCCAAACTCCATGACCCTGGTGGACTTGTTAGCATTATTTTGGAGTGTTAATTGATGCCAGGCCTAGAATGTGAAAGCAACAAGCAAAGGCAATGCTTAAATTGCAGGTGAACCAAGTTCCTAGAATCTCTATTTAACATGCATATTCTACCTTGTTTTATAGTTAATTACTAACATCTCCTGTCCCCTACCTTGGTTTGTTCTCTTCTATAGGGCAGGACCTGGGTGTTATTCATCTTTGGGGCCCCCAAACCCTTAACCTTGTTCCTTGTACAGTTGGGGAGCTCAGTAAATGCTGAGACAAAAATTCATGTCTGGAACTATAAACCACACCCTTCGAACATGATTAGAGGCCCTGTTGAGCTCAGTCAGTGCTAAGGCAATGTTACGTAGTTATTATTATTATTTTTGTTTTGTTTTGGTTTGGTGTTTTGTTTTGTTTTGTTTTGTTTTTGAGACAGAATCTCGCACTGTCGTCCAGGCTGGAGTGCAGTGGCACGATCTCTGCTCGCTGCAACCTCCATGTCCTGGGTTCAACTGATTCTCCTGCCTCAGCTTCCTGAGTAGCTGGGATAACAGGTGTCTGCCACCACGCCCGGCTAATTTTCGTATTTTTAGTAGAGATAGAGTTTCACCATGTTGGCCAGGCTAGTCTCGAACTCCTGACTTTAAGTAATCCGGCTGCCTTGGCCTCCCAAAGTGGTGGGATTACAGGTGCGAGCCACCACACCCAGCCAGTGTAGATTATTATTATATTTAATCTGAAGTGAAAACAAAATACCCACAGCTAAATTTTTTTAAAAACTACCATTCACATTACAAGATACTTCAACTTGGAAGAGTAAAGCTATGGACATAGAGAAATGTTAGAAGGAAGGCATCCCCCACCCCACCCTGCCCAGTACTTGCTAAAAAAAACTATCTTCAAAACCAGCAGTGTCATCTTTCCACCATCTGATGTGCTCTTTCTGGAGGGATGAGAAAGGCACAGTCCCCAGTGGTTATCTCCTGTAAGAAGGTGCTATTTCTTCTCTTGGGTGGTGATTTTTCAGAAAATGGGAAAGAAACATACATGGTGGGAATTCTTCTGAAGATGTGCTTTCTAGGGTCTTTGCCCAGAGTTGGTGAGGTCGGTGTGTACACATAAATTTCAAAACCTCAGACATGTCTTTGCATGTTTGGTCTGACTTTGGCTATGCTCAACCAACTCATAAGAAAGCAAACATACTCTGTAGGAGCAACATCTAATTTCAGTAAGAAAGGCTAATTACAGTGAATTAAAATCTTTATTTATTTAATCTTCCTACAGTTATCCTTTTAATGTGTTCTGTAATTGCAAACCTTTAGTCTGTTAATCTCTGATTCATTAGTGGGCTTCTCAAGTGTTTATTGAGGAACACGTGTAATATTCAGGTAATTACTAATAATCTTTGTTCATAGCACATTCACGGAAATCTCTGCAGGGAGTTTCGTTAGGCTCATCACCACTTATTATCAGTATACAACTTTTTCTAGCAGTCTCCCACCTCTAGAAAGGATGGAATTTGGGGGCTTTAGAATACAAAAGGCAAGGTCTATTCTCTCTTATGGCTAACAAACTCAAATATTAAGTCTGTGTGCTGCTTTCCCTCAAATCAAATTGTCCCATTTTATTGCTGAGGAAAAAGGCAGAGGGATTAAATTACAAATCTCACCAGTTTACACTGTGAGTCAGTGGCAGCACTGGAATTATAACCGGTGGCTCCCAGTCTGTGTCTCAGTTCCTCAAAATGCTTCACCTCCTTTGACACAAAGGTGGAATTATTATACAGCCTAGTGCATTGTGGCATAAACTGCCAGTGAAGGGGGAAAAAGTGGCACTTAGGGCTGGCTTTGGTGGTAAGGATCCCCTGCATTTTTATCCTAGACAAAAACAAACCTTCTTATCTCCTTTTTGATAGCTGAAATCCCTATAAGAGAGGACACATTTTGACGGATGGCACATTAAAGTAAAAGTCACAATAAGGATGAATGATGGATGTGAATGTGTTTCCAAAAGCAGAGCTGAATGGGAGAAGGCAGAAGAGAGCACAGGAACACTACTGAACTAAGAAGTGATCCAGGGGTGATGCCAGAAATGCTCTTTACCTATCTCACTGGTTTGCTTAGGGATTGGTGGCAGTGCCAAAGGGGTGGCTTGGAATGGCTTCCCACTGCCAGTCTCCATCAGTTCCCTCTCCCAAAGCACCCCAAATAATCATATGATCTAACTAAAAAGCAGAGTCGTGTGCTATGCAAATGTAGCCTCAGGACAAATCCTATCATCTACCCCAATCCAACCCTTTGCAATTCAATTACTGCATATTCATATAAAGATAGGAATATATAAGTTATATTAGGTTGGTGCAAAAGTAAGTGCGGTTTTGGCCATTAAAAGATTGGGTGTTAGGCACCATTAAAAGTAATGGCCAAAACCACGATTACTTTTGCACCAAATGTATAATATGTAAGTTATATATGTATATATACTATATATGCATATATAGTGTATAGTGTACAAATATATTTCTAAAGCCTCCACTCCCCAGAATAGACTCGTTCAGTATTTGTTAAGAAGATGATAGATGTAAAATTACTTTGGAAATAAAGGCACTGCATAAATTTGAGATTTTATAATTTTCAAACACCCTTGTCTTGAGACTTTTAAGGCAGCAAAGCCATTTTATTTCTTACAGGCATATCTTTCTTTTGGCCATATCTTCAGAAGTACTCAAACAAGTGGAAGTGGTATATCTATGCTGAGACTGAGTCACAGACTAGTTTAAAATAGAATATCACTGAGCACACAATGAAGACAGTGCGAAATGCTGCAGTCATGATTCTCAGCTAATTTAGAAAAAAAAAATGCTTCAATTAGTGCAAACATTTTTTGTCTTTAAAAAATATGCTTGTACATTTGTTTGGGAACATTGAAAAGCCCTTCCTTACCCTGTTGGCTACCACAGTAACTCACTCAGTATTGTGGCTGGTGAATGACAGGGCCTGTTTCCTCCCATTTGTTAAGTGTGTGCAGTCCTTTGGCTATGAGAACAGCGGCAGATAGGTATCTGGCTCCTTTGCAATGCAGCCTAGGGTTTGAGCCACATTCCTTTCTGTTGTGTGTGATTCTGATCGGATGTTAAGCACCAAATATGTCCCAAGTGTTACTTCATTGTCCACTCTGTCAGTGTGGCAGCAAGTTTCCATCCTAATAAAAGAAGTTACTCAGATGGATATTCCAGATGTATTTAAGCTGCTTTTATTAGGACAATGGAGAAGTCCAACCCTGTCTTCTAAATGCAATCAAGAGTGGTGTGGCTTTGCCTTTGTAATTTTACAAGGGGTTGTATTATGTAACTGGAAAATTGTCTCCCTAAGTAGAGAGAATTTGTTAGCAGAAAATGCAGCTTGGAACATGCTGATGTAAAGCTTCAATCCAAGAGAGAAACCTTTTAAGTTGCTGAAATGTAGAGCAGAGGAAGAAGGAAATTGCTGTTTTACATGATTGACCAAAATGCACTATAATTATATCAACTTGAAACAGATTCCTGAGAAGAACTGATAACTCTGTGATCAGAATAAGTCATGTGTAATGGAACAAAATACTGCAACCAAATACTGCAAGTACTTTCTCTGCAAAGCGTAGACATGATGTATGTGAGATACACAGTAGAAGAGACAACTGTTCTTGCCTTAGCCTGTGTAATGGGGCCTCTCACTGCTTTAGCATAGTTAAGAATGGAAGGGAGGCTTTACTGGGGCATTAGCAGTTACCATGCCTGCCCATCCTTTTGCATTGCTCATGCAACACAGTTTATGGACTCTGCTCCTGTGATGTTATTTTGATGTTGCCGCTCCTGGTTGTAATTAACTCAGCATCACTCATCAGACAGTCAGCTCCTAAGTGAAGCACTCCTCAAGGATTTCATGGACTGCCCTTTCTTGTTGCCTGTTCTAAAATCTGTGGGTAAAGTTTAATTGCAGATATGTAGCTCCAAGATAGTCTTTCTTTATTTCCCCTCTCCCTTTCCCTTCCATTGTCTCTGCAAAGTACTATTTCCCACCCATAAATAGCCGATCATCCCCAATAAGAGTGGTGCTAGCATCTGATACTCTGAAACACTATTTCTAAACAATAGTTTTTGTGTATGGTAATCATCTATTTGCACATCTCTTTCACTTTACTGAAAGCTTCTACAAGGCAGGGCTTTTTCTTATTTCTTTGTAAGCCCCCAAATAGTAGAGTGTATAATAAATAGTTGTATTCAAGAACTCTTATTAACTGAATGAACAATAGATTGGAAATATTATCTATTTGGTTCTACAAAGAGAAAAAGAAATTGCAACTAGTGAGTGAAGTGCCTAGACTTGTGAAATCATCATACTCTGTATACACGTTTGCACAAGCTGTCAGAAAACCCACCTGGGAATTACCTGAGCATGCAGACATCATAGGCAAAGCTGAGGTCTCTGACCACAGAAGGGAAGGAAAGGCTAAGGCTGAATATCTAGACATAGGACGTGCTTGCCTGGCCCATCTGCTGACTTGTTCACAGGCCCATCTGGAACCAGGGCCATGCAATTGTGCAATGGCCATCCTGAGGTAGCCGAAGTGCTGAGCTGAGCAGCAGAAAAGGTCAAGTGCTTTATACTGGGCTTTGACTTCAGCTCCTGTATACCTTCTACCAAACCACTTCAGGTCTCCATGCACCCTGAGCAACCAAGTGCCTGCAGCAAGCAGAGTACTGTAACATTTTCCCAAAGGAAACGGGGTAGGCGGCTGTGGTGTTCGCTTCCCCATTAGAAAGGACAGCTTTCCCTCACTGGCCATTGTTCTTGTCATCTCCCCACCTGAAATGCTTCCTCCTGATTTACTCTCTGACTCCCAGGAGGAGTCAGCTCAGATCCTTCTCTTCCCTGAAACCCTTGCTGAACTTCTGCAGAAAGCAGTAATTGCTCCCCTCGTGAACACCTGGACGACCCAGTGCCGATGCTACTTCACATTTTGCATATTTCCTCTTATATAGGTTTTTTTTTCATATTTCTTTCTTGTGCTTCTTGAGGTTGAAGGTAATACCCTGGGTTTTTGTAAAACCTGTAGCATCTTAAATCATATGGAACACATTAAGAAAATATTTGGTAATTTGGGAAAATGCATCTAGAAAGAAATTTGCTGAGATAAATGAACTTAATTAAAGCTTATTACGGATATTATGAAAAGCATCTATGCTTATATAATACTTTCATAATATATAAAACTATTTTGAATATTTTTTTAAAGAACAGTTAGAGAAGAGTCTTGGTTTTTCCCACTAGATGTAAGAAAGGATTTTATACTCTACAATGAATATAGGTTACAAATATGCAAATACAGAAATGAAGATTCTTATTTGAACTGAACCAAAGTCGTATTTTGGAAATTGCTCTGTATGTTTCAAAGTGATTTGTTGTCTAGGGGTAGTGGCTCATGCCTGCAATCCCAGCACTTTGGGAGACCGAGGCGGGAGGATTGCTTGAGCCCAGAAGTTCCATACCAGCCTGGGCAAGAAGGGGAGACGCCACCTCTACAGAAAAAAATTTTAAAAATTAGCTAGGCATGATGGTGCATGCCTGTAGTCCCAGCTCGGGAGGCTGAGGTGGGAAGATCCCTTGAGGTTGAGCCTAGGAGTTTGAAGATGCAATGAGCTGTGATGGCACCACTGCACTCCACCCTGGGGACAGAGCAAGACCCTGTCTCAAAAAAAAAAAAAAAAAAGAGGAGAATATGTTAAATGTGTCATTTTTAAAAATTAAGGAGAAAAAGGACTACCCAACAAGCTTGCCCCTTTCGTTGTATTCCTGTCACCTTTATTTATATTCTAGCACCATTATTTCTCACCCAGTCTATTGTATCTCCTTCCTAACTGTTCTCCCTGCCATACTCCCTTTCTAATCCATCCAGTTGGTCAATAGATACTCATTTAGAGATTTTTATTGCAAAGAACTCTGCTGGAAGACTGAACTCCCACTTCTCTGAACAGTACTGTTCACAAAATTCTTCACAGTACTGTTCAGTACTTCTTCACAAACACATCTAGCAACTTTCCACTTTACAAAACTAAATGTAATTCCAGCCTTGCTTTGCTTTTCAGTATTATACCACACTCACTCTGCCCATATGCCCAACTGCTTCAGTCAAAGCAGTACACTCATTCTTCTGTCTGATATGTGTCAGTTTGTAGCATAATTCTGTGAGGCCTAGAACTATAAAATATATTATTTCTAGAAGTAGACGTTGCGTTCATATCATCAAGCCAACAATCTAAGAAAAGCATTTTTGAACTAAATAATATCAGAAGTGTTTTGAAAAGTTCTTTTTAAAAAGCAGGTAAAATTGTGGAGGGAATTCCCTCCCACAGAAGGAACAAGAGCCCTAACTTACAACAGGAACAATAAAGTAAAGCACAAGGAATAGGCAGGGTAAAGAACCCAAAGTATAGAAAACAACTCAGGTACGGGAGAAATGAGAGTACTTGTTATAAACCTCTTTAGAAACAAACTCCAGAGCAAATACAAAACAAAAAGATAAGACCCTAGTACTGGAAACTTCCACATTTGGAGGGCTAAGAGTTCAGGGATGCATGATCATATGCAAAAAGAAGAAAAAAGAACTTACCTTTCAAAAATGGGACACATGTTTATTGAGCTCTAATTATATGCAGGGCACTATGCTTCTGTGAAGATCCGGGTAGCCTGAACTACCCAGAATGATCAACCTTGTTCCATCACCGAGTAGCGATAGTAAACTGTAGAGTAATACAACCTCAATATACAACCCCACCTCTTGCTTCAAATGCAGACTCCTGCCTGCCAGAATGAATTCCAAATTTACAATCAGGATTAATATTAGGCCCTATTAGCTACTCTGTATTTTTTTTTTTTACTTTAAGTTCCAGGATACATATGCAGAACGTGCAGATTTGTTGCATAGGTACACGTGCACCATGGTGGTTTGCTGCACCTATCAACCCGTCTTACAGGTTTTAAGCCCCACATTCATTAGTTATTTGTCCTAATGCTTTCTCTCCCCTTTCCCCACAGCCGCCAACTGGCCCTGGTGTGTGATGTTTTCCTCCCTGTGTCCATGTGTTCTCGTTGTTCAACTCCCACTTATGAGTGAGAACATGCAGTGTTTGGTTTTCTGTTCCTGTGTTAGTTTGCTGAGAATGATGGCTTCCAGCTTAATCCGTGTCCCTGCAAAGGACGTGAACTCATTCTTTTTTATTGCTGCATAGTATTCCATGGTGTATATGTGCCACATTTTCTTAATCCAGTCTATCATTGATGGGCATTTGGGTTGGTTCCAAGTCTTTGCTATTGTAAATAGTGCTGCAATAAACACACAAGTGCATGTGTCTTTATAGTAGAATGATTTCTAATCCTTTGGGTATATACCCGGTAATGGGATTGCTGGGTCAAATGGTATTTCTGGTTCTAGATCCTTGAGGAATCGCCACACTGTCTTCCACAATGGTTGAACTAATTTACACTCCCACCAACAGTGTAAAAGCGTTCCTATTTCTCCACAGTCTCGCCAGCATCTGTTGTTTGCTGACTTTTTATTAGTTGCCATTCTAAGTAGCATAAAATGGTATCTCATTGTGGTTTTGATTTGCATTTCTCTATTGACTAGTGATGATGAGGATTTTTTCATGTTTGTTGGCCGCTTAAATGTCTTCTTTTGAGAAGTGTCTGTTCGTATCCTTTGCCCACTTTTTGATGGGGTTGTTTGGTATTTTCTTGTAAATTTGTTTCAGTTCCTTGTAGATTCTGAATATTAGTCAGGCTACTCTGTATTTTTAACCTTCATACTAAATTGCCATCAAGGAAGACTTATAAGAAATAGCACTACTGACTTTTTTCATATGCATCTTCAGAATTCTGAATTCTACATTAAAACAATCTACGATATCTGTGTATGCTCTTCACAAAAGGAAAAAGCACAAATGCCTCAGGGCAAATCTGCCTGGCTAAGAAATAGATGAAAATACATTTTTTTTCTATAGATTTCATTAAATTACAGAGAAATGTAATTTTAAAGACTATGAAAATAAGGTAAAGATTATATAAGGCTAATAAATGAATAAAATCCATACCAAAGCAGAATATTCTAGATTAATCTGAAAAGCTGAGTTTCTAAGACTTTAAAAAATGAGAAAAGCCATTTGGCAAAATCTTTAACTTAGAATTTTTGGTTTGATTTTGCTTCTAGGTTTCAGATTCAGAGATGTGCAACCGATCCAAACAGTTATAAAAGCTTGGTAGACAGCTTTCGAATGATTTTCCAAATGGAAGGGTATGTATATTCTTCATATAGCCATTTTAATATGTTTCTACTTAACATGTTTTCTCATTTCGAATGGTTTATTTTCCTAGTCTTACTAGGGGCAAAATACTTAAAAGGGTACCTTTCTACTTTGTTATGTTTTTCCTAATAATGTGATTGAAAACTGGATATATATATAATGGAAACTACCACAAGAAGATATTAATAACTAGTTTAATGACTAGAGGACAAATCTTAATTTATGCCACTAGGGCTGTTTAAAGTTTCTGTAACTGAGGCTATCTAAACTCAATAGTTCTTTATTTTGGTACTGTAATACAATGTCCAAATTCATTCCCCGTTCACACTCTAGTTTATGAATATACAAATAAAACAGATCTGTATCAAAAATTGATGCATCAAGGCTGGGAGCAGTGACTCACACCTGTAGTTCCAGCTGCTTGGGAGGCTTAGGTGGGAGGATTGCTTGAGCCTGAGAGGTGGAAGTTGCAGTGAGTTAGGATTGCGCCACTGCACTCCGGCCTGGGTGACAGCAAGACTGTCTTTAAGAAAAAAAAAAATTGATGCGTCCGATTAATTATCTGATCTATTAAATGATCAAATAAATAGAATATTTGTTTACATAGGCTAAAATTATCTTCAATGTGTAGATTCAGTTAAAAACCATATCCAGTAAACATATGTGTGCGTGTGTCTGTTGGAAGCGAGGGGCTAGGGGAGGGATAGCATTAGGAGAAATACCTAATGTAGATGACTGGCTGATGGGTGCAGCAAACCACCATGGCATGTGTAACAAACCTGCACGTTCTGCACATGTATGCTAGAATTTGAAGTATAATAAAAAAAATTTTTTTAACTATCCAGTATAATTTTTCAAAGAATATTATATTTGCTTTTGGAAATTGTTTTTATAAGAAAATTCATTGAAAATAATAATCTTTCAAAAATGTAACAGTAATAATAATTAGTATATATTTAGCTTCTATTATGTAGTAGGGATTCTTCTTACAACTTTATGATGTAGGTTCTGTTGGGTTCCATTCCAGTTGGACAGATAAAGAAGACTCAGAGAAGTTAGTAAGTTTCACATTTCTGGTGAGTAGTGGAGCTGGGAATCAAATCTAGGTCTGCTTGACCCTAAAGCCCACGCTCTTAACTGCTGTAGATCACTACCTGTCTTGCCAGGTTGCACTATAAATACTATTCTGCTAATCATTTATTTCAGTTAAACTTGTATTATGGGTATCTTTCCATGCCAGTATATTCTCTTTAACAACATAGTAATTTATTTTATCTATATGTTGCAATTTATTAAATTAATCTCTATGGTAGACCTTTAGGTTGCTTCCAAATTCTTGCTATTATAAACAATAGTGCAATAAATATTTTCATACTATCTTTGCACATTTGTGTGTATCTATATATTTTAATATATAGTATATATTGATATATATTTACATAACTTTTATATATTTTTATAGTTTTAATATATTGGTACAGTAAAGTACATTGCTAGCTATGGACTTACAGGATCAAATGATATGCATGTTTTCTATAACAGATGTTGACAAACTTACCTTCCAAAAAGTATGTACTGATTTTATACCCTTAAGATTTGAAAGTTCTTATTTCTTCACACACTCTCAAATACATTATAAATCATTATTTGATATATCTGTCACTGACATGTATCTCCTGTTTACCATCTGACAGATGAAAAACACAACTGTCCTAAGTGTATTCCTTTGAATGTTACTGGAATTGAGCATACTTTCATATCATTAGGTATCATTTCTTTTGTGAATTGCCTATTTTGTGTCCTTTACCCATTTCTCTTAGATTAGATTTTTTAATTTGTAGGTACTTATTATGTATTATAGATACTAATCCTTTGACTATTATGTAGGTTGTAAACAATTTTTCCAACTTGTCATTTGTCTTACAACTATAGTGTCTTATACCTTTCAGAAATTTGTGATTTTTAAAGATTTTGATTTTGTATTATCTATCTTTTCCATCCTGATATCTAATGATGTCACATTAAAAAAAATTCTCTAACCCCAAGATTATAAACATTTCTTCTGGTAGTTTTTTACATTACAATTTTTAATCCAGCTGATAATTTTTTAATGTGCAGTGTGGTATATAGAAATTAAATTTCATTTTGAAATGGTCAGTCAGTTGTCCAAACACCACTTGCTGAAAAATCTATCCTTTACTCACTAATTGGAAATGCTGCCTTTTTTTGTTTTGTTTTGCTTTGGGGGTTTTTTTTGAGACGGACTCTCACTCTGTTACGCAGGCTGGAGTGCAATGGCACAATCTCTGCTCACTGCAACCTCTGCCTCCTGGATTCAAGCAATTCTCCTGCCTTAGCCTCCCAAAATAGCTGGGATTACAGGTGCCCACCACCACACCTGGCTAGTTATTTTATTTTTAGTAGAGACGGGGCCTCACCGTGTTGGCCAGGCTGGTCTCAAACTCCTGACCTCAAGTGATCCACCCTCCTCGGCCTCCCAAAGTGCTAGGATTACAGGTGTGAGCCACCACACCCAGCCAATGCTGCTGCCTTTTTCACATATTAAACTTCTACACATATACCCTCTAATTTTCCATTTTGATTCTCCATTTCCTATTCTGTTCCACTCATTCATCTATCTGTAGCTATATCAGCATCATACTGTTTTAATTATTTTATCTTCAGAGTATTTGGGAAATATATAAAAATATACCTCATGGTATGGAGTTCAAGCTTCTTGTCATGGTGTGCAGAGCTTTTGTGGCATGATCCTTCTTCACACTCAGATCTGCTCTAGGAATAGCAGATGGTTTGCCACACTCTGGTCTCTCACATGCTCAGGGCTTTTCCATGCTCTTCCTTATTCCTGAAGGACCCTATCCCCAAACCTCCCCTAGAAACTATCCCTCTTCATTTAAAAGTGACTTCATATTTCACCCTCCCTGACCCTCTTTTCTCTATCATATGCTGAATTATTTCCCCCACTCTTTTCTCTATCATATGCTGAATTATTTCCCCCACTCTTTTCTTTCTCTACATATGCTGTATAAAATATAGCACGCACCATCCTGGTTTGTGAAGCTCATTTTCTATCTCCCCTTTCCCATCCCAAGAATATATTTCCTAAGGGTCATGTCCCAATTAGCTCTGTATTCCTTATACTTGTGTCTGGCACTGAGTAGAGACACTCAGTAAGTATGCTAAACAAATGAATGGAAGTCATCACACCAACATCATAATGATGCAAAATGAAACAGAGATGATAACTCTTCTATAGACTAACCTCTCTGAAGTTATGATAATGATCTTGATGCTTGATTAAATATTTTGAGGTCACCTAGTGACAAAAGTCAACAAGTTCTTAGCTATTACTCTGGTGATGTGGTACCTAAATGCCCTACGTTGATAATATAAACCTTTATATTATGACAAGAAAGTTAAGAAAATCATAGTTTATTACATAGCCAATGAAAGTATCCCTTTCCTGCAAAACAGTAATGTCAGCATTACTGAGATCTGTAAGCTGTAACAGATATCCCTGAATTGAACGTGGCAGTTCCTTAGCCAAGATCTTCAATTCATGTGTGTTTTGGGAAGAATTTGATGTTTCTGCTTCTGCTTTGATATCAAATAATATAACAAACATACAGTATGTGTGGTCCTTACATAGTGGAATTGGCCTTTTTCTATACTGTATGTATAATTGCTTCTAGAGCAAATTGACATTCTTCCTGTGATGCCTTTAGATCTGGACATGCTGTTAGCCAAAAGCCAAAGAGCTCTAGTCTTAGAGATGGAAATATTTTTTAAAATACAAAATAAAAAGCTCCCTGTTATTTTTTATACAGAGCAAGAGCATTTCATAGCCCTGGGTTAAACGAAAGAAAAAACAAAAAAAGAAACGAAAGAGAAGAAAAGAAGACAAAAGCCTTTTAACACATGTTGTGTTAATTTTTTTCCCTAGTTAAAGAAGTTCTTTTGACTTTCTTATTTAGTTTTTAGAGTCACTCCGTTTTCAAAGATGTCTTTCCTACTCAGGTGCATAGAGGCCAGTTTGGCCTGTGGCCTGCAGGGAAGATAGCACTAGTCAATTTTGACTGTTGACATAATTAGGAGAATTCGCCTCTCCTGGTTTTTCCTATCTCCTCTAAGTTAAAGGTTTTGAGAGCTTGTCCTTTTCTTTTATTTAAAAACATTAAAGTCTGTTAATACACTTAAAATCTGCACAGATCTCCCATTTCCCCAGCATTAAGAAAATGAAATGGTTCTCTCCACCATTCTTAGAGATGCAATTCCTCACCTCTCTGCTCAGAATTCACTTGCTTTCAAGAGACAATAGCTCAACCACATGAGTCCAAATCCCTTTACTGTTTCTAACATTTTTTTCTTCTTAAAAAGCGTAAATACATTGTACTTTTTAATAAAAACCATGTCTTATGAAAGACATGGCTTTTCAACACAGCTTTACAGAAGTGAGATTAAAGCTTAAAAAGAGAGGCATTCCAAACTCCAAGTAAGGATTTCTATTATATGGAATCCTCATACTTAGCTAGTTTTTACAAAAGACACTGTTTTCTGTAACACAGAAGAGAGAACTCATAGAAAATGAAGCAGTAAAGAAATATCACTGTTGAGAGTACCTTCATCATCACCACAACTTTTCATCTGTGTCTGGTTTGACAGAAATAAATAGGTCCATCTACTGTAATAAAGTGAGCCCAGAAGACATAAAGATACAGCCTAGTTAATTAGCTGCCTTTAAAACCAATAGCGTTGGTTTTGTAAACTCACCTGGCAAACAGTGGCAGATATCTCTATTTACCATGTGTCCATGCATCACGCCTCACTTCCCCTTTATCTCAGAGCATCTTATGAAAGTTGGCCTAGTCTCTTTTGTACTTGTTATTCCTTTAAAAAGAGTGATTGAAATGTTCACAGGTGGGTGAGGGGACTATACATTATGTCGTTGTAAACCCAGAACAGTCTTCCCATCTACCACTCTGCCTCCTCTGAAAGTGCTTGAATGGCCATTCTTCCTGAAATAAGGCAAAAATAGGAGTTAAACAGAACTCAAGATACTCTGGTGATGTAGGTAGAGAAAGACATAAAACTAATATTTATTTTCTTCAGTGTACCATGAACTATGCTAGAATTTTTTTGCATAAATTTTTATCAACACAGCACTATTAACACAACATAGAATCCTCATGCCCATGTTTTGTATAAGGTAACTGAAGTTAAATAACTTACCCAAAGCCACGCAGGTATAACCATGGTTTCTCCGTTAGACTGTATTTGATCTTCCACTGAGGATCAAATTTTGTTATTTATTGGCTGGAAAGAAGATAATATGGAAATAATGGCTGTGAATGGCTAATCTTTAAATGGCTATTCTGAAGTCTTTGATATTCCTAGCCTCAAATCACACAGCGACTTAAAGCAGCTTTATATCCTCCTTCAAGTAATGTATGAAAGCTCTGAGACTAGTATATGTTCAGTCAAGCAAATCTTGGTGATTCTGAGGCAGCACTACAAAGCTCTGGCAACTCAAGACTCAATCTAATCATTGCCCCATCCTTTATAATTAGCTCTGTATTTCTGATAAGTTCATGGTTTTCAGTCAGTCGATTTTCATCCTGTTTGTTCCTTAGCTCTCTTATGTGAAAAATTCTTGGGCATTGGTTTGCTCAAGGCAAATAACTAGGAAACAACTAGGTCAGATTAAGCTTAGCTTCAAATGAGAAACATGTTGATTGCTGGTGCCTTCAGAAATATGGTATTCTTCAGAAAGTATTGCTGTAGAAAATATGTGGTTGCATTTGGGGGGCATTTGAACTGTGTTTAGTTTCACGATTTGTTTTCTGTAACCACTGATGCTGCCCCAGGTATCATCTTACAATCAGACCACTTGGTGATTATAATATTTTCTAGTTAAATGACATTTAAGGCCTCGTTTTATGAGCTCGAGCATAATTGGCTAATTTGGTAAACTCCAGATGTGTGAGATAATGTGCCACTCATTTAAGTGCCTTTCAGACGGCACAAATGGCACAGCCCCAGGAGGTATACTCACTCCCTCTTGTTTTCATTAAGAAGGGGAATGAGTGGCTTGTGACACAGACAAAGGAAGTGTGATGCCCACAGCTCTACAACTTAGTAAGATTTGGACATTTTCTTTTTATCAGTGGACTCCAAGGTGTTTGGCTCAATTCAGTGTCTTAGTGGGTCTACTTTTCAAAAAGTGGTTTACCTAGTCTAACATGGCTGGGTGGTTTTAAAGCCATGAAAATAGGCTGTCTGAAAATAGAAAGACCTGTCCCTGTAGAAAACCCCCTGAGCAAAGTAGTCTCTGGAAACCGTCCCTCACCCTCATGTGGAAGTGTGGGTGGGGGGATATTGGTTTGAAGAAACAATGGAAGAGCTGACTCTTCCCACAGCCATGAATCTAATTATTTGACCAATCATCATCCTCCTCCTAAACTTCCAACTTAACAAAATTCCAACTTCATGAAGCCCAGTAGTTGCTGCTGCTTTTTCTCTCCCCTCTCAACTCTCCTGCACCATCTAACAGAGACCAATTCATCCACCCAGCATTGCCAAGCTGGAATGCAGTGAATGGTTCTGACATCACTGTTGCCTGATCCTGGGGCTGGTTGCTTTTATCAGACTACAGATCCGGTGGAGTTCACATCTGGCTGAGTCTTCGCTCAGATGAGATCTACATCTCAGACCCCTGAGCAGATAATCTGCCATGCAGATTCATTTTGTGTCGATTATTGGGTGTTGATTGAGTTTGTAAGCCTGGTTTGCCCAAGTTCCTTTTATGGTAGGCACCAAATGTGCACTGTGACTTCTGTGATGAGTTCCGTGAGTGGTGCCTTGACTGCCTTCACTCCCCTTCTTTTTGTTTTAGCAAAGAGGCCCTTCCTGGTACCCACTGGACCTCCCTCGAGTGCTCCCTTGTTTTTATGTGGTGATGACAAGGAAAGCAGAGAGTCCCAGCCGCTCTTGCTCCCACACTGCCAGAGTTCAGCCATGGCCTGCCTGGGCTTTTTAATGATGTTGCAGCAAGTTTCCTCTTTAGCTAGAAAAAAAGGGGTTGGGGGTTGGGGGACAAGAAAAAAGTAATAGAATAAGTTAGAATTTGGAGAATAAACTATAGCAAATTTATCTGGCATGCCTTAAAAGCAATGGACCTAGGTCTAGAATATGGCTTCCATAGGCTGAAGACATTTTCTTCTTCCAAGTCTTCTCCTGATTTGGAAAGAAAATGTGAGAAGAGATTATCTTAATTCAGGCATGGACATACTACTATTATTCTTAAATAATCTGTGTTTCTTTTAAAAATGGTTTGTTAACTTTAGTATATCATACTCATACATTTTAATTGATTTTTTAAATTGACATAGTTGTACAGATTTATGGGGTATGTAGGGACACTTCAATACATGCAATGTATGGTGATGAAATCAAAGTAATTAACAGATCCATCACCTCAAACATTTATCATTTCTTGTATTAGAAACATTAAACATCTCTCCTAGCTATCTGAAAGTATAGAATATATTATTGTTAGCTATAGTCATCCTACAGTGCTATGGAGCACTAGAATTTTTCATCCCACTTAGCTGTAATTTTGTGCCCATTAACCCACCTCTTTTTTTAAAAATAAAATAAAATAAAAGTAAAAATAAATAAAAAAAGCTCTCTCACCCAGGCTGGAGTGCAGTGGCACAATCTCAGCTCACTGCAACCTCCACCCCCACCCCCACCCCGGTTCAAGCAATTCTCCTGCCTCAGAGTAGCTGGCATTACAGGTGGCCGCCACCACACTCAGCTAATTTTTTATATCTTTAGTAGAGACAGGATTTCACTATGTTGGCCAAGCTGGTCTCAAACTCCTGACCTCAAATGATCCATCTGTCTCGGCCTCCCAAAGTGCTGGGATTACAGGTGTGAGCTACTGCACCCAGCCCTTTAATCCACCTCTAACCGTTCTCCCCTTCTCACTACATTTCCCAGCCTCTAGTAACCATTATTCTACTCTGTGCTTCTATTAGATCAACTTTTTTAGCTTCCACATATGAATATTCATAAATTTTTAGTCATCAAGTATATGTAATCTCTTTTTACAGAAACATTATGCTATGTAGCTAAGAACTTTAAATTTAGATTATTTAGCAATTCAAGTTTGAAAATTAAAGGATGAAGGGTAAGGAGAAAGAATACCGAAGAAGAACAGGCAGTGACTTATTTCAATAGTTTTAAAAACAACAGGCAGTTGGACCATGGATACATTATTTGGCATTTCTATCTTACCAGATTATTCTGTACCACTGCTAAGCCACACAGTTGCTGGCAGAAGCTGTACTGGGTTGTAAAGTAACAGTTCCTCCCCAGTCTTCACAATCAGGGAGCAGATGATGAATTTGCAGAGTGCTCAGAGGGCGGCATCCCAGGGCTTCAATGGCCCAGAGTTCTGTTTCCTTTTCTAAATCAGAGGTCTTTTGTTCTGCCACAGAGTGACCTTTAAAATGGTTTCAGCACCTAGATCTCCCTGCTGTCATCACCACAGACTGCTAGCTGACACTCACACTCCGACTCCCCCAGCCTCTCTCTCACAACACTTTCCGACTTACTGACTGGCCTTTGGCAAGGATTTAACTGTTGCCAAAGAGTAAGTGAAAACGTTTGCAGTGATGTCAGCCCGTCAGCAAGGCCTGATTAAGAGACCAAACACAGCCTCCCTCAGCGTGTGGTGCTGACAAGAAGGCAAGGAGGACCAGTTGTTTGAGTGGAAATTGTTGTCTTCTAGGAGGGTTGGTGTCTCAATTCAGAGCCTGAGCAGATATTCCCCATGTTTGTGGAGTGTTAATCAAGGTGGAGGGGAAAGGTGGGATTCCATAGCCAATGGGGGATATCCCACTGGAAATATTTTTAGGCCTTACTTTTAATTTATTCTGGCCTTCTTATGGGCTAGAAGTACAGTCACATTACAGAGAAAGTATGGCTTTACCAAAACCAAAATTCTTTTTCTAGTGGTCGTTAAAACCGAACATTTTCAAATCAAATGGAAAAAGAGAACTTCCTAAAAGCACTCTTCTACCCATACCTGATTATCTTATTGTAGAAAAAAACTTAGGCATGATTTGACGTAGACAAGGTTAAAAGAGTTCATAGTTTATTTTCATCAATGACTTCATGAATTTTTGGGCTGGTTTCATGATTTTAGCTTTGCCTTTCCCGCTGGTCTTCCAGGTGGTTTGGAATTGGAGGAAGGGAGAAGATTCTGACAGTATTGTTATGATGGTCATTAGATTCAAAACCACTGTTACCATTCTGGTCCTTTATCGTTTGTGAAACGTGTCCATGTATATGACCTCCTTGATACTCATAAGAGCCCTAGCAGGTAGGAGGATGAGGAGTACAGTTCTAGTTTTCTGGTGAAGAAACAAGTAAGGGTTGTTAAGGGACTTGCCCAACATTCCACAGCTGTATTTGTTGGGGCTGGGATTCATCCAGTGTCTTCCTCATCTTTTAATATGCTGCCTATTTTGTCAATAACAAAAGAGTGGTACTAGCAATCACAGAAGCAGCACCTCACATTTACACCATTCCCTCTTTGGGTTCAAAGCCTTGTACATATCTCATCTCAGTTGGCTGAATTTCATCTAGGGAAGAAGGAAAGGGATGGCATGACTGCTGACAACTTTTCTGGTCTATGTACAAGAAAACTTCAGCAGAAAGGGGTTTAGTGGGATCCCCAGAAAAATTGATCTTGATATCAATACTCAAAGAATGCAGAGGTTTAGTTTGTTTGTTTGTTTGTTTAAAAAAGGTCTTAGGCAAATGAAATTAGATTACACATGTCTTCTGACATGTGGCACCATCATTCTATGAGACCAAGGTTTGGACCTGTGGTCCTTAGGACAGAATCATCTCCAAAGAGTAGTTACCAGACACAGTGTGAGGTTAAGACTCACTGAGTGAACTTAACTCGGTTATTTCACCTGTTAGAGTCTTGGCCTAACTGAAGTTGAATTTAGTAATAACCAGGAAAACCTCATGAAACATGAAATAAGGCATTTAACCAACGTTCCTTGGATGAATTGTCAGATGGGAGTGAAGAAGCATCATATGATCACAATGTATGTAAAGATATAGTCACCTAATCCTAGAGAAAATGCCAGCCTTATACAGTGGCTTGGTTTTCCTGCTGATAAACAGCTCATTGTGTGGAACTCAGAGGAAAACAAGATACCAAAAAATCTAACATAGTCACAGTCTCAGTGATGACAAAAAATGAGATAAAGTGTTAGATACATTTTGGAAACTCTTAAAGAGAGGTTGTGAGTTTATTGTTAAATGAATTAGTTTTTTAAATTTTTTTTACATAAAACCTCTCCTATATTAGAAGAATCAAGAACCAAAAGGAGAAGTACCATTTTGTATTCTATACATTTTCAGTGAACAGGTCAACATACATTTTGAAATTCAAATAATAAAATTTCCAGAGATTGACACTATTTGTAAAGGAATCAAAATTAAAAGAATGTTGCAATATAACTCATTAAGCAATAAGACATATTGATAACTAGAGACCTGGCTTCATGTGTAAAATAAAATATGTGTTACATTTCAAAAATGTTTCTTAACTACCTGTTTACCCCTTAACCCCATGAACTGGCTCTGTCTACAACCCTGTTTTCAAACTGTTCTCCCAGAGCCTGCCACAGACCTTCTATCTTTTTCCACAGAATCTGAGATACTGACAAGTGTAAGGTAAGATATTACTTCATTAGAGAGAAAAAATGCTGATAATTAAACTCTTTACAATGATTTGACAATGGATGTGGGTGATGAGTAAGAAGAAATTTCAATAACTTTCTAGTGTTTGGCATTCCAGAGGCACCTAGCTAAGCAATGCACAGGTTCCTGATCCATAGATATTATATGATGATAAAATTTTGCCAGTAAGTGTTGGAAAAATTTTTACCCTCTGGTTTGAATGTTTCAGGCTTTATCTCACCCACTATCATTACATGCCTCTTATGTTCCAGCCCTTCTGGCACAATTATAACTCCTGAAACAATTTGTCTGTGCATATTTCTCACACATATTCATTAGCCAAGAATGTCCTTTCCCTTTTATCCACCTGTGGAAATTCCGGTCATCCAAAGATGCCCAGCTCGTATGCTGTTTTCTCTTTGATGCCTTCCCTCATCATCCAAAGGGGAAATAATTTCCTCCTTCTGTTCTCTTATAGCACTTTGTTCCTCTGTAACAACACTTACCTTGGGGTTCAAAGAGACCTGGATTAGAATTCCACTTGGAAGTTTTGGGACCTTGGACAAATTATTTAACCTCATTGTACTTCAGTTTTCTCATTTGTAATATGGAGACAATAACCATACTTATTTTATTGTGTTGCTAGCACTCAGTATTAATATATGGAATATAAATATACACATAATGATTGTTAGCTAGTTTTATTTTTAGTACCTTATATTGTAGCCAATTACTCGTAACTATTCATAGTTATGTAAATATGTAGAACTCTGATGAAATAATATTTGGGGCTCCTATAGTGTATCACATAGTTCTTTGTATATAATCATATATAATCATCACCCAATTTGTGTTTGCTGAATTTAATTGAATAATTACTAGTTTCATATACTTAGCTATTCTGGACATATTAATATTTAAAAATGTATAATCAAATCAAAACAGATAGTAAGAAAATTTACGACACCCATGGTATCATTAAGACCAAGATTCTAAACATGATAATTTATCTATAACCCCAGAAGGGTAACATCTTTATAACAATCTCAGGAATACAATAGAATAATTTTCATGGCCACGCAGGTGTCTGAAGGTGAGGCATTAAATTTTGGCATGTAGTTTTTAGATTCGGGCACTTCGCCGCTGGCAAATGATGCTGAATGGCACTGAGAGGGTCTAATTAGGGAAACTGTGAAGGCTTAGGAAGACCAAAGTGAAATACAAACTGTCTGCTTCCATGCTTTGAATGTGTTCTGTCTTCACTACTGTTCTCCTTAAAGCACTTCCTGTCTAGAGTTTAATAAGCAGAGGGACAAAAACTGTGTACATAAAACCCAAATACTCCAGTCGATTAAAAAATGAAATAAGTAAAAGCAAAAGAACATTTAAAGTGAAATAAGAGGCAGTTTGAGTTAGGATTTTGAAAGACAATATTATAGAGACTCTTGGTTTCAGACACCACAGAGTAGCTTGCATCAGGAGAACCCTCCTGCTGAAAATAACAGTAAACAATAGGCAAAATACACAAAACTACTTTTGAAGGCATTGTAGAGCTACGGCAGAACTGATGAGAGGCTACAAGACCTGAGGGAAGGAAGCGTAGAGAAGTAAGTTCCACATTCACCCAGGATTTTTACTTAAAGGCTTTGCTAAGTCTTGTGGGAAGTGTTGGGGGAAAGAGTCAAAGCCACGTCTGGGCTGAGGAGGGAGTTGTAGGTTGGTGTTCAGGGATGCCAAATGGCTGAGACCTGAGGAGTAAAGATCCTGGTGAAGAGGGAAATTGCTGAGAAGAGAGCCCAAAGATCTATATGCAATTTCCCCTTGAGGCATTTGCCAACTCTTGAGCCACATATGAGCAGGAGGAAACTCCAAGAAACCTAGGGGGAAAAACTCCAGCAGTTGGAAAGCTATCGAGATGAGCAGAGACTTCAGTAGCCCCTTGAGGCTGAGGAGGCAAGGGTTGGAGTTCAAGTCCAGCCAGGTGGAAGGGCTCTGTAAGCACCCCAGGTCTTCAGTTGAGGCCCAGAATGTCCACTCCCAAGAGTGAGAGCTCTGCCTCAGGAATAGGGACAAAGCATAAGTAAATTCTCCCTAACGAAGCCTAAAACCCACCCTCAGCAAAATGAAGGTATTTTCTGTAATCTGTTTGCTTGCTGAGAAAAAAATGTTTCCATCTTTGGAGGAAAACACCATCATCCAGGGGCTTTTCAATGTTTATGCACAGTGTCCTCTACTCAATAAAAAGTTACAGGGCCTTAGAATAAAAAAGACAAACTAACTAAACATCAAGAGAAGCAGAGACAATAAGTCATTCAAATTTTGGAATTATCAGACTGGGACTTTAATTTTTTTTTATTTTTACTTGGGTAAAATATACATAACATAAAATTTACCTTTTTAAGCATTTTTTAAGCATACAGTTCAGTGGCCCTAAGTAAAGTCAATGTCGTGCAACCATCAACACTGCATCTTCAGAACTTTTCATCTTCTCAAACAGAAAATCTGTACCCTTAAACAGTAATTCCCCATTTCTCCCTCCCCACAGCCCCTGATAACCTCCATTCTATGTTCAGTCTCCATGAGTTTGACTACTCTAGGTATCTCATGTAAGTGGAATCATACAATATTTGTTCTTTTGTGACTGACTGGTTTATTTCACTTAACATAATGTACCTTCAAGGTTCATCTGTATTGTAGCATGCATCATCATTTCCTTCCTTTTTAAGACTGAATAATATCCCATTATATGTATGTACCACATTTTGTTTATCCATTCATATCCAGGTGTCAGTGGACCCTTGGGCTGCCTCCACCTTTTGGCTCTTGGGAGTAATGCTGCTATGAACACTGGTGGACAAATATCTGTTGAAGTCTCTGCTTTCAGTTCTTTGGTGTATATACCCAGAAGTGAGATTGCTAGAGCATATGATAATTCTATGTTTAACAGAGAATGACTTTTTTAAAAAAGCTATGAGAATTATGTTCAAAAAACTAGAAGATGGAAAATTTCACCAGAGACTTGAGATCTGCAAAAACAAAATTTAAAAAAAAGAATTCAAATGGAAATCCTGAAAATGTCAAATTGGTGCAAAAGTAATAGCAGTTTTTGCCATTAAAAGTATGACTTTCAATGTTTTATCCTTCTAGTGTTCGCTGGTAGGTACTCAATATTGTACTTAGTTAATCAAGTTATTTGAGGAATAATAATACTACATATATTTTTGGTTTGAGAAATAACATTTTTAAAAATTTATTTTAAGCAACTAAAACAATAACTTACCAGGTGCTGAGTGCTTTGCTAAGTGCTCTCATTTAGTCCTCAGAACAATCCTATAGGGAAAGAACTACAATTTTTCCTATTTTATTGATGAGTCAGACAAGGTCAAAATGTTTGTGTAACTTGTCCAATTTCTCATAGGTTGTAGGAATTTTAACCCAGGTAACATGGGTCCAGATATTAACCTCTATTTTAAAAGATAAACTTAAAAAAACATAAATTCTTCTTTTTTCACTAAGTGGCTACTTTACAGCTTTAGAAAATAAATGGAAAACTGAGAAACCAAATTGGTTGGTGACATCAGTTAGGGCACTAAACTATTCTTATAATATGACCTTTACATTTTTTCAAATGTTTCTTCAGGATGCCGGGGCACTACTTGATATATTTTGGCATGGGCTCTGTCATGCATGTTTGACATATGAGAAACACCACCATGGTGAATAGAATGTTCCATCTTTCTCCTTAAACTCCAAATTGCTCGGGGCCACAAGATACAAACCATGGGTTTAAGTTTGACACCCTCAATTTCCTTCTTTCATGTTTGTGGATCTCATTCTCAGAATGCTGGCATTTTACCTTTCTACATCCTTGTCTTCACTCCTTCCTCTACCCCATCATCTGTCTTAAATGTTTAATCTTTTTGCTACACCTCCTCAGAGCATGATGGCTTTTGATGGCCATCTCTCCTCCAGTGATGGGGCATTCTTGGGGAAATCCATTTTCTTTCAGCCTTGGCAGGGAAGATCATACATTTATTGTATAGAACAAAGGGAGTATTCATTCAGACCTGAAGATTCCCAATATATTTGCCTTTAGCTCTCTTGTCCTCAAACTCTTTATTCACCCAGGTTACATTTCTAAGTCCCTCATATCCTATTTTAATCTCGTTTGTTTAATCAATTTCTCTTTCTCTCTCTCTCTGTCTCTCTCTCTCTCTTTCTCTCCCTATTAGAAGAAAAAGAGCTGCTCATTTCAGACAGAAAATTAAAATGAACACCTCCTTTTGTAATGCTGGACAATCCCATTATTAAATATTTCTTAATCTCTCTGGTGTGAGACATAGTTCCCTGAAGTGTACAAAGTGTTTTGATATAGAAGGAGATGAAGGGCAAACAACATTATTCCAGCTACAAAAAGATATCGGCATCTTTTCTGTATTGATGTCATTTTCTTTACCAGCCTTCTAAGAATACTTATGACCCAGCAAGCAAACGGTATTTAGTGACTGCCCATGTGTACACAGTCCTCTGTTAGGCAGCATACCAGTTACATTAAAAAAAAAAAACCCAGCTCTGGCCTTCTAAACACTTAATTCTGCAATAAAACGACTGTATGAGCAAAAATGAGTGTTTCAGTCACATGATTCTATTAGCCTTTGTGGAAAAAATCCTTCTGAAAGCAACTGCAAAAATGTTAGAGATGTGACCAGTTGGAAAATACATTTGCATTTCCAATACCTACAGGTTTCTTCACACTTCTTATATAACCATTCTCAATTACAGGAAAAAACCCACCAAAACTATGAAGGGACTTTCCAGACAGAAATAAACTGTCCCCATAGGAAATAAAATCTTCAAAGTGTCCCTTTCATTGAACTTGTTTTTCTTCCTAGAACAAATGGATACATCAGACATAAAATTTTACAGAGACACTAAAGTAGGGGTCTGGCTTACCTGAATAGGAGAGGTTACAGCATTCCACTAAGAGGACACCAAGGCGCTAACAACGCACAGACTACTTTCTATCACATTTTATTGAACTTCTAATCACCATCGACTATATGAACCATCATTTATTTAGGATTTCAACAGCCTCCAGTTAAACTCTATTTTACATTTCTTTTTCTGTGTGTTTGTTTTAATTTAAAAGCCAGTATACATATTGACAATTCTTTGACAGCAAAGGTAAAACCACCAGGAGTATATCTGTTTATTGAGGACTGACAGCTTTATAGCTAACATAAAAATAATCTAATGTTTATTGGGGCAAATGTTTGGACTGAGGATTAAGTGAAACTACTGAATAGAGAAAACCTTTTCATCCTATTCAGGCTTTTCAAATAAGGTTTGGGATCAACTACATAAAAACTTTTTGTGTTGATTTCTTTAATGCTCTTCCCTTAATTTGTCCCACTACTCACTCCCTTCCACTCTGCTACCGCAAATTAGGTTTCACAGCAAGGGTTTTAAAGTAAGTAAAACCTTGAAAAGGAAGATGCTACTGTTCAGAGATTCATTGCTATAGAATTTACATGGGCCATATGAACTTTCTAGATAAGAGCAAAGCAAAATCTAAAGCATACTGCTTATAATATAAACTTTTTCTGCTGTTTCATGTAGCTTACATGTAAGAAGAGCTCTTGAATTTTTTTGTTTGTTTTGCTGCTTTTTAAAAAATTCATTATTAGAGATGAGAAGCAGAACTTATTTTAAACTCTTCTGAAACTGGTTTTAAGGAGTCTTAAGGAGCCTTTTTTTCTTCTCTTTTGCCTTCAGCCACATATCAACAGCATTAGATTGTTGTCTTTATTTTGAATGTCATGTTTGAAAGGTCTTAAAAAATCTGATCTTTCTATGAATGGAAAATTACTTGTTTGAAAAGAGTTAATCCAACTATGAGATTAAAAATAACTAATCAAACTATTGTTAGATTAACAATGCTTGACTTTAATATTTTGAAATTTGATGTTAGTTATAATTACCACTAATATTTCTTTTCCTAACATCTTTCCTCCAATAAACAAAGAATTTTATACTCATCTAACACATCTTAGCAAGGTTCAGATCAGCTATTGCTACTTCTCACTTTCCCACACTCCTCCACCTTAACCCATCTCCTGATCCTATGTCCACTGAGTAAAATAGATAGAAGGAAAAAAGTAAGCAGCTTGTTAAAGGCCGCTAAGGAGTGGTTGCAGAGTTAGAAATGGAAGCCAGGCTTACTCGCTGAGTCCAGCTCCCTGAGGCAGTTAAGTAAAGTGCATTGGCTCTTTCCCTTTGAAAAGTCTGTTTATCTTCCGACAAAGCCGACGTGTGAACATTTGAATAGCTCAGTTTTCAATTTCATCACTGGAACTAAGTGTCCACATGGATCTTGGCAGGTTTTTGTGACAGTGTGCTGCGTGTCATACATGTGAATAGACCAAACAGGGTCTGGAAATGTCAGAATCTTGCCGCCACTGAGAGGTAGTCTTAGCAAGGAATTTTATACCAGGTGTGCATCTAAGGCTAATTCACACTTTCCTGGAAGGCAAGTAGTGAGCTCCCCAAGGTCAGGATCCTATTGTACACATCTTGGTGTCCCTGGGATCTGATGGAGCGCCTGAGTCCTAGATGGAATTCAACAAAAGTTTGTTGAACTAAACTATATTAAAATGTTCAACTCTGTTTAAAGATAGATTTGGTACTTTTTAAAAAAAAAGAAAGAGAGAGAAAGAAAGAAAGAGAAAGAAAGAGAAAGAGAGAAATAAATAAATAAATAAATAAATAAATTACCATACTGTCTTTTTTATTTACTGAAGTGGAAAATGTGATCTATTCCTCAATAGATTTAACTTATTCTTAATTCCTTTCTGCATCATGTTCATGGTGGTGATGATTGCCTGCATTTTAAGGCACTATAATGCTTTGACATGCAGAGATTGCCAGTAAATTGTCAATTATGTTATCTATGGCATTTTCATTCTCTTCCTAGAACATCAATCTGTTAGCTCTTCTTAGAGACTTGTGGGCCCTTTTTCTGATTTCCACTGTGCAACATTTCATTTTCTTAACAAATGAAGTAAGACATTTCATCTCTCAATCAGACACCATGGTTGTCCTTTATCACGTTTCCCATGACTTTGATGAGCTGGAACAACTCCTTGGCATTTAGGTTATTCTTGTTCTGAGGTGGTTACATATATGCTGTGTTGCATCTGAACTCTAAACTTCCTCTACCCGCAATCCTCTTGCCTCTTGCAAGCTAGTCTGCATGAGCTGCCTGTTACTTTTCAGGCACAGCTTAGAGTACTGATATGGTTCTCCAATTCGTACTATGGGTTTGGTTCCTGCTTCCTTAGGGGTTGTGACAGGAGTCTCAGCCTGACAAATAATCAGCTCCCACCTGTCCTTGTAAGGAAGGATGACTTATTTAAGGCATGTGAGTAATACTGCACAGACGCTTCACAGATCCACACTGTCCATCATGGATCCACAGTAGCCCCAGTATTAGAAAAAGCCCTTTCTCAGCCTTGGGCTTCTGTGACTAAAAGTCTAGAAGTTATGAACAACCTTTTATAAATCCATCCTTCCTTTAAAACTAAACACAAAAATGTCAAGCAACACATGTCTAAGTGATTGACATTTTATTTTACACTTTCTGCAAGCTGTATGGACCTTTGTTGGTATCTGTTAGGCAAGAAGAATGGTACTGCTAGGTATGCTACATTCTCATCTCAAACAAGCTGGACTTCAGAAGTCAGCCTAAAGAATCATGTGGTACAACAAACCTCTGCCCTGAGCAACATGATGATCAGAGTGGACTGGTTTACTTGTAACTTGAAATTGACCAAAGGAGCTACTTTACTTATGATCCCTAAGACCTTAATAACGAAGTTAAAATCATTTTTCTAATGCTGTATACCTTTCAGTAGCATTTTAAAATCATATTCTAATTTTGATTTTTAAAGAGAAATGTTCTCTAAAGCCTCCATAACAAAAAGAGCAATTTATATAGACTTTCTTTTAACAGTATCTTTAAGGTTATTATAAGGTCTATACTCTTATTAGGGTGGTCTGGGAATTCCCTCATTTCCCCTTAATTGAGAAAGTCATAATAAATAAAGTTTTTACTAGCATGGTCTAGTGGCCACCAAGTCGTAAAAGCATAGCAAATGATAAAAATGCATGTAGTAAAATCCATAAATTAATCCTGTCAGTAAAATTTCAATTATTTGAAATTTATGAGATTTTAATTAATATTTTTACTTTCGAATCAATTTCATATATGCCCTGAGCCATTAACACAAACAACCCTTTAATTTTTATTCCTTGGAGAAGAGTCTTATTTACTAGGATTTTTTTTTTTTTTTTAAATGGAGTCTTGCTCTGTCACCCAGGCTGGAGTGCAGTGGTGTGATCTCAGCTCACTGCAACCTCTGCCTCCCAGATTCAAGCGATTCTCCTGTCTCAGTCTCCCAAGTAGCTGGTATTACAGGCATGCGCCACCCACACCTGGCTAATTTTTGTGTTTTTGGTGGAGACAGGGTTTGACCATGTTGGTCAGGCTGGTCTCAAACTCCTGACCTCAGGTGATCCGCCCACCTTGGCCTCCCAACGTGCTGGGCTTACAGGCATGAGCCACCACTCCCAGCTTGGGATGTTTATATATATATCATCAATAAGCAGCTGTACAATAAAATGTTTGATGCATTACATAGTCATATTTTCTAATCCTGTTTCAGTCTGAAACAGCATTTACATATTGGTGGTGTGTCTATTAAAAGACTCATTGAAATTCATGTTATTAAAACTTTAAATAAAGTGAGAGTTAATTTTTCCCCTTCTTTTGAGGAAATAAAAACACTCCTGGAGAGAACTGAAAAAATGAACATCACTAACTAGGAAACAGCTTCTTACTCATTTCTGCTCCCTTGTTGGCACTGTGTACATCTGCCTCTGATCATATGTGTTCATTGCCTGCATGGTACTTTACCTACACTAGCCTGGGCCACAGACCTTTATCTATGCAAGTGCCTTATTGCTTGCTGATTGACAAATTCATCTCTGTTAACTATGTATTTTCCATTGAATTTTCCTATGAATATTATTCATATTCACTTTCCAAGTCTGTATTCTTTTCATAGCCCAATAAAATAAATGTGTTTTATGAACTTCTTTGATTTGCTTCTTCTTGCCAAGTTTTTTTTTTTTTTTTTTTCCTGATCTGCAAAATGAACATTTCACTCTAGGTTTCTTGAAGGTGTGTGTGAGTTGACGAAGTTTCATTGTATAAAAAGAACCAAGCCAAAACTTGCCATTCAAAAGAAAATGCCAGAGGAGAATAAAGGCCATATGTCAATACAGAGAAAAAGACTGACTGCAGCTATTTTATTATGCTTGGTGTTTATAGTTATTTCTATGGAAACTGCACGTGGATTTTTGAGGATTGAATTTGACCCTGGGGATGTACACAATCAACTTTGAAAACATTTGATTCATTAACTTTGGGTTCATCATGTGCTTGTCCTCCTTAACTCCTAACTGCAAATAACATGACATGTATGAGACCATCATGATATTCATGCTGGGTTTTTTTTTTTTTTTTGGTTGTATTTTCTGGGAGGAGCAGAGGGGAGAAGGCTCATGGGAGAGGCTTCTTCTATTTACAGATGACTGCAAGGTACAGGATAGCATGTTAGCTTCCTCCCCACATTTCCTCAGTGCTTAGAGGCATGAACTGGAGCTTCTTTCATTTATTCTATTAATTCATATTTTTCCATTATTCATGTGTTTCCGTATTTTCCAGGGACAAAAACAATTTGTTTATCTATTTCTTCATTCCCCCAACATCCCATTTCTGTTTTCTCTCAATAAATAGCTGATTGGGAGATTTCAAATTATGAGGAAATTCTCCTGTTGCAGTCCCCACATGGTATACAGAGATGATCAGATCATAATATATTTTCCCATATTTTTGCCTGTTTGTAGTCAGAGCTTTTAGCTTTGTTCGTACTAAACATGTGCACCTATGTATGTGCTTAAAGATGATATTTTTGTTATACTCAGATTAGGAAAAATAATAAAAAAGTAATGCCAGTATAAGACGCCATTTCAGAGGGTAAGGGCAGTAGAGGAAGACAAAGATTAGCAAATAAGAACCAGAGAGGGATGTTTGAGGAAGAGATATGTGGTGAGGACTGCTTTTAAGATGTGGGGTATAGCATGTGGTAGGATCTGTGATCATTGTAAAATGATTTTTTCTTGATGGAACTCTTGGTGGCATTGGGCACCTGAGTGCTCTTTCAGAATGCATGATACCCAAAATTAGTTCCATAAATTGTTTAACTTTTTTAATGAGAGAGGAAATATCATATTGAAGAAATGGAAGTAGTAAAGGTTTTTTAGCTGATGGATTAAATGTTAGAGTTTTAAATACCAAAATTCATGGAGTAAATGTACAAATTAAGCTCTTGTCACATAAAGGTATCCACTTAATGTGTGCAATTTGAGATTTTTCAGGGAGTCATTAGCTAGATGGTGTCCTTTGCGTGCCCTGAAGTTGCCTGCACTTTGGACATTTCACAGTTTATTAGCAACTCTATCGCAAACCAATCTTTCTATTTATTTAATACTTGGTCCAACATTTTCATGAGGGAGGGGTATGTTACAGCTCTTGACTGTGGGTTTTCAGTTACCCCTGTGGTCTGCCTCCCATTAACAGGAATAATTGGGAACTGGATGTATAGAATACAGACTCGCAGCCATTGAAGAATGCTGCTAGAAACATGAATTTTACAGGCCTCTGTTAAAGTCCCTTCAAAAGGATCAAGTTTTTATAAAGATTTCAGATAGCAGACCTCAAATACACTTTCTTTTTCTCTCTTGCTCCTAAATGGAAAATATTGCCCTATTCTCTCCTTCTTTAGGACTAGCGTGGGACACATCATGAGCCACTGGCATAATTTTAAGTCCTCTAATCATACAGTTCTGTGGGGAAATAGTCGATGGTCTAACTGTCCCTCAGAGTATTTATAAAAAAGAGAGCATTTATCTAGTTACACTAAAAAATGTTTTCATGCTATTATCAAAGACAATTTGTAATGTCTTTTTAGAACTCTTTACTGAAGTGTAGTATAACACAGAAAAGTGTACCTAAGTATACAGTGAATTTTCATAAGCTAGAAAAAAAAAGAAACCCATGTATCCAGCACTCAGACCAAGAAATAGAATATTTTTGGCTCCCAGAAGCCTCCCGGTGCCTCTTTCCAATCTGTTGTGCCCCACTCCCACCAAAGGTAAGGATCATCCCAAAGTTGACTCTTAAATTTTCAAATATCACATCATTTTCTCACCAGGTTTATTGGCTGATTTTTGTTGGAGAGCAAAGCGGGGTGGTTAATCCCCTATAACTGGCTTCTTTGCATTGTGGAATTTTCCTAGCTGTTAATTATTAACTTTTCCTTAAAATAAAACTTTCATTGTATAAAAAGAAAAACTCCATGAGCACAGTACATGTGATATAAATCACTTTTATGTCTGTGAAACAGCTGAGTTTACATTTTTATTACATTGTTTGAAAAAGTATCTTTTCATCTGGAAAGAATCAGTTTAAAATGTGATTGTCAACACAACTAAACCAGTTTTCTGTTTAAAATGGCTGCTGGTGGGGCTAAGAACTATAATTAAGCCAGGTTTCTCTGCATGGACATTAGTGACTAAAACCTAGAAGTTTTCACTGAGGTTTGCAACATAAATTTCTTTACTTTAAAAAGCAGGTAGGGTGTTTTTGTTTAGGTAGAGGAAATAAGTAATGAATAAAAATATTACTGTAAAGTGCAGAATGCTTCCTGTGAAAGGTGATTTAGTGGTGTGGTTTTAAGTTAAAGTAATATATGCATTTATAATGTGTTGCCTAGTGGGAATACGTTGGTTTGAAAAGATGTTTATGTATTAGATAATTAGCAACTTACAGCATAATTTTCTCTCTGAAATGTTTTAGATTTAAATAATTCTGAAAGGATCCTTCTAGAAATATATCACAGTTCAATTGGATTACCCATTCTAATATAGGTATAAACAACAGTTTTGAAAGCCTGTAGCTATTGCTTATGTTCACAAATTTCTTGCTATTTATTTTGAAACAATAAAAAAAGAAAGATATTTTGCTGAATTTAATTTGGACTCTATTATTAAATGAAAATTGATATATGCCACGTTCCTCTTATTACTGAAATACTTTGGAAAATGTAATAGAGATTTTGACTGCACACTCCCCTTTTTTCCAGTACAACAGTGCTGTGATATATGTGGTTTTATAACAGTCCAACCTTCCCAAATTCCTGCTTTGAATAGTTTATTTTTCAAAATATAGAGCAATCATCACTGTGCAATTGTGTGTGCCAGCTAACCTTTCATCTTAAACAGGATTTCCAAAATCTCATTGTTTTATGGCTTTCCTAAAAGAGGACTTATTTTCATACCTCAAAAGTGTTGCAGGCTTTGGGGAAAACAAAAATTCTCAATAATCCATCATTAAGTGAATTGGGAGAACTGTTTAAATAGTATGAGTAGAACAGAGAACATTTTGAGTATTTATCCAATATAGGTTCATGTGCAAAATAATTTTTTGAATTCAGAATGCTGAATCCATATTTTTTTCTGTGAGCTAAAGCAGAGTAACTAATTATTCGAGCTAAAGCAGAGTAACTAATTATTCAGCATTTTACCTGGCAAGAGCAGATGTGGCAGAACTTCGAAGGCAGAATGAGTGATAAGGATGATGTATGGATTTAAATAGGATAATGCACCACCTCTCAAAAATTAGAATTAATTGAAATTTTTGCACAGGTCTGAAGCTTTGATGATGATTTATTATGGTTTGGACATTTCCTTTGAGCTAATCATTATTATTCTGCTTATTACCTTTGAATTATCACTGTAAATATACTTATATCCTAAGATGCCACGGCACTTCAGAAAGGACACTTAACCTTAACAAGAACCCTTGTAGATGCTGGGGCCAACAGACATCATATACTACCCCATGAAGCCTACAAACCTCAAGTTGAAAGCTCATAACCAGTACTTTATGCATACCTTTCTCTTTTTATCAACTATTTAGCTGAAGTACTCTTCTCCACTAGGAAAAATATATATATATTTTTAATATATACATATTTTATATATACATATTATATATTTATATATAATATATAAATATATAATATATATAAATATATATAATATATATTTTATATAAATATATAATATATTTTTATATAAATATATAAAATATATTAAATATAAATATATAAAATATATTATATATAATATATAAAATATATTATATATAAATATATAAAATGTATTATATATAAATATATAAAATGTATTATATATAAATATATAAAATATATTATATATAAATATATAAAATATATATGTGTGTGTGTGATTACAGTAACAAGATGAGTTTTTATATAGGCAGGATGAAAAGCTTTTTTCCTCCTTATGTTTTAGGTTTTTATATTTTTCTTAAACATTTTATTTTTATCCTACCTTGCCTACAAACATGTTTGTGCTAAAAGATAGGCATAGGATGTAGTGAATGCTGCCTGTTTTCTTTGAGGAAGATTGACAAAATTGATTTCAGGAGAGAAAGGTGATAACGAAATGAAAGCATAATCACCACTTTAAATATATATGTTTATCAAACTACCAATGGTTTTCTTAGAAAGAAATGGCAAGTTCTTTCTTCATTCTAATCCTTTTCCTTTTTTTTTCCCTGAAGATACCAGTTTTTATTTTCTCCTCCCCAAAAATCTATGAAATACTTTAAGGAAAACCAGAGCCTCCATAGCAGAACTTCAAATGTCAAATGACTCCTCCTGTTCATTTCACTGCACTTATTTATGAGAAATTATCGTAGTAATGCAATGTCAGTATTAACTCCAAATAATTCAACTCCCTGAAAAGTTATTTATTTCTGTCGTCAAGTTAATATTTGTATGTATTTTACCATCAGCTTATAAATGAAATTAAGTGGACAATGTTATGGTCAAATGTTAATGCATAATTGAAATAAAATACAAAAACAACAAGGAGACATTAGTAAATATGTTTTTTTCTGGGAAATCTGCAGATATTTAGTTGCAGACACAGTAAAAATGAATAAAACCAAATCTACAAAAATCCTGTTTTCACCAGGAATTTGTAAATTTGACAAGTCTCGTAAGCCATAAACCCTGACAGTTGGAAAACTGATCTTTTCTAGGTGAGTAAAATAACTAGAGAGAAAACGGTGACTTACTTTTCATGAGGGCCAAACCAGTAAGACAAGTTTAGTTCCCTGGAAGATGAGGTTCTCTTAGGAAGGAGAAGACAGATAGATAACAGCAAAGCACAGACTTTCAATATCATCAGAATCCAAAGATTTCCACCAGAACCGTAAACATGTGTACAGACACATGCCTTAGCTGGTTGTGAAATCAAAGATGCCGTTTAAGTGCTAAACAAGAGAATAATATTTGGAGCCTTTTTGTTTTTCAACACACACAGATCTAGGATGCCTGTCCTCAGTTGCTGTGGTTTTCCACAATTAAAGGGCGGCCTGGTGCTTGGGCTCAGGTGATCCGTAAAGGGGGTGGGCTATGGAGAAATGGCGTACCCAGCCGCCTGCCTCGGTGGCTCAGCCTTTCATGATCGCCACTCTTTGTTGAGAATTGTTGGCAGTGGCAGCGGTTTGCAGCTTCAGATAACAGCCGCCGTTCTCAGGTAATGCCTTCGATCAGAGCCCTGATGACAGACTGTGGAGTGCAAGTTTTTTCAGGTGCTCTGTTTGCTCAGTAATCCTTCAGTGCCAATCTCCTCCAAAGAGTGAGCAAGACCCATCCGTAATGGACATCAGCCATTAAGCTCATAGTATTTGTCGTCTATCAGGTTACTGCTTTGTTACTCTCCAGTGATGAATGGATGCTGTTATGGTTTAAGAAAATAAAGCAATGCTGTAAATGTGTCCAGACTTTAAAAAGTGGCCATTTTATTCCTTCCATTTCTTGAGAAATAAACAGAGTACTCCTGAAATGCTAGCCTTTTCCTTGCAAAGTACGGAGAGCAATGTGCTTTATGTTAGTGTTTATAGTTGCTTAGCGTCCACATCAAACAAATTACTCTGAGTGTCTATACCGTATTTCACCTTGGTTTGATACAGCTGAGTTTATACTTTGCACAAGCATCTGATTAAAACAAGCATGCTTGCAAAGAACTAGTCACAGAAACTATTTGTACTTGCATGAAAAAAACCCAAACAGGGAATTTAGGTGTTAAAAATAGCATGAGACCAAAGCACCTCTCCATCTTAGTTATTTATATTGGCTGGACATGTTTCTGTATCAAAGGAAGAAGTAATAATTTTTAAAGACTCCTTATTATATTTCAGTTAGAAAGTTTCTAGAAAGCAATATTTACTCAGTATTATTTTGTACACAACATTTGTATCCATTTTATTAACATTTATACAGTTTTTTTGAATAAAATGAATTGTGTTTAATATAAAATGGGCTGTATATATTCACTCTTTTCATCTTTTCTAAATTAATGTTAATTTCAACATTAATTTTGAAAGTCTTTAAGCAAGGCTATCCTTTTTAAAAGTGCCCAGAAATTAAATTCTAGAGCTAGCATGCTAAGTATGCTTTAAAACCATTGGCGTTTCATTCTATTTTGTAATTCTTTTCAAAAATGACATTGGTCCTTTTGCAAATAAAAGGAAAATTAAAGATGACAGTTCTGAGGTAATATAATAAATGAGGACCCCCAGCCAGGTTTGGTATAAATTACTGCTTCCCCACTTCACCTTAGTTTTCATGGCTTCTCAAGATATTCTGAGTAGAGTATATTTCAAGAGCCATTTTACCGACTCTATCTCAATGGCCTCTTCCCTCTTTTCCTCCTCTCCGCTACTCTTGCCAACTAATGCAAAAGTCTTTCAAGCACCTGAGAGCAGGTGCCTGGCATTATGTGTGAATCCAGCTCACCCAGGGCCACTGCAAAAATGTTAAAGAGCACCACCCCAGTCCCTGCCTGACACTGTGACTTTTATTATCAAGGCTCTCAGTGTTGCTTCTGCAACCCTCAAGCGAGAAAAATCATATGGAGGACAGTGGCTGTGTGTGTTTATTTTATTACCACAGGCTCATAATTGCCAGAGAGGTGAGGGGCCTCACCTCCATCAGCTCTAATTGCTGTGAAAGACCGTGGCCTCTCCCGAGGCTGGGCCGGGAACATTTCCTGTACAGAGGCTGGGGCCTGGGTTGCAGTGCCATACGCCAAACTCTTTCAGATTTTCCCCACCCCACCCCCATTTTCATGCCATATTTTTTGGTCTTCTTTCTTAGATGGTCCTTAAAAGACATTTTACAACGCGGGGACATTTAATCAAATAAAGGCAGCAGTTAATTGCACAGGACCTCTTTGCTTCAAGAGAAAAAAAATTAGAGTGATTTCAGGACTCAAAGGAAGAGCCTTGCAAAGAGTTGGGAGGATTAAACTCTATGGATTTAAGCTCTGCCTGCAAAATAACATCGCTGGGAATTTAGACACAAATTAGGAATATTCTGGAATTCATTTAGCAGCAAATCTCCTGACTAGTTGTCAAATGGAGCTGTTCTAATTGGCCTGTTCTAAATGGGCCTGTCCTAATTGCAGAAATATTGCAGAATATGTTTTTAGTAAGCTCTCTATAGAAAGTCACCTCTGAGTTGCTCAGCATTTAGATTCAAATATTCAAATGTTTTTTAAAAATGCCAGCATATCAATTATATTTGAAGAACAGTATAGAGGCTTGAAACATGCCAAACAGCAGGGAACAGGAATAACCTTTAATGAGTGCCTACTCTGGTGCAGGGTCCTTTACACACATTACATTATGTGATCTTCACAACAACCTTTGAGGTAGGTTTTATTGTCCCCATTTTATAGGTGGAAACCAAGGTGCCCAAGGTCCCATAGCTAATAAATAAATCCAGGCGTTTCTGATTCCAGAGCCCACGCTCTTGCTTATACACTAGGGTGCTTCCCAAGGATCAAACCCATGGGCAGGATCTGACTAGGAATATCACATTTGTCCCCAAGAAATAATGTTCAGTGATACCATATTTTTTGTTTCTATCAAAATGCTTCACTTATCAAAGCAAGATTTCAGTATCTATTTCCAGCTGGTCTCAGGTCACATGATCTGTACATTAAGCACTTGACTTGTAAGAGTCCCCCAACTTAACCATGGTGGGACTTAGTAATATAAATACACATTACAGAAATGAGAGCTCAAACATCAATTTTCCACAGGTGTTACCTGTGCATGTCTGTTCTTGCACCGTCATTATTCTTCTTGCAAGGTGACTACATCTGGCCCCCTGAATGTGCTTTCATCAAAAGAATGCTTTAATATGGTGCCTAAGCATGCAAAGACAACCAACTGAAATTGAGCTTACATTATGCAGGATGCTGACACACTGATCTGTATAACCCACTTTTCATATTGTAGTTTTAAACCACATGACAATGATCATGCTAATAATAATTTGTATTTCAGTAGCACCTTCTGGTAAGAAGCTCAAATAGCTTTATGGCTGTTGTCTCAATAATCCTCTCTCCATCCCTCCAGGGTAGATGAGAGAAAATATATACATCTCTACTATTCACATGCAGAAAGTCAGGTACAGTGAGGTTGCTCCCAGGGTGAGTGGCAGAGGGATGCGTTAGACTATTAAATGCATGGCAATGAATTCATCAAACATGCTTTTTGTTTGTTTGCTAGTTGGTTTGGTTTAGTGTGGTTTTGTTGTCAAACCCAAGATCCAAATAGAATCAGAATTCTATGGGGAAAAGATGAAGCAGTTGAAGAGCATGTGGTTCACTTTGCCCCATTCACAAGCATCCACCTGTGTGCCAGAGAGAAACAGTCAGGCCTCACATGGATTTCCCTGACCCATTCCAGTAGGAGGACTGACTGTACTTTGGCCAATTTTGTCCTCTATGAGGGTACAGAAACACATTATGACATGATGTTGGACTGTCTTCCCCTGGCTACCACCCCTCTGGTAGAACAACTAATTAATCTATCCTTACATATGGGAATCAGGGACAATAAGGATAGGTTACATTCACACAATATCTAAAAATTTATTTTAGCTACCAGTTCTAATGTTGCAATTCTTTGCTCCCTACATTAAATATTTTTAAAAACAAACTGCCAAATATATATAGTATGGTAAGCGTACACAATCCTGGGTTCTCCTTATTTGTAAAATGGGAATCCTGGTAGCTGACTCATGGAGTAAGATAGCAAGTGTCTGACACATGGTAAGACTCACACAGTGTTTCCATTCCTACCTCTCCTTCTCTTTGGTGGAGGGAAGAGAGATACAAAGCCTAACCAATCCAGTTTGGCCTTTTACTTAAGCTACTCCCACTCTTGTCTCCTAGAAGTTGTCTGGTTGGTCTTAGCATAGAGCTCTGTTTCTAAAAGGAAGAGATGTGCTCTAATCTAGGGACACCTAAGGTTACTGCTCTTAACTGAGATCATTTATAGCCCAGCTCTCTCAAACCCTGAGAGAGATTATTGTTAGCCTTAAATCTCACTGGGGCGGGTGAGGTCAGCTCTAGAAAAGACTATGTGCTGCTTAGAAGAGGTCTCAGGCCACTACCAAATTGAATCAGTGCTACAGAAGAGCTAACTCTCAAATATCTCCAGCTAGAGAATAAAGAAAAAAAAACAGCCAATGTTCTGGTAGCATATGGATCATCCAGACTGCATGAATGTGTAAGTTTTTATCAGGAACTATTGAATTCTTGCATAGCAAGCCTGATGTAAAACAGGATTTCTTGTGCTAATAGTCAATGGAGATCAAATGTGTCAATTGAATTATGTGCTGGAAAATGCCTCAAGCCACAGCTTGATCGAAACATTCCTCAAATCTGCCATTAAGAAGTCATCTATGGTGCCTGTGCTCCTTTGCTTAGAACTAATAACTTTCATCAGTAAAATACCTGACGACCTGGGTAATCATTTTGTTGGTACAGACACTTTCAACACAAAATGGGAAAAGAATGTCCAAGCCCTTAAATTTTCTGTCATATTTTAATTAGTTGAAAAAAATTATTCATCTCAGAAATGCAATACAAGTTTGGGCAGTGTGCCTCATTGACTGAAGGCTCTTGGGGTGGGAAGTCGGGTACAGAACACAGAATGTAGTTCCTGATTTGCATTAATTCACACTGACTCCAGGTGAGTGACATCAGCAAGATGGCAGGACAGGAATTTTCTACCATATCTCCCCATAGTGCACTGATTTTGAACACCACTTACAGACAAGTATACTTTGTTTTCTCAGTAGAGAAGCTTCAACACACTGTTAGAGCAAAAAATCTATCTAGAGAATAGACACATTGAAGAGGATAAGAATAGTTTCATTTTACCCATGTCCCCCTTTCCCAAGGTGGCACAGCTCAGTGCCAAAAGAGACCCTGTTGGTCTATGAATCCTCCCATAGAAGAAAGCGAGAGCATACTGAGTGAGTGCCTGGCTCTCCCAGCTATGTGGGATGCTGCCAAGGAGGCCAACCTCTTTCTTGCCCCCCACCAGAATACTGAGGATATCAGCAACACTGAGTAGCTGGGAGAGGCTGAGACCAAGGAAGACAGGTGGAAACTCACAGTAATCAGGGCTCAAAACTCAACAAAGGGCCATGCATGGTACTAACTGCTTCATGGAATCTATCAGGGGGCTTGCTGATGAGTCACTTGGTACACCTCACCTGTGGACCACCTACAACTGGCCCACTGGTGCCCCTAATGCTCCACATGCCTCACTCCCCACCCCAACCCTGTAGCTGGCTCCCCACAAATTCCTCCTCCGCCCCCCCACCACCCCCACCCCAAGATAGTAAGAGCATTTGCAGATGACTTGCAAGCACACATAATCAGCTAGTTCAACTCTGCAGGATTGAAATAAGGCACATCGTCTTGACCATATCAGGGCACCACCCTAGAGAAAACCTATGAAAGACTCTCAGCACCTGACATGGCTTTGCAGGATCAAGGGAAGGCATGCAATCTTTTTTTTTTATTTTTTATTTTTATTTTTATTTTTTTTATTTTTTATTTTTTTATTTATTTATATTTTTTTATTATACTTTAAGTTTTAGGGTACATGTGCACATTGTGCAGGTTAGTTACATATGTATACATGTGCCATGCTGGTGCGCTGCACCCACTAACTCGTCATCTAGCATTAGGTATATCTCCCAATGCTATCCCTCCCCCCTCCCCCAACCCCACCACAGTCCCCAGAGTGTGATATTCCCCTTCCTGTGTCCATGTGATCTCATTGTTCAGTTCCCACCTATGAGTGAGAATATGCGGTGTTTGGTTTTTTGTTCTTGCGATAGTTTACTGAGAATGAACTCCCCCTAACATGAAGTAACAAGAGAGATGGAACAGGTACATCCATAGAGAAGGTCTGAGAAAGCCTCAGAATCCCTAGCTGGGCTGACTGGTGAGGGTGTTTCTTTCCTAAATTCAGTTATTAAATACTTGAGGAGGTGACTGCATCTTCAAATGCAAAGATAGCAATACCAGGCTTCAAGAAACACAACAATCCAAGGGAATATGACACTACCAAGAGAACACAATAATTTTCCAGTCACTGACCCCAAAGAAAACAAGAAAAGAAAGTTTACAGGATTTATGGGGCACCATCAAGAGAAATAATATGCAGATGATAAGAGCCTCAAAAGGGGAGAAGATAGAGAAAGCAGTAGAAGTTTATTTAAAGAAATAATGACTAATAACTTCCCAAATATTGGGCAAGATGTGGATATCCAGGTATGGGAGGCCCAAAAATTCCAAAACAGCTTCAACCCAAAGAGGACTTTACCAGCACACATTAGAATCAAAGTATTAAAAATCAAAGGCAGAGGATTTTGAATACTACAAAAGTAAAGAGATTTGTCAAATACAAGGGAACCCTCATTAGACTTTTAGCAGATTTCTCAACAGAAACCTTGCAGGCCAGGGGAGAGTGGGATGATGTAGTCAAAATGCTGAAAGAAAGAGCTGCCAACCAAGACTCTTACCTGACAAAGCTATTCTTTAGAAACGAAGGAGAAATGAAGACTTTCTCAGGTGAAAGCCAAAGGATTTCATCACCACCCGATCTGTCTTACCAGAAATGCTAAAAGGAGTTCTTCAAGATTAAATAAAAGGATGTTAATTAGTAACATGAAAACATATGAAAGTATAAGACTCCCTGCTAAAGGTAAATATATAGTCAAATTCAGAATACTCCAATACTGTAATGGTGATGCATAACTTACTTTTAACTCTAGTATAATGGTTAAAAGACAAAAGTGATAAAAGTAACTATAACTGCAATTATTATAACTACAATTATTTGTTATGGATACACAATAAAAAAGAAATAAATTGTGACATTAAAAACTTAAACTGTTTGTGTAGAGAAGTTAAAGTGTAGAGTTTTTGTATGTGATAGAAATTAAGTTGCCATCAACTTAAAATGACTGATATGGTTATAACTATAAGATGTTTTGTATAAGCCCAATGGTAACCACAAAGCAAAAACCTGCAGTAGATAAACAAAAGAGAAAGATAAAGAAATCAACACATACCACTCTAGAAAATAATCAAATCACAAAGGAAGACAGCACAAGATGTAAAAAGGAACAAAGGAAGTATAGTCAGAAAACAACAAAATGGCAGTAGTAAGTTCTTTCCTATCAATAATTACTTTAAATGTAAATGGGCTAAATTTTCCAGTAAAAGAATGTAAAGTGGCTGAACGGATTTAAAAAAACTATAAAATAAGACCCAACCATGTGCTACCTACAAGAAATTCACTTTAGCTTTAAGGACACAATAAGCTGAAAGTGAAGGGATGGAAAAGTTATAACACGCAAATGGAAACCAAAACACAGCAGGGATGGCTATCCTTATACAGGCAAAATAGACTGTTAGCCAAAATCTATAACAAGAGACAAAGGTCATTATATCTAATAATAAAGAAGTCAATTCCTCAAAAGAATATAACACTTGAAATATATACTCAGCCAACAGTAGAGCATCTAAATACATAAAGTAAATATTGACAAATATGAAAGCATAGATAGATAGCAATACAATAATCATAGGGGACTTCAGTACTCCACTTGCAACAATGGATAGATCATCCAGAAAAAGAATCAACAAGGAAACATTAGACTTGAGCTACAGTTTAAACCAATTAGACCTAACAGACAAGTACAGAACATTCTATCAAACAGCAGCAAAATACACATTCTTCTCAAGCACACACAAAACATTCTCCAGATAGATTATATATTATGCCACAAAACAAGTCTTAACAAATTTAAGAAAATTGAAATAATGTCACATATCTTTTCCAACCACAGTGGTATGAAACTACCTGTCATTAACAGGAGGAAAACCAGAAAATTCACAAATAATGTGGGAATTAACACAGTCCTGAACAACCAATGAGTCAAGGAATAAAAAGGGAAATCAAAAAATATCTTGAGACAAACAAGAATAAAAACACATCACACCAAAACTTATGGAATGCAGCAAAAGCAGTTCTAAGAGGGAATTTTATAGCAATAAATGCCTACATTAAGAAAAAGAAATATCTCAATTAAACAAATTAACTTCATGTCTCATGGAACTAGAAAAAGAAAAGCAAATTAAGGGCAAAAGTAGTAGGAGCTATGAAATAACAATGATCAAAGCAGAAATAAATGAACAAGAGATGAAAAAACAATAGAAAAGATCATTGAAGCTCAAAGTTAGTTTTTTGAAAAGATAAACAAAATTGAGAAGCCATTAGCTAGACTAAGAAAAATAAGAGATGACTCAAAATCAAAAATTAAAGAGAAGACATTACAACTGATATCACAGAGATGCAAAGAATCATAAGAGACTACTATAAACAATTATATGCCAACAAATTGATAAACTACAAAAAAAGTGGATAAATTCCTAAAAATTTACAGCCTACTAAGACTGCAATATGAAGAAATAGAAAATCTGAACAGATCAATAAGAAGTACGATCAAATTAAGGAGACTGAATGAGTATAACAGTCTGAATTAAAGAGGAGAAAGTAACTCCAAACTCATTTTACAAGGCCAGCTCGACTTACAACAAAGCCACTGTTGGTAGAATATAAATTGGTACAACCATTACTGAAAACAGTATAGAGGTTCCAAAAATATTCAAAATAGAACTACCATGGTATCCAGAAATCCCACTTCTGGGTGTATATCAAAAGAAAGGAACTCAGTATCTCAAAGAGATATCTGTACTTCCATGTTCATTGCAACATTATTCACAATAGCCAAGATAACAAGCTACGTGCCTGTTGATGGATGAATGGATATAAAAAATGTGGTATGTGTGTGTGTTTGTATGTGTGTATGTATACATATATATATATATATATATATATATATATATATGTATACACATATACATTCCTTTCTTTTAAAAGACTGGATAATATTCTTCATATATATAAGAATATGTTTATTCTTATATATAGGAATATGTTTATTCTTATATATATAGGAATATGTTTATTATTATATATATGTGTATATATATATATATAATTCCTTCTTTTTTTTAAAGCCTGGATAATATTCTTTATATATATAAGAATATGTTTATTCTTACATATATGTGTGTGTATATATAGAGAGAGATATATAATTCCTTCTTTTTTTAAAAGGCTGGATAATATTCTTTATATATAAGAATATGTAATATGTAATAATATGATATATAAGAATTCTTATATATTCTTATATATTATATATTATATTATCTATATCTTATATATAAGAATATGTAATATATGTAATATTATATATATATTATATATAAAGAATATTATCCAGCCTTAAAGAAGAAAAGGAGGAAATTCTACCATTTGCAACAACATAGATGAACCTAGAGGACATTTGGCTAAGTGAGATAAGCCAGGCACAGAAAGACACATACTGCATGATCTCACTTATATGTGGAATCTTAAAAAGTTGAACTCATAAAAACAGAGTAGAATAGTGACTAGCAGGGATTAGTATTGGGGGGAGGATAAATGCTGGTCAAAGCATACAAACTTTCAGTTATAAGGTGAATACATTCTGGAGATCTAATGTACAGCATGGAAACTATAGTTAATAATGTATGGCATACTTGAAATTTGCTAAGAGATTAGATCTTAAGTGTTCTCACTAAAACAATAACAAAAAGTAACTATGTGAGGTGAAGAATATGTTAATTAACTTGATTTTGGTAATTATTTCACAATATATACCTGTATCAAATCATCACATTGTACACCTTAAATATAAACAATTTTTATTTGTCAATCATACTTCAATAAAGCTGGGGAAAAATTTAAACTGACTCCTTCAGCCTAGGGTTAGTTCTGCATGTTCTTGGGCTTCCATTCTAATAAATAAAATGGGGGTAATGACAAGGCCATCTCCTCACCCCCACCCTGTGGCTTGAATGTATCTTTATTGAATCTGGCTTGTTCATGGTAGTGCTCAATATTTTAAGAGTGAATGAATGAGTGAACCCTTGAACTAAGGAGCTGAAAGTGGGAAGAACTAATACGTGTTGAATATGCACTGAGTAGTTGCTGTACTACATATTTCTCATGTGATAGCTCATTCATTTCTTGGTGCAACCCTATAGGTTGGTGGTCTTGTTATATTAATAGCATAGAGGAGGAAGCTGAAGCTCAGAGAGATTTGTAAGTATTTGCCTTTCTACGCACCATCCCCTTCCGACTGCATGATTGCAGTGATGGGGAGTAAAGATTTGATGTGAGATACATGTAGGAGATGAAGTCAAAATGCCTTGGAGAAGAGGGTCAAGGAAGAAGCTTGGGTATGCTGCAATTAAGACAAGAAGGAAGGGAGTCCACTGAAGGGATCTTGAAGGAGTAACCAAAGAGGTAGGTGGTAGCCCAGGGGAGGGAGTATCCTGGGGACCAAAGGAGAAGACAGCTGTGAGGAGTCAGCAGTGTGGAACACAGCAGAGAGCTCAGGGAGGTAAGGAATGGGAGTTCTCATTAGACATGGCAGTTGAAAGATAATGACTTTGAGGGGCACCTTCAGTGTTATAGCTAGGTTGGGAGACAGTATAGTGAGTATAGATTCTGTTCATGGAAGGGAATTAAACAGAACAAAATCATTAATAAGTAAAGAGGCTTGTGGAATGGGGGATGTACTCATTTCCTAGGACTGTTGTAACAGGTTACCACAAATCACATGGCTTAAAACAACTGAAGTTCATTCTCTCACAGTTCTGGGAACCAGAGTCCAAAACTAAGATGTCTTCAGGGTTGGTTCCTTCTGGACTTTTTGAAAGAGAAACCATCCCATGCCCCTCCTGCTTTGGGTGACTTCTGGCAATCCTTGGCACTCTAGCTAGTGACACCATAATTCCAGCTCTGCCTGCATCTTCACATGGCCTTCTCCTCTGTGTTTCTTTGAGTATCTTCTCATTTTTTGGCTTCTATAAGAATACCCAGCATCAAATTTAGGGCCCAGTTTAATCCAGGATGATCTCATTTTGAGATTCTTAACATAATTACATCTGCAAAGACCCTGTTTCCAAATAAGGTCACATTCACAGATACCAAGAGTTAGGACTTGGACGTATCTTTTTAGGGCCACTATCCAACTCATTACAGAGGTCATTTTGTTGTTGTTGTTTTTGTTTGTTTGTTTATTTAAGATGTGATGGACTTAAGCTAGGCTTTTTGTTTTTGTTGTGTTTTTTGTTTTTGTTTTTTTGAGACAGAGTCTCGCTGTGTTGCCCATGCGGAAGTGCAGTGGCATGATCTCAGCTCATTGCAACATCCGCCTCCCAAGTTCAAGCGATTCTCCTGCCTCAGCCTCCCAAGTAGCTGGGACTACAGGCACCCACCACCACCCCCAGCTAATTTTTGTATTTTTAGTAGAGACGGGGTTTCACCATGTTGGCCAGGATGGTCTCAATCTCCTGACCTCGTGATCCGCCCACCTCGGCCTCCCAGAGTGCTGGGATTACAGGCGTGAGCCACTGCGCCCAGCCTTAAGCTAGGTTTTATGTGAGAAAGGGGATAATTGGCAGATCAAGACCTCTCAGGAAGCATGAGCCAACAAGGTCAGTAGAGAAAGACATTCTAGCAGGGGAGGTATCTCTAATTCTCTGAGACAGGATGTGTGAAGGTAAATAGATGTGAAGGTGGGGAGCTGGGTGTTGACAGATATCCTTCTGATAATCGCTATTTACTCTGTGAAATAGAAGGCAATATTATATGCTGAGAGTAAAGAGGGAACTTAAGAAAAGTGGCATGAAGGTTGCAAATACCACCTGGAAGAATGGAAGACAGGACCAGGAAGTCATAGCAGGATTGTCAAAAGTCACTGTGTTTCCAGATGACAAGGGAACCCTACAGTTGGGGAGGCATCAATCTTCAGGTCATGTGATATTCTCCAGTGATTATAGGAACAAAGAAAGCAGTTGGGGCCGGGCGCGGTGGCTCACGCTTGTAATCCTAGCACTTTGTAATCCTAGCCGAGGCGGGTGGATCACGAGCTCAGGAAATCGAGACCATCCTGGCTAACCCGGTGAAACCCCGTTTCTACTAAAAATACAAAAAAAATTAGCCTGGCATGGTGGCGGGCACCTGTAGTCCCAGCTACTCGGGAGGCTGAGGCAGGAGAATGGCGTGAACCCGGGAGGCGGAGCTTGCAGTGAGCCGAGATCGAGCCACTGCACTCCAGCCTGGGCCACAAAGCGAGACTCCATCTCAAAAAAAAAAAAAAAAGAAAGAAAGAAAGAAAAAGAAAAAAGAAAGCAGTTGGTGGGAAGTTTCAAAGTTTCAAGAATTGATGGATTGAGTGTGGTTGTGAAAAAAAAACAATGTACCAAGAGTACAAAAAGAGGAATTCCCCTCTTCCAAGAGAAGTTCCAATAGACTGGAATTAGTGGGAGAGATTAAATGAGAAAGTGTGGATGAGGTTGAAAAGCAGGTATTATTGAACCAAAGCAGTGAAAGTGGTAGGGCAAGGATAGAAAAATGAGGTGGTAACCCTTAGTGTCTCCAGGTATCTCAATTCCAGGTGATCCAATGTCCAGGCCTTGGGAACAGGTTGCAAAAATGAGGTAGTGGTAAAGAATTTTGAAATTAAGGAGTCAAGGAAGTATTAGGCCAGGGTATTTGGGTGGGGGTAGGGCACCTGTTAAATAGGATGGCTAGTATTGATGAGTGCAAAGTGGAAGAACTTAAATCCTCATTAAATGTAGGCAACTGGCACAAAGGTCACTCACAGCCTTTAACAACGGGAGAAAGTAGAGTGAGTGCCCCTCTATTTGGGGACAGGCAAGTATAGTTAATTGTTGGTTGCTCGGTTATGAACTATAAAAGACTCTTATCCTTTCAATGGGAGATTGGATTTTATACCCACCCATTATTCGAAGTCTTGCTCTTGATGTCTATGCCAGGGACTTTAGCAATGAAAGACCCCGTGCTCAGCAGATGCCCTCCTAGAGGCAGCCCAATGCTCAAATCAGTGTTTTTTTGTTTTCTATAACCACAGTTGACTGTGTTTGATTTGGGAAGCCCTTAACTATTTGTCAATTTGTAATATTATATAAATTAGCTGGGAAACGATTTTTTTCGGGAGGGCTGTACAAACTTCACTTCCCTGGTTACTTTAGACAGTTCTTATTGTGTGTAGCTCATAAGAGTGAATCTATCTAAATATTCTGGGAACCAAGCTTAAACACAGGACTGAGTTTCTATTCTTCCCCTTTTCTATATTGATTTCCTGAGTGGCAAGCACTCACCCTTTCAGTAAAGCGAACATACTTCTTTTTATAAGTCCTATGGGACTAAGTTCTACTCAAACAGTTCTTTGGAAATAAGCAATTACAGAATTCTCCATATGCAACTATTGAGTGAAGGGAATACCATCTCATGAAGATAAGAATGAGTGTGTAATTACTGTTATTATACTTATTAATTTTATTATGCTATAAAAGTGATTAAAATTATATTGTACATAAGTACCACTGGAATTAATTCAAAAGTTTTTAGACTTTTATTAAAATATTTTAAATTGTCGTTATTTCTAAAATAGAAACATTAGCTTTTTGCTTTAATTTGTATCAGTTTGTGTAAATAAAATGACAAGAGAATTGACACAACACAATATATATTACTAAGGTAAGAAATCCGAGTCCTTATTTTACCTCTTTGTTTTTCATTTAAAAAGAGTCTCTACAGCCTGAGCAACATAGCAAGACCTTGTTCTCTACAAAAAATAACAAATTAGCTGGGTGTGGTGGCACATGCCTGTCATCCCAGCTACTCAGGAGGCTGAGGGGGAGGATCCTTGAGCCCAGGAGATTAAGGCTGCAGTGAGCCTTGATCACACCACTGCCCTCCAGCCTGGGCAACAGAGACCCTGTCTTAAAAAAAAAAAGTCTCTAAAATAAACTCAACCTGTGTTAATAAGATGGATATAAAGCCTTCTGTTCATCTTAGAATTTGGAGTCCAGAATATATTATCAAAATCTACCTAACGATCTATCAGTTCTTTTCCTCATACTGGCTTTCCCAGAAGTAATCTCAGGAAAAGTACTGAGAAATAAACTTTTTGAATAGTTTCTGCAATGTCACATGGAATATCTGCTAACACATAAGCTGAAGCACTTTGCAGAAACTTAAAATATAATCAAAGAAACCAAGAGCACATGTTAGTTGACTACTCCCCATACCTGCTGAGTAATTGATTAGACCACTAGCATTTACAAATGTCGAGTTTCTATTATATATAAAACACTTGCTAAATATTAAGAAAGCAACCAAATCCTTTTTGTACAAGAGCTTGCAGTCTAATAGAGAATTATAACAACTACATAAATCACTGAATAAATGGTAAAAGGGGACGTGCTATTGGGGGAACACAAAGAAAGCACTCCTAGAAGTTCCCTCCATAGAGGAAGGAGTGTGGCATTGGAGCTGGTATCTGGGAATTCCTCTCATCTGCTCAGCAGAAGTAGACATATTAACTCAAGACATCTACAAATGTCCATCAGATGGACATGAAACATAACTCATGTGTATTCATTACAAAAAGCATCCGTGAATACCTTTGAACCATCATCTTGTTGCAATTCCGTTTTTCCCTACCATTATGAATGGATGTATGTATCTATAATGGATGATGTAATGGGCAAGAGCATGTGCTTTGGAGTCATAGAGACCTGGCTGGGTAAGTTATTTAACTTCTCTAAGCCTCTGTCTTCTCATCTCTATCCTGTTGACAACGTGAGAACTCTCCACATAGGGTTATCATGAGGATTAAGCAAAACTGCACTGGTGGATCTCTGGTGAGTCAGTAAATAGTAATTCAGAAAATGTTACTATTATATTTGCTGTTAGTATGCTGCTTTTTGTCAACACAACAAGATTTTGGGCTCTTTTAAGACAAGGATCATTTGTTTTTCTTCTTTTATACCTTATTCAAAATACAGTTCTAGATTTCAAATTAATACTCAATAGATCCATGTTGTTTTTGCATTTTAAACTTTTGAACATATTCTCTCTGAGACCAAAGAAATCTGAGGATGAGACAAGCACAGAGTCTTTCTCCATCACATATTCTAGTTGTGGCTTATCAGTTATAAGCCTTTAGGGGTCCTCCCAGATGAATGTTAATTGATATGGCTTTGGTAATGTGAGATGCCCTAGATGGCAGGCCCTTATCACAGCAGAGTCTGACGGGTCTGACTCATCACTCACAGCTGAGAAGACACAACATTCTACATGGTTGTTTAGCCACCCAGTGGCTGGTAGCTGATTTTTTTTTTTTCCTTCTCGAAATCTGTCATCGTGCATGCAACCAAGCAAAGTATTTTAAGTTTATTTTGAAAGAACATGAAATCCTCAAGAATGCTGGTAAATGTGAGATATTTTTTCTTTAGCATAGTACTGCAGCAGAAAAAGAGAACTTTCACCATCTTTTTCTTCTGAACGGTGTTCAGCAATCTCCCAATCTCTTAATTCATAATTTCCATTTATCACCAAGCCAGTTCATAGTGAAAATGAGGCAATTTGTATAGGCAATCGGTATGTTCATTTTTAAAAACATATTATGCTTTTATTTTACTGTGCTTAGAATTGCAACAAAGGAAGATGTAGTTATTGATTGTTACCATTCCCAACAGCAACCTGGGTTTCTCACCCCAAATTATGTAACACTGAACTGCCAGAGAACTATGCAGGGGAGCCTTGGTATTCACAGATTTAACACTCTAGGTTTTGAATATTTGCAATCGACCATGAAGGTTTGTGATGTGTTAATTGGCAGTTTTGCTGAGGTTCAAATTCGAATCATATGTACTTTGAAGCTAGTGTTAGGGAGTGATTGAGGAGCTAGTGTGTTAGCCTAGTCAGCCGCCCAACATCCCTCTCCAATCAGATTTTTTTTGTTCTCTGCTCTTCACATAAGCACTAACTCTTAGGGTGATTAAAAACTTGATTTCTATGAAAAAGAAAAGTAGTCATCCTATGAAAGATAAAACATGAATAAATCTTTCAAAAACATTGACTTGGTGTGGGAAGAGATAGACTTTGGAAATGCATATGTTTCAAAAGAAATCATTCTTGGAAAAAGCCAGAAGCCTGTGCAAATATCTCCATGTTCACGGATTTGGAGATTTTTTTATGTCTCAGGATTTAGCCCTTGCAAATATCAAGGATTTACAAACGTGTTTTGGAAGGTCTGAATGAGATTTTAAATTTAAAATTTTCCCTTGTTTTGCTTCTGCTACACTTGAAATATGGCTGCTGAGTGCCAGGCTACAAGAGCTCTCCCTTTTCACTTCCTATGTAGGCTTTTGGGGCAAAACTTGCTCCTGACAGAGTCCATATGGCCTGTAAGCAGTGCTCTGTGGCCCAGCTGTGGCCGTGAAGTGGCACAATCTAGGAATGTGAAATCTTAGGGTTTGGCAAACTTTCCTGTTCGTTGGCCCCAAGGAAAATGGTGTGCCCCACCTTATGCTGCTCGCGAGCTCAGACCTCTGTTCGTTGGTCATCAGCAATTATCAGACACAGATGAGGCCCAATGAGCCCAGACACCAGAGTCTGTGTACAAAATGTTCTTCGGTACAGGGCAAAATGAGAAGATGGAGTTTTTTTGTAAAGCTCAGATGTATTCAATTTAAAGGGCTATTCCTTATTAATATTTTTATGTTAAAATGCCCTTTTAATAAAATGATGGAGACAGTAGTTTTTTTTTTTTTATGTTTCTTGCTTGGCAAGATTAAAAGTTGGCAACTTTATATAAAAGTCCCCCAAATGTTTTGAAATTTTGCTTGTCTGGGAAATCTAATAAACTATATATAGTTCTAAAACTATATGGTTTAGCAAGAGAGAAACTCTTCTCTAGAGAGTTCAAGTTTGTCCTCATAGTCAGGAGTAGACAAACTGTGGCCTCTGGGCTTTTTGCACAAGAGCGTCTGAGTCCTTGCGTCACCCATGAACCCATCTCTTCCGTGGCACTGTATTTCATTGCCACTCAAGCTATTGGACCAGCTGTGTTTACATACCTTGAGCCATTCAAAGTAAGTGATCTTTGTTCTGATAACAATGGAAGGAGTTGTACTTTGCACTCATAAGTGCCACCAAAAAAAAATCTATTCTTGGCTATCATCCAAAAATGACAATTGCAAAAATACGATTAAATCAGTGATTTATTTTGTATCTTTTTTTTTAGTTGTAGTGTTTCTGTTTTTGTAAGACTCATACAGTACTTGAAGAATGCTGAGGTTTACAAATTAAAGGAAATATTAGGCAATAATTCTTTAAAAGCATATTAAAGATTTAAATATTTCAGCCAGGCCAAAGACCAGATGGGCTGTCAGATAACAAAAGTTGATCTAACAAGAGATTATTCTTGAAAACCTACATCTTCACCTCTTGTTTATCACAGTGGAATGTTGACATATCAGTTACTGTACTGTGGAGTCAAAATGCAGCATCTTAGATCTGATCCCAAGAAGGGCCTTTGTATTTACACTTCTTGATAAGGAGGAGAGGTGTACTAGTATTACATGTAAGCATAAGGTGGACACCAGAGTATAAGTTAAACAACGTCTAAATAAAACAGATATGCACAAAGTCAAGAAGGCTACAAGAGTAATAGAATATGGCCAACAAGTTTTTAAGACTGATTATACACATAACATAATTATATATGGCAAAATGAAATCCAGGCAGTCTCCAAATCTTCCTACACTCCCAGTAAAGGTAACCTAAGTAAGAAAGACATAAGTCAAGTCTGATTTCCTCATAGAAACAGTTGTAATAGGGGATTATATGCCTCACCAAGAGCCTGATGTCTAACGTTTTATAGAAATCACCAGAAATCACAAGTAATCAACAACAAATGCTGTGTATATATAGTGTAATGCTTTCTGAAATAGATGTAAACCAAGCAGGACGATTCTTATTTTTCTTTTATAATTTCAACTTTTATTTTAGATTCAGGAGGTACATGTACAGGCTTGTTACTGTACATGTATTGCGTGATACTGAGGTTTGTAGTACACATGATCCCATCACCCAGGTAGTGAGCATATTATCCAACAGTTTTTCAGCCCTTGTCTCTCCCTCCTTCCCTCCCACCTCTAGAAGTCCCCAATGTCTATTGTTGCCATCTTTATGTCCATGAGTACTAAATATTTAGCGCCCACTTATAGGTAAGAACATGTGGTAGTTGGTTTTCTGTTCCTGTGTTAATTTGCCTAGGATGATGACCTCCAGCTGCATCCATGTTGCTGCAAAGGACATGATTTTGCTCTTTTTATGGCTGTGCGGTATTCCATGGTGTATATGTACCACATTTTCTTTATCCAGTCCACCATTGATGGACACTTAGGTTGACTCCATGTCTTTGTTATTGTGAATAGTGCGAGCAAGGCTATTTATGTTCCAAGCTTGGTCTAGACTAGAGCCCATTGACTGGGGAAGGATGGATTCTAGATGGCTTACTACAGATATGTGGCTGCCGCTCTCAAAGATACCAAAGTCTCTGACTTGATGGGAAATGTGGACTGTGCCTTCTTCACACAAGGATCCATGATAGGCCCTGTGAGGATACAACACTAAATATGGTAGAAAGTAATTGTAGTTCCCAAAGAGGTGTAAGAGTAAGAAATCTTAATTAAAGAAATGTAAAAATAGAAATGACATTAGAATTTAAGTATTTCAGTGACATTTGAGGTTTCATATTCTGAGAGATATCTTCAGTTTTCTTGTCATGAATTCTATTTTTGTAGGAAAAATATGAGTCTACATATTTTAAAAAGAATTTTAAGCAAAAAGGGAAAGTTAAAAATCCTAATACACCCTTGGGAGGAGAAAAATGTAAACATGCACCACGCAAAGATAAATTGCCATCCTTGTTAAGCATTTGTAGAATATGGAAAAAATAATATGAAGAGAGTAGATTCTCCTCGGGATTTTTAGGGATTTTTAGGAATTTAGCTTTGTTTTGTAATCACTAGTATTTTTAATTTAAATCATTTTCCAATGGTGCTACATTAAAATTTTCTAAATTCTGAACCACCTTCAAAACTGATAGTTTTTAAAACAGCAATACTTGAAGAGCTATTGACAACTCTTTCAAGAACAAGTTCTTCCATTCGTGAGAATATTGAAGGGAGAGGAAGAACATGCCTGCCCTGACAATTCCCAGAGGGAGAAAATAAAATTGTCATTGTTGGAAATAGAATAGAAATATTCAAAAGCACCACGATAGAAAACTAAGACAAATAAACTTGAATTGCATTATCTGAGGAGGAGCCCCGTGATCACACTGCCAAATAGAGTGTGTTATCCCTTGACACTTCAGTAATGCCACATCACCTATGTCCCTTATCCACAGCTGCAGCAATACCAGGTGGCATTGCATCAGGCAATGTCACATTGCTTTGTGAAGGCAGTATAAAGACAGTCTAGCACATGAGTTTTTAATTACCTTGAAGTGATTGTTACAGTAAATATAGATACAGATATAGATATAGATATAGATAGATATAGGTTTTTGTTTTTTTTTTTTTTGGTAGAGACAGAGGTCTCACTTTGTTGCTCAAGCTGACCTTGAACTCCTGGCCTCAAGCAGTCCTTCTGCCTCAGCCTTCCAAAGTGCTGAAATTACAGGCTTGAGCCATGCCACCCAGCCAGTAGCTATCCTTTATCAGGTACTTAACCAGGTCTTGTGCTAGCTTTGTCCGTGCATTAACTCATTTTCTCTTCTAAACAACCTTATAATATGACTTCCATTGCCGTATTACTTTGCAGACATGGAAGGTAAGATTTAGTGCAGTTAAGTAACCTGCCTAATGTCACAGAACCTGAAGAGATTTGGATCCAGGTCTGTCTGAAAGCAACTTTCAGTCAGCTGAAAGCAATTTGTGGCTTATTGCCCCAGCCTGAGGGATTACATATATAGTAGGGATGCTGCAGCCACAATTAGAAAGCCTGTGTATGTCAGAAGAGGCGACGGTGGGGTGAGAATGACAGAGAGATGCAGTGCTATTAAAAAGTTTCATTGAAATCATTTTAATAAAAATTTTAATAATTAAAAAAATTGGTAATCAAACTCAAGTCATTGTCAGCTTACCAATTCTGGTTTTCTCTTTATTGTTTTAAGGCTAATAGAAAGTGGCACAATTGCTTCTCCCTTTGTTCGTTTTGACACTGAAACTGATATTATGTGTATCTCTAGCTTGCTGGTTCTCAAACTGCACCTGGCTCCCTTCTTCCACCCTCTCTTGGTCAACAAGTTAGGCTTCTGCCTGGGCCTCTCCTCTGCTATTTACAATATAAAGCCCAAGTGTACTGAAGCCAGTAAGCAAAAGCTATTGCCAGTGGGTGATTCCAGGGCCACAGAAATGTGAAGAGCCAATTGGAATGCCGAAGATTTTTAGAGTACAGAGCTGCAGGCAGCGACATGTTTTTCCACACTGCAAAATTCAATGAAACTGTGCCACGGGAGCCGGCCCAGATGTGGGCCAGGATTACAACAGCCTAATCACAGCAATATTTGCAGGGCCAGATGTCCAGTCAAAAAGGGTTAAAACTTCAGATCCAAAGCCTGTTTTGCCACCTCCTCACTGGTGAGACAATGTTTTGTGATTACCTCATTATTTATCACCTCCCAGCAGATACCAACGGGCCTGAATTGCTGGGCTAGAAATCCGTTTGGGTGTCATGTGTCAGCTAAACAGGCTTAGTTACAATAGAGCCTGATTCATTTTCACCTTGGCCTCATAAAATGTGGCATATGTATTAGCATAATGGATTGGGAGGAAAAGAGCATTCGCTACAAGAAGTGAGTAAGTGCAGGCCTGGGATTTACACATTTGATCTTACACATTTGACTCACTCCAACTTTTCAAGATTTGATGGTTCCCTTCTCCCTAAAATAACTAGTTTCAGATTCTTGCTTTCTACTTTTACGCTGACTTTCCCAAAGTACCACACAATTTATAGACTTGATCTTCCTAGCTTCTCTCTAAGGCAAATAGTAATGCCAGAGTTTATTTTCCACTCTAAGAGGAGATACTCATGGGTACAGAGACTTTACATGGTGCACATGCAGCCATCCTGTGAGTTCAAAACAAAATCTGAATAAAGAGTCGGGATTCACTTTCATAGATTTATACAGGACTCACAGATGTAGAACTGTTTTCTCTGGCTAGGATACAGTGTGGTAGCATTTCTGCTTTCAATTCCATTTAATTTTTTGAGCACTTTTTATATGAAAGCCAGTTTACTAAGTACTGTGAGAGATACCAGATAGCTTTAAAAATTTCGCTGATCTAGGAGTTTTAAGTCTGCTAGAAAATTAACAAGCACAAGAATCACTGAATATAAAATAGAATAAAATTAGAAAGCTTGTAGTAAGACAAAAAAGAACATTTTAGTGTTTTCCACAAGCCTGATATTATGTCATAATTGTTTGTACTTATAGCAATATAATGGTGGTATATGGTCATGCAAATAGATATTATTATATCACACAATATTAGGCACGTTGGAGATATTGACCGCAGTAGAGGCTGAAGAAGATACTACTGCCTGCCACATATTGTGCTGAATGCATTATGCGCATTATCTCATGTAATCCTCATGCCAATCCTAACGTCCTCCTCTTAGAAACAAGAAAATTCAGTCTTTAGATTATATAACTTGTCCAGAAAGTAAGTGACAGACCCTGGAGTCAGTTTCCGGTTGGGGCGACTCTAAGGCCTGACCCTTTCCACCATGCCACACTGCCTCTTGGGTGCTGAAATGAGAGTCGATACATGGAGAAACCAGAGCAAATGGAACAGCTTAAACAAAGACCCAGAGGCCAGAAAGCACGGGGCATGTTCAAAGAGCAACCAGCAACCCACTCTGGGTTGCAACTTGTGAAGAAAAGGAGATAAATTGGAAAAAAGGATTAAGATCAAGTCAGTAAGGTTGTGGGACCCAGCATGAGAGTGGCCACTTCCTTTGGTTGGCAGTGGGCAGCCATCAAAGGCATTTGAGCAGGAGAGAAATCTGACCAGGATTATACTGTAGGAACTTCAGTCTGACGGGAATGTGTACTTCAGATTAGTGTTTTTCCACCTTTCTGTGATCACAGCCCACAGTAAGAAATACATTTGTCATTGCAAACATATTTAAAACATATATTTTTAATTAAAACAATATTGTATAAAGTAATACCTTCCCTGGGTGTAAAATGTGAACACTTTCTATTCTGTTTTATTCTATTGTATTTGTTTCATTTTTTAGATGACTTTCATAACCCACTGATGGGTTGCAACCACAATAAGAAAAACTCTGGTGTAGATCATGGTTGAGAGAAAGAGAACAAGGTGGGGAAATAAACTATAGGCTATTGCAGGAGTCTAGGCAAGAACTAGAGAAACGGGAGGGGTGTGTAAAAATGATATTTCACTCAAAAAAAAAAGAAGGGAATGACTTGGCAACTCAAAAGGCTCCAAGGCTGATAACCATTCCTAGAAGTTGGAAAGATGGGTGGAAAAATTAGCTCTGTGTGGGAAAAGAGTCTTTGAGTTTCAGGTTCCAAGAGGTATCAGTGGGCAGTCCAGATAGGTAGGAACCTGTACTCAGGATATACCTTGAAACTAGAGGCTTAGACCTGCATGTATTGCCATCTGTATGGAGGGGCGAGAAGGTGAAGAGAGTAAATAATATGCAAGTGAGAGAAGGGAAAGTTCAACGGCTTTGATCCTTTGTTTCAAGATGTTTCAAGATCCTTTGAAACATACACGTTGAGGGTAGCAGAGGAAAAGGATACACAGAGGAATGCCAAGACAGTACAGTGTGGAACCTTCTTCCTGTCTTTAACTTTTCATCTTTTCTAGTATAATCTGAGTTTTCCCAGGCCACAGCATACTGGAAGCACAACAGTAAGCCATGATATACAATGTTGGCTTCTCTCTCTGGCAACCATCTTCTAAATCATTGGTACTTGTACTTTTCCTTCAGGCCTCTGTTTCCAGTCATCCTCTGCTGTGTAGCAAACTACCCCAAAACACTGGGGCTTAAAACAACCATGTTATTTTGTTTACCCTTTTGAGGGTTAGGAATTTGGGAAGGGCTTGGCTGGGTGCTTCCCCTCTGCTCCATGTAGTCAGCTGAGGCAGCTGGAGCTAGATGATCACTTCCAATGTGGTCTCTTTACTTGCGTTTCTGGTCCTGCAATGCTCCTTGGCATTTCGCTCTCTCCACATGAAGTCTCATCCTCCAGGGCCTCTTCATGCAGCCTGGGCTTCTTAGAGCATGGCAGCCTCAGATTAGTCAGACTTCTTAGCAATGCAGGACACTAAGAACAAGCATTTCAAAATATGGAGCTGGAAGCTTCTAGCTGCATAAGGCCTGGGCCAAGTGACTGGCCCAGCATCACTTCTCCCATATTCTATTGGTCAAGGAAATCACAGAGCCCATTGAGATTTAAAGAGAAGGGACATAGGCCCTCCTGGCCTCTCAACTAGTTTTGGAAGTCTGCTCAAAATGCTTATCTGTTCTTAAAAGCAAGATGGCCCGTAATCTTGTGGCTCACCATGTTCTTCCTCCCAGTTCAGATCCTCTGTGCAGAAGGATTCCTGCAATACATGTAGCCATATGAGGTGTCTCTTCACAGACCCTGCTGGGGACCTGCCATCAGAACAACAGTTTAGGGGCACCGCCTCCCATTACTAAGGAAGCTGCAGTTGCTGCCTCCCCTGCTGATGGAGTACTTGACATTGGGCCACTGGCTGAACTGCTGGAGCTCCAAACACTTCAAAGCATGCTGGGTCCTAAGCCAGAGAAGGGATGTGTGTGTGTATGTGGGCATGCGTGGTTTTTTTTTTTTTTTTGGAGTGTGTGTGTGTGCATGCATGGTTTTTTTTGTTTTTTGTTTTGTTTTGTTTTGTTTTGTTTTGGCTTTTTTTTTTTTTTTGGAGTGTGGGTGAGTGTGCATAAATCTGGAATCCCTTCTGTTACTATTACCTCGTTCTTCACGCGTGGCAGCTTGTGCTTCAATCTCATGGAGCCTATATAAGAAAACCACTCTCCTTGGGCTGGCTTTTTTTCTCCATGGTTTCTGTTTGTAATTCATGGCTGCCTTCCCCAGGACACAGACACAGTTTCTACTGGGGGCTGGGCCAGGGGAGCCATCTCAATGAAAGGCAAGGCTGTGACTCAGAGAGGTGGCATTGTTATTGGACCGAGTGAGTGTTCCTAGCTGGCTCCTCCCTTGAGATGAGTTTTGTCCTGGGAAGCTAACAGTTTCTTTCTTTCTCTTTCTTTCTTTCTTTCTTTCTTTCTTTCTTTCTTTCTTTCTTTCTTTCCTTCTTTCCTTCTTTCCTTCTTTCCTTCTTTCCTTCCTTCCTTCCTTCCTTCCTTCCTTCCTTCTTTCTTTCTTTCTTTCTTTCTTTCTTTCTTTCTTTCTTTCTTTTTCTTTCTTTCACAGAGTCTTGCTCTGTCACCCAGGCTAGAGTGCAGTGGCACGATCTCCACTCACTGCAACCTCCACCTTCTGGGTTCAAGCAATTCTCCTGCCTCACCCTCCCAAGTAACTGAGATTACAGGTGCCCACCATTGCACCTGGCTAATTTTTGTATTTTTAGTAGAGACAGGTTTTCACCATCTTGGCCAAGTTGGTCTTGAACTCCTGACCTTGTGATCCACCTGCTTCGGCCTCCTAAAGTGCTCGGATTACAGGCATGAGCCACCTCACCTGCCTGGGAAGCTAAACAATTTCTAATAATGGACTTGATAGGCTGCCTTTTCTGGTCTTCCCGGTGTGCTCTACTGTGTCTGATTCCTACATGAGCACCCACATCAAATCAAGCAAGGACCCCTCTACAACAGTAAAAAGCTATTTCCAGACCCCCTACCACCACCACCCAAATACCTGAGGTGGTCCAGTAAGCATTTCTTACCCAGCACAAACAGTTCAAAGTTCTTCCTGTTTCCCTTCCCTCCAGTGGCAGAGTGATTAAGAGGCAGAGTTCTCTTTGAAAACATTCATCCCCTTTGTAATAGTGTAATATCCTCTCCCTCCCAGTGGACTGGAAACCCCACAAGGACAGGGAAAAAGTTTATGTGATTCACCCTAATATCTCCAGCACTAACTGAGTCCAACTTAGCAGCACTCAGTAAATATTTGTTACACAAATAAAAGAGAATGATTTAATGAGTGAGCAAATAGACAAATGAATGTTCTTACAGTCCTAAATCCTTCCAGAGAAAAACTCAGATCTGGGCCTCTGTGATAATAATTAAATACTATCTCAGAATCAGTGTTTTCATTTTTCATTTGTGTTTGGGAGTCTGCATTAGATATAATTTAGTTAGCATGTTTTGCTTGTTTTATAAAACAACTCTTACTTTTTGAAATTCCAAGACCTAATCTCTTTGCTTTTCGTGCTTTAAGGCAGGCATTTTAAACTACAGGAAGATAATTATGACATGATGTTCACCTTCTTATGGTAGTTGTAAGCTCATGTATCCACATAGCTACCAGGGTCTATATAATTTAGGTAATAGGTTTATTTTTGCTAAATTGTCTGAATAAGTATGTTGGATTAATTCAAGATAATGACGTATTCTTAAACTCTGCTTTGTGCTAGAGAGATAGGCTAATACTAAAATTTACTGAGGGCTTGCTTGGCACCAGGCACAGGTGTGAGCTCTTTACAAACATTCCTTCAATGAATCCCTATACCAACTCAAGGAGATGGGCATAACATATCATCCCATTTAACAGATGAAGGCACTAAACTTAGAGAGATTCATGTCCCCAAGGTGACACAGCTACTAAGTAGCAGAACTAAGAATTGAACTAGGATTCAGTTCCAGATTTAAATGCTTGATAGCCACATTATATTAGAATTGATGACAGTTTATATTTTCAAACTCAGATTAATTTGCAATATTCAGGGAAGTATGAGCCTTTTAAATATCCCATGATTGTGCTGTCACACACTTAGTTTCAAATTCTTGCTATCTGTGTGACTTCGGGCAGATCTCATGGCTGCCGTTCCCAGAACCAGTTTCCATAGGGGCCTGGGCCAGGAAAGGAGTGTCAGTGGAAGGCAGCACTGTGACCCGGAGCTGCCTTTCCCCTCTGCCGGGCAGTGTTCCTGAGCCCAGTCTCCTCATGCAAAAAAATAGAATCAGGAAACTCTTCCTTGGGGTGATCGTGAGAATTCAATGAGATAATATATACAAAACAACTAACCCAGTGCCTGATAGTAAGCATCCAATAGGAATTGTTAGTGATATGATCATTATTACTGTTGAGATACAATTTTCTGAATACATACCAGAGATATTCTATATTAGCACCTCACTTCCATAAGAGGTCTGGCTAGCATTGGTGGTGTTGCCTTCGCTATGTTTATCCCTGCATGGTACCTGCTCACATATGCAAATAAGTCATATGATTGAAATCTACCTATAATCCGTTGTTTTGAAAGATTTTGACAAGATAAAATGAATAGATTTGAGCTATACATTTTCTTCTTTCTTGTCTAATCCCCACTTTTCAGCAATAATATAAGCAGAAATCTGGCAGCAGGAAGGAAAAAGAACAAAAACTAAAATTAAACCCAGATACTATCTATACAAGATGAATAATTAGCTCCTAGTATCCAGAGGTAACTATGTCCTCAAAATTAGCCAATCTGTTATACGTCAATATGCATATCTTTATAGTTGATTTGATAATTTGATCAAATTTTCCTAAATACTGTAATAGTCCATATATTTATATATCATTTGGTATCACTACAGATCTATCCCATGTTAATTCTTAAATTACTTATATGCAAATATATCCTAAGATCAAGAGACCAGTGTAATAATTCACAAACTGAGACCTTAAGCTGGCTCCAGTTAAGATTACTGGCTTGTTACTTTATCAACAAAATGTAGTCTATGATCCTCTGTGGAAATTTGTACAGATTAACTGACTTTCAGTAATTGTTGCAAATCATTTTTAAATGCTCTATAGCAGTCTCTGCAACTCAATCAAGTCAACTTTAAAATAAGCCAACTCTATAGAGAGAGAGGAGCAAATATTTTCCTGGTTCGCATCTTCTGAGAGAGAGGAGCGCAGTCACAGCCCCTTCGAGGAAGTGGCCTGAAGTGAATGCTCTCGTGAAGGACACATGTGGCACAGAGCAGGCCACTAATCTGATAAGTCCTCAAGAGGAGAGCAAAAGGCAGACGGGGAGAGTAGTAGAGTCGCACCCCACAGGCCGGCCGTGCCAACCAAAGCCAGGAGAAAATGCTCCAAGGCTTCTGTTTGGATGCACAAACTGAATGGTGATGTGGCACGGATAACCTTTCACGAGAGAATGGGCAGGAGCTGAGCTCCTTAGAGGCCCCAGATGAAAGGGAAGAGGAATATCTCTGTGGCTGTAATTAAAGAGATGCTTTTAAGCCTGGTCATGACATCCAGTTGGTTTTCAAGGAACATGCTCTGCAGCCTCTAAGAATCTGCCAAGCAACTTTGGCAAGAATGAAAATTAATAATGAGGCAAAAACCACTTTACACTTTTTTTCCTTTCTTTCCTTTCTTCCTCTCTCCTTTTTTTCCCCTTTCTCTTTTCTTGTGATCACCTTTTCTCCCTACCTCTTTCCTTCCCTTTCCCCCTCCACCCTTGATGTGTTATTTGGGAGGGAGCTAAAGCCCTCTCCTGGGGGGTTCCCCTTAAACACGCACGCTGGCATTCCATATCATCAGTAAATACAGACATGAGTGACGGAGTTAGACAGGAGGTGAAAAAATGTTCAAAAGTTACAATATGTGTGCAGTAGCATTTTGCTCTCCTATATCTCTGACTAAACCATTTGTTTCAGAACAGAAAAATCTTGTGTGTGTAGACAAACTCAGGGAGTGCCAGTATGGAGCTGGCAGGACCCTCCCCATGACAGGCAGTGAATGGCACTAAGTCTGGTGTTCAATTTTTCTCTCCCACTCAATTTGAGAGGCCTTGGTCAGTAGGGACCAAGCTTCTCCTTGCCTACCTAAGACAGAGCAATAAAAAAATTACTATCTCTCTACTCCAGAGATTTTCTTCATGAGGCCTGCCTTCCTTCCTTCCTTCCTTCCTTCCTTCCTTCCTTCCTTCCTTCCTTCCTTCCTTCCTTCTGCCTAGCTGCCTAAATCAACATGGCAATAATGTCACAAGTTATTATTTAGTTGTGCCTTGTGAAATGCAATTTGGATTGGCCTTGCCGTGGTCTGTGATGATGCAGAACAAAGTAGCATCTTGAAGGCTGTATCACAAGGGAGGCAGTTCCTGCTGCCCCTGAAACTGTAGTGTCCACATACATCTCCTGGGCACATCCCAGGAGCGAAGTCCTCAGCGACTGCCAGTGAACAGCCAGCTTCTTCCCTCACTTAACCAGAGAGAAAGCATGCATGGGAAAGATGTACACTGATTCATTTATGAAGATGACATAAGGAAAAATGTGCCCAAGGATGGACTTAGCAATTTCTTTCTATTTTTTTTTTAGATGGAGTCTTGCTCTGTCACCAGGCTGGAGTGCAGTGACGTGATCTCGGCTCACTGCAATCTCCGCCTCCTGGGTTCAAACGATTCTCCTGCCTCAGCCTCCTGAGTCGCTGGGATTACAGGCATGCGCCACCACACCCAGCTAATTTTTGTATTTTTAATAGAGACGGGGTTTCACCATGTTGGCCAGGATGATCTCAATCTCCTGACCTCGTGATCTGGCCTCCCAACATGCTGGGATTACAGGCGTGAGCTATAACTGCTTGAGTCACTATCCACTGGAGATGAGAGCTTTACCGTGTGAGGAGGAAACAGGTGATCCTTTTCTACTGGTATTGACTCAATTATTCTGTGATCCTGGCCTTTCCCCTTTGGGGACTTGGTTTTCTCCTCTGTAAGACATAAATGAGATCATCTCGGCCAAGGAGAGCTCACTTGTAACCAAGGGTTGTCTCAGAACCACAAAACATTTAGAGCTTGTCTGCTGGATAGTTTGTAAAATCAGGAATTTGAAGAAAAGAATAAGCATTTCTATGTCAGCACAACAAAATGTCCCTCATAAGAACGACAAAACGGAGATGATATGTACAGAAAAAAAGGTCTCCTGTTTTTTTCAGAAGGAAACTAGATACACATTTCAAGATTGCTTTTCCTAGATTTAGATGGCAACCTTACTTTCACACAAAAGACGCTGAGAGCAGAAAGGGTGCCCACTCAAATGAGCATATTCAGAAGGAAAAGAAAACATTTCTGAAGGAGATGTGAAGGCAGGCCTGCTGGGGCAGGTTTGCACTCAAAGGGCTCTTTGCAGGGTTTTAAAAAAAAATCCTACAAGAGTTGTGCATTAGGGGCTGGCAGGTCACTGATGAAATGCTGAGCCTGAGTTCTCTCCCAGTGTGGGCAATACCTGGGACTCAGGGTTTCATCTCAGAGCTCAGAATGAACATGAGCTGAATAACGAAAATGCCCATGTGTCTCTGGGTTGTTGCTCAAACCCCTCTGCAGCCTCCTTTGACATGGATAATGCACGTTCCAGAAGCAAAGCTAAATCATCCCTTGCCGAAATGCATCCTTTCTCAATGTAACTCACACTTGATTGTTCTCCTGGACGCCTCTGCTCTGGGCTGCTCTCTTCAGGAGTTTTTGCTTGAAGTTTTATCAGAACCAAAGAATTCGGTTCCCTCAGGATGCATCCAGTTCCCACACAAGAGGCTTTCAGGTCCCTATCAGTCTTTGGGGTATCTAAGATCATTTCTCTTCTCAACTGAAAATGCAAAGGGGAATCATTGCTGCTTCCTCCCATTGGGGTTAACTAAAACCAAGTTGATGAATTTTATGGTACAAACCTAAAACCTCCTTTTTTTTTTTTTTTTTGACCTGGCTGACCCAATATAGAAAAGAAAGCTCATCTTTCTGCTTGAGCAGTTTTGCCTTCAACACAGAATCCTTTCCAGTATCTCCAAACATGCCCGGAGTCCTGACTAATTGGCTGCGTTGTTGGAGACATCTGAATTATAAACATAAGAAACACTACGCCCCTCTCCTGGGTCATGCCCTGGGCCCAGAGGGAGTCTTCTGTGGCCAAACACTCAGGTTCATCTTGACTAGACCTGCCTGCCTGGAAGTGGTTCACACACAAAGCTAACTGCTCCCATAATCAGCCACTTGAAGCCCTAGCAGTAACATGAAAACTCATGCAGGAGATCATGTAGAGCCCCAGTTCACTTCTTCTGGAAAACACTGAAAAAAAGGAATTGGGAACTAAGCTGAGATTAGTCACCAAGGCTGACCTCCCTTCATGCAGGCTCTGTTGGTGAGGTCTGAGCCACCAGGGTAAGAGTTCACCATTGGCTGAGTGGCTGCGGTGTGCTTTCAGCTTTCTGGGGCCCCTGAGCCAGTCTGCATTCATTGCTGCATATTCACTTTTCTGCTACTTAAAGGAAAACGCAAAGGCTCCCCTTGAAGAATTAATCTCCATCCTCTTGCGGTAGGCACCCAGCCCTCACCTCTGGAGGAGGGTGTGCCTTATGCTATGCATGGTGACAAATGCTTGTTCTGGTCATTTTAGCACTGGTGTGACTCAGAGTGCTCAATAAGCTGGTTTGAAGGAGAGGAAACTTTGGGCTGCAAAACATTTTGCTTTTGTTCACAAGGAAGAAATTCTAGCAAGTGCTAGTGGTGACTTTGGCATCAAAAGGTAAACAGAATGAACACCAGTCCATTTCTGGAGGTTATGCCTTTACATTTTCAATATAAGCAGAATGTAGAAACCACCTGCATGTCCATAAGTATTGAGACTAGTTTTAAAAAATTGTAGCACCTTCATACAATGAAATACAAGACAGCTATGAAAAGGAATGAGATAGATCTTTAAGGGCCAGTAAGAAAGATATCAATTAAGTACAAAAGGCAAGTAATGGACTAATCTGTTTAGTATGATTCCTCTTATGTTGATAAATCGATCTATGTGTTCATATATTTGATATATAGATTTTTTTTAATTTCCAGAAGAAAATGAGTGGTCAAAGTGTGGTTCACAATAAGCACAGAAATTGAGAGTGTTTAGAAATGTTAAAGCAATTTGATATTACCATAGCATCCAAGTGTGTGAGCTGTTGAACTTTGTATTGTTTCTAGTGAGTTTGTACTTTATATGTATTTGGGTACTTTTTTGTAATTATTTCAGTAATTATTATTATTTTTATTTGAGACAGGATCTCACTCTGTCACCCAGGCTGGAGAGCAGTGGTGCAATATTGGCTCCCTGCAATCTCTGCCTCCCAGGCTCAAACAATTCTCCCACCTCAGCCTCTGGAGTAACTGGGACTACAGGCACATGCCACCACACCTGGGTCATTTTTTTTTTTTTTTTTTGTAAAGATGGGGTTTTGCCATATTGCCCAGGCTGGTCTTGAACCCTTGGGCTCAAGTGATCTGCCCACCTCAGCCTTCCAAAGTGCCAGGATTACAGGCATGAGCCACCACGCCCAACTCAGTAATTTTAATGTATTTTACAAAAGTATTGGTCTATGAGAATTGGAATCAAGAAAGTATTATTTCTACAGCAGAGAATGTTTGGGAAATAGTGTTCTCAGAATGTGAGCAAAAAGTCCCATTTACACTTTTATTTCACACTTTCCATCCTTATGTATTGTTTGAATATTTATCTTGAATATGTATTGCTTTTATGATGAAACATTTGGAAATGTTTAAATTTGGTTCTAAGGAACTGTACCAGGTTAATGGTTTTATTTGACTCATTTGTCCTAACACCTCAATCATAGCATCTCTTGAGCCTTCCTCATGCTCAGAAATTGCCCAAGCTTCAAAAAGAAGCATTTCTTTGGGAGGAAGGCCCAAGGGTGCCAAGGGAAATGGGTAGGCAGTGACCAATCAAGAAAGACCGCCCGAATTTTTCAAAAAAGTGTTTTCCGCATCCTTGAGCACAGCTGGAGTGAGACCCTCTCCCACAGATGAGAACACTTGACTCAAATCTCATTAAAATCTCCTCACTGGATTACAGATCCAAAACCTCTGGGGAGCCTCGTGAACCACGTCATGCTTCTCGCTTTGCATCTTCAATTATGCATCTTTGATTTAGCTGACAGATGTGAAGCCGCGTACATAGCCAGGCAATCCCCTGGTGGCCACACATGTGCAGAAGGAGGCGGCCGAACATCGTCTTCCAGCTCCAACTGGCACCAGCTTCCAATCGCTCAGAACTTTTCTTCTTCATCCACCTTCCCTCAGCTGCCCCCGCTTCCCTTCTCCACCCAGGCCCTGGCAGGGATCACATGGACACACCCACTTTTACTTAAGCCCCCTTTCCTTTTGGAGGGACTCCCAAGGCAAATGAGAATGGTGTGCCAGTCTGAGGGAACCACCTCTTTTATTATGGGATGGCACCACCCCAGCATTCTATCAAGCTTTTCAGTGTAGAAATCAAGCCAAATTCTGGCTCTATCCTAAGCCATAGCTGCCAGGACCATATAGAGAAACATGTGGCTGGATGGTTGGAAGCACTTGGCTCAGCCATGCAGAAAATCCACTTTATGTGCTGAGTCCCAGCCTCTCATTTGCCATCCTGGTACAGATGCCAGGCCTGTTACATGGACCCACTTGGCCTCCAGAGGGAGGGGTGGAGCTCTGAGGCCTTCACCAGGAACATGCTGTGGAGCTGGTGGCCAGTAAGAAAGATATCAATTAAGTACAAAAGGCAAGTAATGGACTAATCTGTTTTTGATTCCTCTTATGTTGATAAAAACGATCTATGTGTTCATATATTTGATATATATAGATTTTTTTTAATTTCCAGAAGAAAATGAGTGGTCAAAGTGTGGTTCACAATAAGCACAGAAATTGAGAGTGTTTAGAAATGTTAAAGCAATTTGATATTACCATAGCATCCAAGTGTGTGAGCTGTTGAACTTTGTCGCCATAGCACAGATGCATTGCCATGCCCCATGGGAGTTTGGGTCACATAGAGATCAATGACCGCCACCACAGGGCACTGACAGGGATGAAGGAAAAAAATCACCTTGCCTGTGAGTGTGTATATGTGTGTGCACACATGAGTGCTTGTGTGCATACATGTATGGTTCATGGAAATGTTATATGTGCAAAATGCCCACTTTCTGAATACAGTGGTGGTTTTACATGGTGAGTGATAACTGAATTCTTCCCTGATATCACACTGTTGCTTCTTCAGTGAATAGGGAACCTCCATCCCTATAGCTGGATAAAAACTGGAGTCAGACTTTTCTAAAATGTTGTTGGATACCAGATTTGTCCTCATTCATTATTATTTAATATAAATGGGAGTGTGGTTTTAGACTATGGTTTTTCAAGGGTCCAAACTAAGTGGAATTCTTTGTTTCATTTTCTTTTCCTCTTTATTTTAGAATTGTAGATTGTTTGTGTGATTTTAATTTTAAATTTTTATTTTCCTCTACTATTTTCTGAGCATTTACAGTTTTCATCATAATTCAGACTTTAAAGATGATTATTAACTGTGTATTGAGTTTTCTAAATTCAATTTTTCTCATCCCTTAGCTCTCCTGAAAACAATTATTCTTCCTTTGCCACCGATTTTGCTACTGGCAGTGAAAATGCATTACTATGAAAATTACTGAATTCTGTAGGAAGACAAAGTACAAGTAGATAAATTAATAACATATTTCCTATTAAATTTAACTTTTCCTTGTATTATACTTTTATCTCTTTTTTTTTCTCTTTTGGGCACTGTCTTTTGTATGTTCGTGCCATCAATTTATATCATTCTGGAAATTCTTTCAAGTGCCCACAGTGTGTATGCTGTGTGATATGGCACAGGGGACAGACCACAGGCTTCAGGATCAGAGAGATCTGGGCTTCCGTCCCATATCAATTACTTCTTAACTATGTAGATAAGCTACTTAGGTTCCAAGAATCTTTGTTTCCACATCTGTAAATAAAGATGAAATCAAATTGTGTGTTAAGCAACTCTCATCGAATCTTATTTCCCTTCCCTTTTCCCCTTTAATGTACTTGGAAGATATTTATCCTCACCCACCCACCTTATTTTTTCTATCATATATAGCCTTAAGGAAGTAGAAGAGTGGTAGGTTTGCAGTCTGAAGGCTATAAGCTGCTATAGAACTAGAAGAACTGATATCCCAGTTTAAAGGCTGAGCTCAGGCTGGAGAAGTTTCTCTTTCTCCAGGAAAGGTCAGCCTTTTGTTCTACTCAGGCCTTCAACTGATTGGATGAGACCCACCCACATTATGAAGGGCTATCTGCTTTATTCCATCTCCTGACTTAAATGTTACTCTCACCCAAAAACATCCTCACAGAAACACTCAGAATAACGTTTGACCAAATATCTGGGCACCCTGTAGCCTAGTCAAGTTGATACATAAAATTAGCCTGGTGAATAGAATCAGGTAAAAGTTTCCAAAAAATGGATCTGGGATCAAAGCAGGATCACTTTGATCTCTCTTTGATCTGCTCGCTTTTTCTCTCTCTTTCTCTCTCTCTCTCTCTCTCTCTCTCTCTCTCTCTCTCTCTGTCCCCAGTGAGAGAGCCATCTCAAGATTGTATGGAAACCCTGAATGTTCTGAGATCCTGCCATCTAGAGGTGCCTCATCAGAAGCCAGGTAACAACTTGGTGGATACACTATAGAGAGAAATCAAGCTTCAGAGGAGAGGACTAAAGAGCTGTGACGGGCCCTTTCTAGTTCAGAAGTGCTATGGTTCTGAAATTCTATAAATATTGGCTTTGCTTCTGGTGGATTTTGTCAAATGATTTAGTTTTAAATCATCAATGTCTTTACAGTATGCAACTACTAAGCATTAACTTCCCTTTAGGGAGAGGAATGAATCTAGAGAACATGAAATATTTTTTCAATTAAATTTTAGAACATCCCAAGAAACTGCCTTTGAAATCATGGCTTCTCTATGCCCTTTACATGAAAAGGAAAGCTAAAGCTTATAAAGTGATGGCTGAGATTCTTAAGATGTAGTGATATGTTCCCCAAACTCTCCATTTTTAAATTTTCTCTCTCCTTTTGATAGATTATACCTCTTCTAAACACAAGGCTTCCTAGCTCAGCCAGTATCTTCTCAGTGGGTCCTTTCCTGGAAACCTAATTGGAATTAGTAGCTTCCTTCCATTCCGAGAGCAACCAGTTACTCTCCTGTTTTATTGTTTTTATATCTTTTCACTTTCTGTTATTTTTTATTATGTCATAATACACATAACATAAAATTTGCCATTTTAGCTATTTTAAGTATACACTTCAGTGGCATTCAATAATTCACACTGTTGTGCAACCATCACCGTCATTCACCTCCAGAACTTTTCATCTTCCCAAACTGAAACTCTGAACCCATTAAACCTCTCTCCCCTGGCCACTGGCAACCACCATTCTACTTTCTGTCTCAGTGAGTTTGACTATTCTAGGTACCTCATAGAAATGGCATCATACATTTATTAGTTCGTTCTCACATTGCTAAAGACATACCCAAGACTGGGTTATATATTGACTTATAGTCAGTATGTCTGGGAGGCCTCAGGAAACTTACAATCGTGGTAGAAAGGGAAGCAAACACGTCCTTCTTCACATGGTGGCAGGAAGGAGAAGTGCAAGCAAAGGCGGGGAAAGCCCCTTATAAAACCATCAGATCTCTTGAGAACTCCCTCACTATCACAAGAACAGCATGAGGGTAACTGCTCCCATGATTCAGTTACTTCCCACCAGGCCCCTCCCACAACATGTGGGGATTATGGGAGCTACAATTCAAGATGAGATTTGGGTGGGGACACAGCCAAACCATGTCAATACAGTACTTGTCTTTTTGTGTCTGGCTTATTCCATGTAGCATGGTGTACTCATGTTATAGCATGTGTCAGAACCTCTTTTAAGGCTGTATAATATCCCCATTGTTTATATATGCCACATTTTCTTTATTCAGACATCAATGGATATTTGGGTTGTTTTCACCTTTTGGCTATTGTGAATAATGCTGTTATGAGCATGGGTGTACAAATATTTGTTCAAGTCTCTGCTTTCACTTCTTGTGGGTATATACCCAGAAGTAGAATTGCTGGATCATATGGTAAATCTATGTTTGATTTCTTGAAGATCCTCCACGCTGTTTTCCATGGCAGCTGCACCACTTTACATTCCCAAAAGCAATGCGTAAGGGTTCCAATTTCTTCACATCTTTTCCAACACTTGTTATTTTCTAGGATTTCTTTATTTTTGTTTTGTAATAACTGTCCTAATAGTGGTAAAATGGCATCTCATTGTGGTTTTGATTTGCATTTCCCTCATGATGAGCAATGTTGACCTGGCATTATTTCATTCATGTGTTTTCTGCCTGTTCTTCGCCTGGCTCCCCAGCAGGACGTAGACTCTTTGTACATGAGAAGTGTGTCTGACTTGTTCACTGCTCTATCCCTAGCCCAGAGATGCATGCCTGGCACATATCAGATACTCAATTATTTGTCAGATGAATGCATGAATGAATTTACTGGAGAGAAAAATTCACATTCCAAATATAGACTCCAAATCTTTAGGTGCTCAATTATTTGCCTGAGGCAGTAAGTAAAGATCACCTTTCCATCAATCAGTGTTGCTTGAAAATTGAGAGAAAAATATACTTCTGCCTCATGGACAAACTATCCACATTGATAAAACATTGTGGCTGGATCCCCCTAGCTTCTGGACTTGATAATTGACAAAATTGAAGTATGTTTACTATTTCAATGATGAAATTAGAAGTACGATTGATAACTAGTACCAGGCCCATGAAATACTTGCTGATAAATAAGTGAATGGTCCTGAAAACAGTAATGAAAAGTATAGATTATATCTGAGGATTGTGGAAGTCCTTGGGGAAAAAGAGCCCCAGACAGTTAGTGGCTTTGGTGGGAAATGTAAACACCAAGATTAGTACGTAATTCTCAGGTCCTTTTTCTTCAAGTTAGTAATCAATTTAGAAGCTAAATCTGGAGCCAGACTCCCCATGCAGTGTTGCTTCTCTAAAAATCAATCACCTGCAGAACACCAGAGAAGCCTGACTTCTTTGTTGGTTCATTGCATAAAGCATAAGGAAAGCATTTTCCTACATTCTTCAGCTCAAACAGCCTTAGGTGTGGTCCTGCTTACTTTACAGCAGGGGCTACTTCCTGTTGTACCTGTTCTGCAAAGTGCATGAGTCTTAGCAGAATGAGAGAGAAGTATCCTCATTTAAATGTTGTTCTAGCATTTAAACAGTGAAAACATGCTTTATCCCAACCCAGATTTCTACTAGTCTTGATAGACAGAGGTGTAATGAAATATTAATCTCTTTTGAGAAGATGTAGGCAAGACAATAATCTGGTTTTGGCATATCTTAGTGTTGTTCCTAAATAAACAGTAGAGGAAACCAAGACATAGCCCTCAGAGGAACAAAGCCCCTCTAGCCCGCCCATCTTCGGGGGTATGAACTAGTAGTCAGTGATCATGGCCAGTGGGAATATTTGTAGCTTCCTGGTCTCAGAGGCCAGAGATGGCCAGAGCAGAGGCATGAAGCACTCCCACAATCAGCAGTCTTTGGCTCAAAAACAGTGAAGACCCTCAATTAGAAAGTGAGGGATGATCTCATGAAATTCCTGGGGAACTGCCTGGCAAAGGTACTGAATCCTTTGGTCTGCTTCCTAACAGATAGTCATCTGGGTAAGAGCAGCCCTACTTCATTAGCGTGATAGAGTAGTTTTGGTTTTTTTAATATTTTTAATTTTTCAATGTGAAGTTAGGGGTGGTGTTAAAAATACAAATTTTCAAACTTCCCCTCAGACCTACCAAATCAGAATCTCTGGAAATAAGGCCCAAGAATTCATGTTTTCAGGAGGGAAATAAACATCTCAAAAGCTCCATCAAATTAGACTAAAATTAAGTCATCTGCTCATGTCTCATACAATGTCTCATACAACCAGGAGAATAAGACCAGGTGACTAAACCAGTCATACCAGGCCTGGTGATTTCCTGAGCACATGGTCTCAAAGGTGTGAACATTAGGATTAGGTTCTGCCTCCATGGAGAAGGGATGACGTGGATTGGGTGAGTAAAAATGCCTTCATTACCATAGCTTGGTAGTTGATGGGGGATAAGAACTCCTAGGAAGTCTTGGCTTCCTCAGTGGCCATTTATTGAAGTCTACATTTGTTCACTAGATCAAATGCCCAAAACTTTCCCCATGGTTAGCCATTTTGGTAAGAAACCAGAAAAAAAATGGACATTTGGTAGGAATGTGAAAGAGATTGATCTTAGAATAGTTCAAAATGCCAGATACGATTTTCTGTTCACAACACCAACATTCTGCGTCAGTGGGAATATAACTCATTTATCCTTCCAGTCAACAAATATTTACTGAGTGTCTCTTATATGTCAGGTCCTATATTTGGTCCTGGGGAGACATCAGTAAATAAAACAGACAGAAATCCCTGCCATACCCTCATGGAGCTGACATCTTAGTGGGAACAACAGAGAGTAAATAAAATAAAATAAGCAAGTAAATCATAAAGCATGTTCCAAGGGATCCATTCTATGAAGAAAAATAAAGCAGACAGAAGGAATAGAAAGGACTCAGATGGGGGTGCTGCAACATTAAATAGAATAAAGGGGAGGTAATGGAAGTTAATGTTTGTGCAAAGATGTGAAGGAGGTGAACAGTGAGCCCTGCGGCTTTGTGAGGTGAGGATCCCAGGCAAGGCGCAGCATGTGTAAAGGCGCTGGAGTGATGGTGTACCTGGGCCAGGGAACACGACGAAGGCCAGTGGGGTTGGAGAGGGATCCCAGACCAGAGCACGAGGTGATTAATGGGAAGGTAGAATGCAGCAGGAGGGGAGCAGTGTGCCTGCTCTTTGAGGAGACTTTGGTTTTGCTCTGAGGGAGATAGGAAGGCATTGAGAAATTAGGCACAGAAGAGTGACATGAGCCATTTTTTATTTTAATAGGAGCATTCTGGTACTGCTTGGAGAAGAGACTGTAGGCAAACCAGTTGGGAGACTATTGCAATGTTTAGAGTAAGATATGATCAGGGCTTACACCAGGATAGTAGACATGAAGTAGAGAAAGAACTCAAGCATGATTTCAAAGATTCTGGCCTGAGTAACTGGAAAGATGGAGTTGCTATTCACTGATGATAAAAATAAAATACTTTAGCCAAATTAAATTTAGAAGAATTTAATTGAGCAAAGAACGATTCGCGAATCAGGCAGCCTCCTGAGCCAGGGTAGGCTCAGAGACTCCAGCACAGCCACATAGTAGAGGATTTATGGACAGAAAAAGGAAAGTGACATACAGAAAACATAAGACAGGTACAGAAAACAGCCAGATTGGTTATAGTTTGGCATCTGCCTTATTTGAACACAGTTTGAACAGTTGGCCACATTGGATTGGCCAAAATTCGGTGATTGGCAGAAGAGTAGGCTGCAGTCTGTTTACACTTCCCTTTAGGTAATAATTCATGATAGACAGAGAAACCTTAGGCTGAACTTTAAATATGTAAAAAGGCAGGCTTAGGCTAAACTTGATTTAACACTGATCTGGAGAATATTGTGGGTGGAGCAAGTCTGTGGAGGGAGAATCTGGAGTTCATTTTGAACATGCTAATTACAAGATGCCTGTTAGACATCCACGTGGAGATGGTTAGTAGGTGACTGGAGGAACTGGAGATGTATGACAGTTATCAGCATATGGTGGATAACTAAAGTCATAGGACCCGATGAAATCACCAGGGAAACAGACAAAGTCCACAAACTAAGCCCTAGGGTTGTCTTCTGCATTGTTTTTCAAGTGTTTTGAATCCTACTTAGTTTATCCAACTCATAGGATATTGACTGAAGGAGTTTGGTAGGGAAATAGCTAACCCTTATTTATTCATTGATAATAATGTGGTATGAAGGAACTAATTTTTCAAAATGATCTGGAAAACTGTGCATATGCAGAAGTCTATAAAGTACATGTAGACGTTGACTCAGTAAATCCAGAAAGCTCAGTGACTGTTTATTTAACTTGTGTTTTAGTCAGTTAAATAAGGACTTGGGCACTTTTTAAAAAAACTGATGCAGAGGACTGAATGACAAAAGAGATGACAAACCTTGGCTCAGCCGTTCCTCAAAAGCCAGCATTTTAGCTCCGTGCAGAAACCAAACAGAGCCCGAGGTGGAGGCCTTCAGCCAACATTAGAGGCATAGTCAGGGAAGAAGCGTTAGAGCCAGGAGGTAGAATGAAATTCCCCAGTGGACTTGATAGTGACTCCTTGAGAACGTGGAAGTCATACGGTGTTCAAGAGCTGAGGTTTTGGAGTCAAATAGACCTTTGTTATTGTCCTAACTCCATCACTTACTAGCTGTTTCACTACTAGGAAAGTTGCTTAACTTCGCTGAGAGAATAGTATCTATGTCATGTAAAAAATTGAATGGGATAATAATTGTAAAGCATTGTGCACAATTGCTATTTTTGTTTCTAACATATCCCTCCCTCAATAGTCTCAATTCCTGTAGAAATACAAACGGTCACCACACTTTTCCTTTGGAGACTAATTTAGTGAATTGAAAGTCCACTAAATCAGACTGTAAATTGTAACCTTCAAAATGCGCGGGTCCAAAGCTTGGGTATTTGGCAGGGGTGGGACAATGGAAGAGCTGCTTTTAACTCCAATACCACTAGGGGGCACCTCCAGAAATTAATTTTGGAATGTACTATAATAACCAATGGCCATGATTAATGCACTTCCAAATGTGAATTATACTTGGGGAACAGTCTGCTTGGTGCACTTAGTGCATGGCATCTTTGGCTTCAAACGTGTATGAATTGGTTGCAGCAGAATTCCACAACAGGGTGTGAATTCCTGAGGCACTGGGTCACACACTTAGTTAAGGTTCCTTTTGTGGAGGACATCTCTGAATTCTGAGGCTTTCTGCCCCAGCTGCCGTCATGTTAGCCCTGTAGCTAGGTCAAGCTGTTAAATCAGGCAACTAACAACAATGTACTAATTCATTTCCATAAACACTAGTACAGAGAACTGGCATAGACTCCATCTTTCTTCCACTAGTAATGCAGTGGAATTAATTTGCTCACTTTTTGTACAAGAGTTTTCCATGCTGGGTAAACAGCTAACATGTGGTTGAGCCAAAATTTAAGGCCAAAGAGTGTGGCTCCAGAGCCCACACTCATATTGCCTTTACTGACAAATAACATCAAATTAATACTAACTGCCAGAGAGTGGTGATTAAAAACAGGAATAACCATTAAGCAGTTTATAACCTGGATTAAATATGGTAATCATGTGACTAATACATATTCAATTCAGTGAAAAATATGCAAGTCATTCCAACTGTTAATATGGATACTGAGTCATGTCTGGGTATATGAATTTATATATATTTGTTGATGTATACATATAGATGTATATGTATAAGAGTGTGTGTGTGCATATATGCATTTAATATAATGTTATCTGGGTGTTACTATGTGTCAGACCTATAAGGTAATATGAAAGGCAACATCTTGGTTAAATAATGCAGGCAGGTACAATATCAACATTTTGTCTACCATGTCAGAGAAAGGTCCTTGGAGAAAATTAAGGTCTTAGTTGATTTTGGACAATAGGATCCTAGAAAAAGGTGTTTATCCTAGTGCTTGGCACAGAGTATATTAATGAAAGAGTGAGTTAAAATGTGAATGATAGTTACTTTATGAATGGGAGGGACAGAAACTAGAAACAGGAGATAAGAAAAGGGGAGCTGGTGAGAAGATGAGAGTGATCAGAATGGAGCAAGGAATTTCCTCAGCAAGGCTTATTTATCAATGAGCTGTCTGGTGAAGGACTTAATAAAAAATAGATTTAGGGATACTAGCACAACTGGGTTACATGGATATATTGCATACTAGTAAAGTCCAGGCTTTTAGTACCCATCGCCCAAATAAATGTACATTATACCCAGTAGGTGGTATTGTTTTCCTCACCCCTCTCCCATCCTCCCAGTTTTGGAGTCTCCAAAATCTGTTATTCTACACTCTGTATGTCCATGTGTACCCATTGTTTAGCTTCCACTTATAAAGGAGAACACGAAGTTTTTTGACTTTCTGTTTCTAAGTCATCCCACTTTAGGATAGTGGCATCCAGTTCCATCCATGTTGTTTCAAAGACATGATTTCATTCTTTGTTATAGCTGAGTAGTATTCCATGGCATACCACATTATTTTATCCAGTCATCTGTTGACGGACACTTAGATTGATTCCATGACTTTGCTATTGGGAATAGTGTTGCAATAAACAGATGAGTGCAGGTATCTTTTTGATATGATGCTTTTTTTTCCTTTGGGTAGATACCCAGTAGTGGGATTGATGGATTGAATGATAGTTCTATTTTTAGTTCTGTGAAATCTCCATCCTGTTTTCCATAGAGGTTGTAATATTTTACATTTCCACCAGCAGTGTAGAAGCGTTCTCTTTTTTCTGCATCTCCATCAACATCTGTTGTTTTTTGACTTTTTAATAGGCATTCTAACTAGTGTAAGGTGATGATATCTCATCATGGTTTTAATTTGCATTTTTCTGATGATTAGTGATGTTGAGCATGTTTTCATATGTTTGATGGCCACGTGTATGTCTTCTTTTGAAAAATGCCTATTCGTGCAACTTACAGAATGGGAGACAATTTTTGCAATCTATCCATCTGACAAAGGGCTAATATCCAGAATCTACAAAGAACTTAAACAAGTTTACAAGAAAAAAATAAACAACCCCATCAAAAAGTAGGCAAAGGATATGAACAGATACTTCTCAAAAGAAGACATTTATGCAGCCAACAGACATATGAAAAAATGCTCATCATCACTGGTCATCAGAGAAATGCAAATCAAAACCACAATGAGATACCATCTCATGCCAGTTAGAATGGTGATCATTAAAAAGTTAAGAAACAACAGAGGCTGGAGACGATGTGGAGAAATAGGAACGCTTTTACACTGTTGGTGGGAGTGTAAATTAGTTCAACCATTGTGGAAGACAGTGTGGCGATTCCTCAAGGATCTAGAATAAGAAATACCATTTGACCCAGCCATCCCATTCCTAGGTATATACCCAAAGGATTATAAATCATGCTACTATAAAGACACATGCACACGTATGTTTATTGTGGCACTATTCACAATAGCAAAGACTTGGAACCAACCCAAATATCCGTCAATAATAGACTGGATAAAGAAAATGTGGCACATATACACCATGGAATACTATGCAGCCATAAAAAAGGATGAGTTCATGTCCTTTTCAGGGACATGGATGAAGCTGGAAACTATCATTCTCAGCAAAATATCACAGGGACAGAAAACAAGGCAGCGCATATTCTCACCCATAAGTGGGAGTTGAACAATGAGAACACATGGACACAGGGAGGGGAACATGTTGGAGGGTGGGGGGCTGGGGAGGGATAGCATTAGGAGAAATACCTAATGTAAATGATGAGTTAATGGGTGCAGCAAACCAACATGGCACATGTATACCTATGTAATAAACCTGCACGTTGTGTACATGTACCCTAGAACTTAAACTATAATAAAAAAAAAGAAAAATGCCTGTTCATGAACTTTGCCCACTTTTTAATGAGGTTATATGTTTTTTTCTTGTTGAGCTGTTTGAGCTCCTCGTAGATTCTGGATATTAGCACTTTATCATATGCATTGTTTGCAAATATTTTCCCTCATTCTGTAGACTGTCTGTTTACTTGGATGATTATTTCTTTTGCTGTGCAAAAGATTTTTAGTTTAAGTCCCATTTGTCTATTTTTGGTTTTGTTGCATTTCTGCCAATGTTCAGAAGAATTTCTCCTATATTTCTTTTTCTAGTATTTTTATAGTTTCAAGTCTTATATTTAAGTCTGTAATCCATTTTGAGTTGATTTTTGTATATGGTGAGAGATAGGGGTCCAGTTTCACCCTTCTGCAAATGGCTCTCCAATTTTCCCAGAACTATTTATTGAATAGAGTATCCTTTCCCCAATATATATTTTTGTCAACTTTGTCAAAGATCAGTTGGTTGTAGGTATGTGGCTTTATTTCTAAGTTCTCTATTCTGTTCCATTGATCTATCTGTCTGTTTTTGTGCTAATGCCATGCTGTTTTGGTTATTATAGCCTTCTAGTGTAATCTGAAGTCAGATGATTTGATACCTCCAAATTTATTCTTTTTGCTTAGGATTGCTTTGGCTATTTAGGCTCTTTTTTGGTTCCATATGAATTTGGAGATTGTTTTTCTAATTATGTGAGGAATGATATTGGTAATTTGATAGAAATTGCATTGAATCTGTAGATTACTTTGGGCAGTATGGTCATTTTAGCAATATTGATTCTTCCAGTAGATGAGTATAGGATTTTTTCCCACTTGTTTGTGTCATCTATGATTCTTTTCTCAATCTTTTGCAATTCTCCTTGTCAAAGTACAAATACTCCTTGTAGAATTTTTCACCTCCTTGGTTAAGTATATTCCTAGGTATTTTATGTAGCTATTTTAAATGAGATTCAGTTCTCGATTTGGTTATCAGGTTGATTATTATTGGTATATAGAAATGCTACTGATTTTGGTATGTTGATTTTGATTCCTGAAATCATGTATCAAATCTAGGAGTATTTTGTGGTTTCTAGGTATAAAATCACTTTATCAGTGAGAGATCATTTGACTTCCTTTTCCAATTTTGATCCTTTTATTTCTTTCTCTTGCCTGATTGCTCTAGCTAGGACTTCCAGTACTACGTTGAATATGATTGGTGAAAGTGGGCATCCTTGTCTTGTTCCATCCTTGTCTTGTTCCTTGTCTTGTTCTTAGGGGAAATGCTTTCAGCTTTTCCCCATCCAGTATGCTGTTGGCTGTGGGTGTGTCATATATGGATGGCTTTTATTATTTTGAGGTATATTCTGGTGAAGGACTTTTTTTGCTCCATGATTGGGTTGTCTTTCCTGGTTTTCAGTCCGAGTCCAAGAAATAGAGTTGTTTTTTTTTCTTGGAGTCCTTTTCCTCATAGTGCCACCCACCTAAGTGAAAAACTGCCCTTTGATGATTATTATTTCCTAGTGGAAAGTGTTCATCTTTATAAGCAAAGTGATCTGCTGTCACTGAAAATTAATACACTTACCATATAGTCAGTTATAAATAAGTTTCTTCACTTACAGATTAATGGGGCAATGAACACCCACATTTTACCAATACTATTCACCTCTTTGGTTGCTTCTCAAGTATCTTTTTCACTTTTTCTTTCCTTAGTGTTTTCCATCAGGGTTCTGGTTCTCATATCACACTAAGGCCTTTCTTGGGCTGAACTGAGCAACATGTTTAGTGCATTGAGCACTCTGCCAACTTTCCAGGGAATGGAGCCATGGACTTACCTCCTAAATGATACTGACAGCTACAATAAATTTTTGTATTTTAGAAAATCAAAGTTGTAGTTTATTTCAGTTGCACCCAAAAAAATTTCATTGTTGTGGTAAAATCATACTAAACATACAGTTTGAAAAGTGTGTTCAGGAAAACTTGAAAGAATTCCTCCATACAGCGTATAATGAAAGTGGTATGGTTTGGGGTAACAAATCAATCCAAAGACCATATGCAGAAACTTAATTGAATTAATTCTCAGTAATGAATAATGAAAACTATATTGTCATTGCCTGAAGACCTGATATGAGTTGGGTAGGCAAAACTTTTGTTAGTTTTATGTTAGAATGTTAGCTAAAGCTTATGTGCACTTCCTTGAAATTTATTTGCTGCTTTTAAAAGAAGAATCTGTGTCACTTGCTCTCTTTTGAACTGTTTTTCCTCCCTCTAAAAGATATGTGGTTTTCCCTCCCTCTTTTGCCTCAATGAAAATGGCCCCAAGATGCATGCAATTTTGTGAACTTGAGATTATAGATTCTACATAATTCAAATCACAGAGCCATGAAACCCCACTCTTTCATTTGGATTCTGTGAACTGCTGACACTTGTGGAGTGCAAATGATGTCAGAATAATGCCCTAAAGGTGTAGTGTGTAGTGTGTAGTGTCAGGACCAGAATTCTGGTCTGGGATACACGATCCATCAAACAATGGAAGCCGTGCACTCATAACCCAGGGTTGAGCGTGGACTTCGTTGTTTTAATTACAGAACCACAGCATGTGGGTAAAAAACTTGGATCTGACAGCAGAAGAAGAAAGAGGATATTGTATGCCTTCAATCAGCTTTGTATTAGGAGATCCTTAAAGGAAAAATTTTGTGAAAAAAGAAAGAGGAAGAAAACAACAAACTAGCAAGATCTGTATTTCAGTATAATTTGGAGAAAATGACTGATTTGGGTTGGTCATGTTGCCAGAACAGATGACTCAAGGCTTCCATACAAGAAATGGAAATCAGGAGGATGCCTGAAGCCTGAAAGAAGAACAAATTGTAAAGATATGATTGACTGTAAGGCTTCAAAATCAACTGTACCAAAGATGAGCTTGAATCATTGCCCAGAACAGAGCTGAATGGTGATGTTCATTTGGGTTCTGGCTGTTGAAACAAAATAAAATGTAGTAATTGTACTCTGTTAGGTATACAGACGTGTTAATGCTTTCCAATTTCCCCAACTGGGGATCTGGTGTCACTTTCCCTGTCGCTCCTATTTCATGCTTCACTGGTGAGTATTATTGCTGCTCTGGATGCTTACTGAATGCCAGGTTTTTGGCAAAGAAGTGGGATCCAGGTGAAAGCATCCTTCTCATGCTGTGTGTGAGTGTGTTACAGGTGGCTTGGAAAATGGCTTTTCAACTTGGAGATCATTTCTGTAATTGATATTTTCAGGCTCAGATAATGTGCATCTCTATCCTGGCTTTCCCAGTGTGATGGTTGCTGGACTTTGATTATGAATATCAGCAGTTTGGATCCCAAAACACTTCATCCCTGACAACCAGGGAAAGCCCCAGCTTCCATGAGCAGCAAATTTACACATTGATCTTCTCCTCTTTTAGGAGGAAAAATGTCTTGTTCACAGATTTCTTTATATGCATTTTCTCTTTAATGTATCAGTTTAGTTTTATGGTAACATTTCTGATAGACAACAAGGTTGACTCTTTCTAAAAGTCAGTTGTGAAGCAGCTACACTGTTTTTCTTTCTCACTGGGAGCTGCAAATAAGAAAATATTCCATGTTCTTGCTCCTAACACCAAAAACCTAGTAGCCTAGTAACTTAGGAAATTTCCCAGCCTGCTTGAAAGAGGAGTTCAACTCTATGGTACAAATGATTCCCAAACACATATTTTCTACATACTAAATTAGAAAAATACCAGCAAAACCAACAATGGGGGTGACTCAGAGGGGTAAAAGGAGGGGCAGACAGGACATGTGATTTTTCCACTCCTTTTTAGTTTCTTTACCTGAGTCAAATTTTCAGAATGTTAAGCCTTCCCCTGTCTACCCACTATTTACCACAAAGTCTTCAGATTTCAGTAGCTAACTTAAAGCAAGGAACTTTTTTTAGTCGTTCAAACTGACTAAAGATATCAGGTACACAATGTTTAATTAAGGCTCTGTCTGGCTGACTGGTCTCTATAGGTGTCTAAAATTTAGACTTAAAAACAGGGTAACCTAAAACTGGACCCTACTAATGAGAGACAATAAGAAGGCATCTTTGAGGGTTTGCCTTGCTCTACATGAACCACAGAGACTGGACACAAGCTGGAACTCATAGGAAATTTCACATTTCCTTGCTTCCATACAGTCAGCATCTTTTCATTGGTTGCTCTGTGACCTCGTAGCCACCCATATGTTAGATAGCTTCACACTTTTAAGATGGGGGTGGGGGGGTTGAATGAGGGATAAAATTATTTTGTAGGGTTTGGCAGAAATCTGTACTTCAAATAAGCTATGTGTGAGCTGTCTTTGAGAAGAACACGTGATGTAGTTTTTGATCTTCATTTTACAGATGTACATAAGTAGTACAATTAAAAACAAATGTGATCCAATATTGTAGCACTGTGTATCTGCTTAGGTTTGTGAAAAATACCTCTCATTAGTCTATAAACCATCACAATCTAGTGGCTTTGGAGTCCTGGTACCCCCTCCTCATATTTGCTGTGTGACTTTGGTCTGCTAGCTTCTCTGTATTCCATCTGTGGTAAGGGGTTCTTTCACAGACAATCACACTAATGGGATGGGGTTTTATGTGTGATGGGCTCCCCAGCATAAACAATCTGAGACCATTTCTTAACAATAGTTCTCACAGCTTCCTTATAAATGCATTGCTTAAGATTTAACAATTATCTTTAATATAATTATGATTTTAAGAATTTCGATTTAAGGCTCTTTGTTCAGAAAGGGATGTGCTCCATCCTTAGCTTGGGAGCAATGATGTCTCACTTGGCTGCAGTCCACAGGCATCTCACACAGCTAGGAAACACCTAGCAAAGAAGACAGGACTTTTCTTCCTGTGGGCTTCTTTGCCTTAGACTGGAAATCCAAGCCTTCCAGCACACCATTCCCTCTTGTCTCTTGGGCTAGGTTTCAGTCATATGTCCATGCCTAACCCTCTCACTAGAAAAGGAATGAGGCCACCATGATGGGTTTGAACAATTCTGCTTTATCCCTTGGGCTGGAGGAGGACTCACCTCTCTAAGCACGGAGTATGGGCATCACTTATACTCTGAGGAGCAAGTGGGGTGAGGGGCATGTATCTTTTGGGTCAGTAACCAACATTCTCCCACATTGACAGAATTATCCTGGTGTGCCTCTTTTTTTTTTTTTTCTTTTTTTTTAGACAGAGTCTTGCTCTGTTGCCAGGCTGGAATGCAGTGACATGATCTCAGCTCACTGCAACCTCCACCTCCCGGGTTCAAGCAATTCTCCTGCTTCAGCCTCCCGAGTAGCTGGGACTACATGCGTGCACCACCACACCCAGCTAATTTTTGTATTTTTAGTAGAGAAGGGGCTTCACCATGTTAGTCAGACTGGTCTCGAACTCCTGACCTCACGTGATCCACCCACCTCGGCTTCCCGAAGTGCTGGGATTACAGGTGTGAGCTACTGTGCCTAGCCTCCTGGTGTGCCTCTTAAGGGCAAAAGTCTATCTTGGGGAGGAAAAAGTTTATCCTAGGGCTCATTTTTTCCTCATTCTGAAACAACTAGAAAATATTTAATCAATATCCCAAAAACTTTCACAAAAATGATTTTATTCATCTTAGACCAGTTCTATCAGTTATATAGTATTTCATATTACTTTAAAACAGAACTGAATAAAAATTGGAATAGAGACCTGTTTTCAGTGGCCTTTCCTGCTTCCTTCTAAAATAAGAAATGATAAGGTATTGCTGTAACATAAACAATTTTTCAAAAGCTTTTATTAAAATAGTTGTTTTAAAAAAAGCTATACAGTATAGCCTGGTGGTCAAGGACATAAAGAACTTGATTTAGGTTGCTATATCTTATTTGGCATTGACATGATGGTAGTCCTCACCAGCAAAATGAGGAAAATAATTATAAATACTTTAAAGGATTGTTGTGAAAGTTGATTGAGATTACCATGTGTACATATACCTACATGTTTTTATTCTTAACACAAAAGCTATTACATAGTAAGATTTCAACAGATTTGTCTATTTTTACTTACAATAATATTTACAAAAATCCATAAACATACGAGCTAATACTTTTTTACATAGGACAGTTAAAATCAAACTCACACCTTTTAGAAGTAACAACTTAGAGAACAAAATATAAAGGCTGCCATGTAGTTCATAATACAGTTTTATGGGAGGTGTTGTAGTAGCTCTCATGCCTCTTCCAAAGACTCTTTCTTCTAGTTGGCTTGATGTGAGTCAAAACTTTAGAGTAGAGTGATGCCTTTGCCGTCATGTCGGAGAGAAGAATGCCTTCACTGTACATAAACGTTTAGAATCCCACGATCCATTCATCCAGCAAGTAGACTGAAAGCAGCTCTTGGCTGCTCGTGACATAAGCGGGATGACGCATGTTAACAATGGGTGTCACCAATCTCTTAACTTCCTGGATTATGGTCCTGGTAAGCTGTAGGCTCTGCACAGCAAGCCAAAACCACATGAAGGCAGAATGGACAGTGCATGTGAATATAAACATCAGTTCTTTTGCAGAAAAAAAAAAGTATCTGCTTCATAAAACATCACAATTCCTTTTTGGTTTCTAGAAAGCTGCATATAATATTTTGCGTTGGGAAAACTTTCAGTAATTATCTAGTCAAGAATAGCTATCAGCTTGAGCCCTTAACCACATGCTCTTACCTGCATTTTATATGTGACTCTTCTGGTCTGCTCAAGGGCAAATTTTAACTGAGAGTGAAGCTCTTCCTATGATTGGACACAGCACAGAGGTTCTACAGCAGCCACTTTGGCTGGAGGGACAGTGATGCTTACTTTCTGGATCCAGGGCTCTGGGTTATAAATGATGAATGCAACTCAAACTTATTTAAGTAAAAGAGAGAATTTAATGGAAATGTCACTGAGTATCTCATACAATCAAAGGCAGGGGTAAATACCAATATTCGAGAAAGGCCAGACGTAACTAGGCTTAAATTCTGGAAGCAGGGCCTCACTCACAGAAACAGAGCTTCTCCTTCTTGCTTCTGTGCCTCCCTAAATGGTGGCTTCTTTCTTTTTTTATCACTGCAGATTGACTTTCTCCAAATGACTAAAAGCATGGCTGCCAATGAAATCCTAGTTTTATATGTTACAGTTTTCACCAAGCAGAGCAAGACTGACCCTGTATCATATTGTATCATATTATACGAATGTGTTTAAAACAACTTGATGGGGCAGTCCTCAGCAGAAGCGGTGCTGACCTGAGTGTTCCACAGTCCTCTATTGCATGGATATACGGTAAAAGCAATGCGAGGAGGTAGGTAGTCCTAGCTTCCATTTACCAACAAAGGCTGCCTGTGGTCTTTGAGAACTTCTTGTTAAAATTGCTCATTCTCAATTTGGAAGCTCAGGATGGTGGTATGGGAGGAGGGGAACGATCGCACATGAAAGTAGCTGAGCAGAGAGAAGGGAAGTAGGGCACATCAATGAAGCATCGTCAACACAAAGCAGAGGGCTCTGGACCTCCCAGCTCTTTTCATATTAAATCCTTATGCTTCTCCCAGCTGCCTCTTCTTCTCTCCTGCATCACACCTCTTTTTAATATTTTACCCCATCACTTTTAAAATGAAGACCTTCTGTGTACTTAGAAGACTTTAGTCCTCTTCCAGAGAAGCAGTGTAAGATTTGATGCAAAAGTCTAAGGTATGGCAGATTCTGTCACTTCAGAGAAGTGCTTGCCCATGTCTTCTTGTTCTTTTTCTCAGAATAACAGAATCTGAGGATTGAAACAGATCAGCCTTGAGGGCCATCAAATGCATGGATTTGCTGTGTATCTCCCATTGCTGGTATTCATGACAAGTGGCCATCCAGACTGCTTGATCACATACCAAAGGGAAACTCACCACTTTTCAGGAGAGCCCATTCTATCTTTAGACCGTTCTGACCATTAGAAGTACTTCATTGTGTTAAGCTCCACCTGGGCCAAAAATGTGTCTTTTCTTGTTGCTTCCACCTGTTGGTCCTAGTTCTACCACCTGGAAACAAAGAGAAAAGTGTAATGTCTTTCCTTAACACACACCTTTCAAAAGATCCATCATGTTCACCATATTTCTCCCTAAGATCATTCTTCTCCAGTTGAAGCAACTGTTCTTCCTATAACTGTTCTCTGTAGTTTGGGATTTCAAGTTCCTCTGTTGATCTGGACACTCTGTTTTAAAAGCTTTACTTATTTAAGTGTTTCTCTTTATTTTTTTTTTCCTACAATAATCAGGCATAGTCTTCCAGATGGGGAAAGATCAACACAGAAAGAACAGAACTAATAACCTTTATCATTATATATATAGAACTTCTGTTCAAGAAAATCACGTTTATCTTTTGGGAAGACCAACCTATGCTTGGTCACTCTTTATGCCAAAAATTACATAGTGATTAATTTATAATGAAATTTAAATGAGAAAAGTATTTAAATGTTATTAGTTGCTAGAAGTAATTCGTGTTGATGTGAGAATTTCAGGCATCAGTAATTCAAATTGGAATGGAAAAGGGGTGGGGACAACTCATGAATTGCCATAGCTCTCCAAATCATGTATCTGCTTTACTTCCTATTCATAATGCTAGCACTATCCATTAAGTCAAAAATCGTGGGCAGGCTGGGCACGGTGGCTCACGCCTGTAATCCCAGCACTTTGGGAGGCCAAGGCAGGCGGATCACGAGGTCAGGAGATCGAGACCATCCTGGCTAACACGGTGAAACCCCATCTCTACTAAAAATATAAAAAATTAGCCGGGCGTGGTGGCGGGTGCCTGTAGTCCCAGCTACTCGGGAGGCTGAGGCAGGAGAATGGCGTGAACCCGGGAGGTGGAGCTTGCAGTGAGCCGAGATGCGCCCCTGCACTCCAGCCTGGGCGACAGAGTGAGACTCGGTCTCAAAAAAAAAAAAAAAAAAAAAAAATTGTGGCCAGAATAAGCCCATATCAGAGAATAATTTGATCCCTTTCTTCCTCTTTATGAGATCCATAAGCTTAACAAATATTTGTGTCCTGGTTATATACAAAAAAAAAAAAAAAAAAGGATTCTGGGATAAGAACCCCAAAGGGTGCGCTGCCCTCAAGTTTCTATGTAAGCCAGTGAATTGAGGCTGGGTAAGCCCATGAATTGAGTAAAGCAGGCAAGTGCTTTAGTGCCCTCACCAAAAGGTACTGTGTAAGCCAGTGAATTGAAGGAGAACAAGAGGTCGCCGTGTTGGTTTGGGTGGTACAGTGGGTTCACTTGAATAAATTCTCAACTTCTTGTTCCCAGAAGCACAGCTAGAAGTGGACCCAGTTTAAGGGAGCTGGAGTGAAGCTTGGGGGGTGAATCAGAGAAGCTGCAGCCCCATGTTAGCTGGATATCCTAAATTAGGGACATGTTATGGACTCATCAGGAAAAGTGATTACTCAGAAAATAATGCATAATATTCTCTTCTATTTATATATTTTAAGGTTTGAAATGAAGATATGGCATATATATGAAGATTCCAGGACAAAGGAATTTAAAATTTTGAATTCTAAAAATATAATAAGAAATAAATGGTGACTTGTTATAAATCTAACCATATGTCACTCATTCTTGTTTTTTTTCTAAAAATATCTGACCATGTTGCCCGTCAACACTGGCAAAGTAAACTGGCTCATGCCCTGTGATTTTACATATCAGCAAGGGAGTCTGACATTTCTTCTGTTGGCAATACATAGTCCTGTAGCTGGCCCTCTGTGACCTTCTTCCACTTCCATCAAGGAAGCCTGAAAATTATGACTAAATCAGGACGGGGCTGGAAGCTCTAGTACCATACCCACAGAGCTTGTTAGTTCCCTTGTATTAGTAAAGCTAAAATTGAAAATTTCATCACCTCCTTAGCCTCAGAAAGGTACAGTCTAATGGGTTCAGGTATAATCCTAACCTCATTTGGTTGCCACAAGGGAGGAAATGCAGGACTGTAGATAGCTTGAAGCTACCTGCCACACAACTGAGAAAATAAACTCAAGAGCCCTTAGAGTAAGGACAGTCAGATTCATCGTTAAGGTACAACTAATGGTCATGCTTAGCAACTTATCTAAGGGATTCCTGTCTCAGTATCACGTATTTACCTTCTGAATATCATAATGCTAATAGACATAAAATTTATTTCTTTATTTTAGAATGAAAGGAAGACTTCATGATTGGTGTGCTATGTTGAATAATCGGGAATACTTTAGGATTATCTTAACAAAGTCAGAAATACTTGTTGCCTAATTTCCTTACTCATAGGAAATCTTTTATTTCTCCAACAGGTTATTTGGTTTTTACAAGGGAATTCTGCCACCTATCTTGGCTGAAACCCCAAAAAGAGCAGTGAAGGTAAGCATTGCATGCGTTCGCACCAAGCAAAAGTAGGGCACAGTAACAGCTTCAGCACAACAAACTCTTAAGACATTAAAATGAATTATATATAAAGCACTAAAAATTTTAATGCAGAAATTATAGCATAATTTTTATTATAATTAGACTTGGTCAGTCTCTCAAATATGTAGATCAATTTGTAGATTTTTTTAATCAGGTAAAAGCATTCCATTCTAATGGGGAAATTATTCAAAAAACAACATGGTGAATAAAATTCTAGTAATCAAACCACAAAATAGCTTGGACCTTTCTTCAAAGCAACTCAGAAATTTTTCTTTGGAGAAACAATTATTAAAGAAAGAGAGATGGAGGGAAGAGGAAAGAGGAGAGGAGGGAAAACTTTTCTCCCTAAATCATTCCCATTTCATGAACAGAGTAAACCAATATACCATATTTCTTTATATATGATTCTCATATAACATAATTTTTTGGAATGCCAACTTCATTTTCCCCCTTAGTCTCCTCTGTTAAAATTCTCTATTCTGGTTCTTAACAAAAATTATTACTTCCACTACCCTGATTTCCATTTACTTAACCACATAACTGTAGAGGTTTATGTACTACTTGCTAGTTCAGTATCTGAAGAGGAACAGGGAGATCCAGCAGAATGTCCAGGGGCAAAAGAACTCAATCTGACTACTGTCTTCTCTCAGACAAAAGTCCTGATCATAGCGACTCTGACAGGCATTGCTCCCCTCCCCCGCACCACTGACATCACCAAATAAGGCTTTGTCCTTCCATAATAATGATAACCTAAACTTAAAGACTTACTTTCCAAGCAACATAAGGTTTTTTTTCACATACATTACTCATGTGTGTGAAATGTATTCGCAGTACTCCTGAAAGACAAGAAGGAACAGTTCATATACTTTTACTCAGTAAGTTCAAGAGGGTGACTGGATTAAAAATTATGATAAAATCACCCACATATATACATGAACATCCAACCTTTATATGATGTCAAAGTGGCAATTTAATAGGATTGAATTCAAGTCTAGAATTTGGAAAACAAAGCTTTAGAACATACTTTCTCTATAAACTCACCCTCTTTGTTGGTATAGGTTTTGTGATTTTATAGTATCACTTCAATACAAATTTTGTTATAAGGATCTGAATCACAGTAATGAATCTGGAATAAGTTCACCAAAGTAGACAAAAGAGCTGAATTGAATTATGAAATGGCTTTACTTGATAAAAGATTGCCCAAGTAAACAAATAGAGCAGAGTTCCTGTTCAAAAGGGAAGTCACTTTGTCTGCATGGAATAATATACTCATCTGTTCAGTGAGTTACATGTATAGATAAAGTAAACTAAAATTAGAGTTTTTCCTGGAATATTTTTTTCTTAATATTATGTGTTGGAGACAATTTAAACTTTAAGAGGATTAAGACTTATCAACATTAAGCAATCTTTTACAGAAAAAAATAGTTGAGCTTTATAAAACAGAGTCAGTCCCTATTTTCCAAAAGCAATGTTCTGTGCCAGAACAATGGTTAACAGATGAACTTTTGGGCAACTGAATATGGTGTATGTGTCCCAGACATCTTGTTTCAAGTAGATTTTACCTTAAAATTATTGAGACATATGGTAAGTTTGTTGGCTTTTTAAGTATAACTTGGAGTTAAGTGTATCTTTGCCAGATGGATAGCACTAGTTTTTCAACACAATTTATGAAAACATTCATTTTATAGATATTTATCTTAGGATTTGTGAGGAAAGCAATCACCTGATTTTAACGATTTCATACATCATAAACTGCTTCATTGTATGTCATCAAAGAAAAAAAATATTCAGAGACTGAGGGGGGCGGGGTGTGTGTGTGTATTCTTTGGTACTGACACTTTAGTTAAAATCATTACCATAATTAGAAACAGACAATCTTAAGTTTTTATGTACTTTATTCTTTGAAATGAGCTTTATCATTAAAGTAATAAGACTTACTGATGCTAAATAAATGAAATTTCTCCTTTCACAAATTAGACAGAGTTAATATTGTAGTTAGCAAAAGGAAAAGAAGACTTCAGAGAGACCAGCTGATCCCTCACAGATGGGCGGCACCATGGTTCCGGCTTCAGGGTCCAGTCTTGAGCTTCACACATACAGAAATACCAGTTTTCCCATGTGCAGTTTCTCAAGGACTGCCTTATGCTAACTAAATTCACAAGAGATTATAAACTATGAAGGCTAATTAGTTCACTACAGTATACCTATACCAATCATAGTATCTACACATACTAGATGTTCAGTTGATATTAGATGAATAAAGGAAACATATATAAAAAGAAACAGAAAGAAAACTTAAAAGAAAGAAACAAAGAAATATACATAGAGAGAAAATTCCCACATCCACTGTTCAGAGTATCTGGAGGGCCAAGACTTCCACTCCTGGTGGAGATAGAGTAACAGGGACCAGTATGAAATAACAGTTTTCAAGACACTGGACATCAGATGATGAAGGCTGGAAATGCCTGAGAAATGGAAAACAAATGAAATGAGCCCTGTGATGCCACAGCTTACCACCTTGGGATACTTTCAGGCCCCGGGACAGGGAGGGGAAACTGAGGCAGAGCCCAGGGGACTCCCTGGGTTGAGAAGGAGCTGAAAGCCAGGGGAGAGCAGGGCAGCCAGAGTCCACAGGACAGAGTACCAGGGAAGAGCAGGCTGCACAGAGATAGAACTCCTGAGATCTGTAGAGGGACCCCTCAAGTGTTCAGCTGAGTATTGACCAGTGCACGCCTGCAAGGAAACTACCAATGCCTGGGAAAGAACCACCCAAAAGGCTTTGAGGGAACAGTGCTCAGCAGTCACATGGGGCTGAGAATAGTGCCTATTCCCACCAGCCAGACTGGAAAGCTTCAGCAGCCCCAGGGCATTGAGAGGAGTGCTCATATACTTAAGGCCTCTATGATTCCTTTGGTAACCTAAGTTACAGGGAATAAAAACTAAGATTTTTCAAAAGTCTTACTTGTGCCAGTCCTGTCAGGGAATCTTACTTAAATTATCTTATTTAATGATAATCTAAAAGGTAAGTTTTGTGTTCCTGAGAGTTAGAAAGGTTAAGCAGCTTTCCTGTGCTTTCACAGCTAAGCAGCATAACCTGGATTCAGCTCTAGGACTGCTCATTTCAAAATGCCAGCAAGGTGACTGTCAAAGTGATGATGATGATAATCATAAAAATGAAGAAAAATAAATTACTTTTAAAAGCTAAGATTGCCTGTAATCCCAGTACTTTGGGAGGCCGAGGCGGTCGGATCACGAGGTCAGGAGATCGAGACCATCCTGGCTAACACGGGGAAACCCCGTCTCTACTAAAAATACAAAAAAATTAGCCGGGCGTGGTAGCGGGCGCCTGTAGTCCCAGCTACTCGGGAGGCTGAGGCAGGAGAATGGCGTGAACCCGGGAGGCGGAGCTTGCAGTGAGCCGAGATCGCGCCACTGCACTCCAGCCTGGGCGACAGAGCGAGACTCCATCTCGAAAAAAAAAAAAAAAACCTAAGATTATAACACTTTTCCTTCCATGGTTAATGGTTTCTAGTGGTTAATGGTTTCATCAGAAAAGTGGTGGTCCCTGGTGTTTGCCGTTGAGTACTATTTTAACACCAGGGTAGTTTCAGGGCTTTCACTAGCCACTAGAATGTTAGCTCAAGTAGGCAGAGGTTTCTCTTTGTTTACTGTTGCATCCCCAGTACCTAGAATAGGAGGTCTCTAATAGTATTATTAAACGAGTGAATGAATGAATCCCTGTTTTAGAAAACTCTACATTCATAGTGCATTTGAAAGACCATGGCACAAAAGTAGTTCCTGAGTGTTGAAAAGAATCAAAATTTACCAGATAGTAAAACGATTCTTGGGCTGCCCAAACACTCACTGAAGCCATCTATAAGGAGCTACTTCTTCCTAACAACAGAGTATTTTTGGCTCTGAAATCTGGTTTTGCTTTCTTGCCCCATTTTACTGGGCTATAAAATAATAGAGTAGAAAATATTGGGGACCATATAATACCTATAACATTTTTGGGGTCTCGAGAATCAGACTCTAGCAGAACTTAAAAACGTGCCTTATCAGTGGTGTTGACAGCTACCTGAACATGCTACCCAGGAGCAAAACATGTTCAAGCACAGTTGTTGCTCAAAAAGTAGAATAGAGGAAGAAAAAAGGGGGGAAATGTATTATATGAAGCAATTGATTAGATTCGCCTCCATTGAAATTTGTTTGCAGAGAAAATGATACTAAACATTGTCTACTGAAGAAACCAACAATACCTTCACGATCTTCATCACCATCAGTTTTGAAGGAAGGAATTAGCAGCTTTCTTCATTCAGGTTGAGGACAGTCTTGCTTTATGGCAGGGGATGGACTAGATAACCTCATTGAGTCCTTCCCTAGTTTATCATGGCATCTTCATAATTATTTAGTGTTTTCAATTCCATGGAGCAGTGGGGAGACACCACAATAGAAATGCAAGTTAAGGCTGAAAAGTGGATGTCTTTTACAAATGTGTTAGAAAATTGGGCTTTCACTGGGAAAGCAGTTCATAGAGAAAACATAGGAGACCAAAGATGTCAGGTCTCTAGGCCTATAATGTTGAATCACTGCCATATATTGATGTCTGGGGAAACTGAAAATGGTCATGGTAAATGGAAGTTGTATGGTTCATTTACTGCTCTAAAGGATTTCATCAGCTCTTCTGTAGGTTATTATAACTGCATTTGAAACTGTGAATGTTAAAGAAAGATCCAATAGCAACTGCCCGAGACAGGATTAAAAACTGTATTAGATAGTTTATCATTTTTTGAAATGCTGGTTAACATAATGATTTACCAAAGAAATTTGAGTCAATTAAAGAGTTTGTTGCAGGAAAATTGTTATAAATCTGTGAGTTTGGTTTTGTTTCACAGTTTTTCACCTTTGAGCAGTACAAGAAATTGCTGGGATATGTGTCACTGTCACCAGCATTGGTAAGTGAGAGTATTTATTATACTTAAATGTGTGTGTTATTTCATAAAGCAAAATCTAGAAACAAAAACTCTTTTGATTTCCAAGCCCAGCTACTAAAATATGAATTCGAGTTATTCAGTGTTCAGCTACTTGTTGAAAGCCATCTTCCTAATAACTCACAATTTGGCTATTTTATAGCTCCCAGTGATGAATTTATGATAATAATGATATGTCTGGAAAGGCCCCATATGAGATATGGTCAAGAATATGAAATAAAGAGTACATTTATCAAAGACTCCTTTTAAACCAAGACATGCATGTATTTACATACATACTGCATATATCTATCCAAAAGTCAACATGCCAAACAGGTCACTTTTCCAGCTTTTGCACCAGCTGTAGTAAATATAAGACTTCAGATCGATCCCTTGGGATAAAGTCACTCTGTGGTCAGATGCAGACTGAAGGGCCTTTTATAGGAATGACTGTAAACAACTCAGCTAAGGAGAATTGTGATATTACAATGACATATCTCATGTATCACACAAAATTCACTTGGTGATTTGAACATTTCCCTATGCCATTCCCCTCCTTTTTGGTGACTTTGCTGCTTTTCACAGAAGTTAATTGTATTGACCAAATGGGTTCTACAAATGTGTGTGCAACAAGAGCCCCTGAGAGAGCAAATGCACTAATTTCTCCTTCCAAGTCTGCAAAGCAAAGCAAAACAAAATCTGCATTGGCCCTCCAATTGGCAATGTACTCCAGCCTCTAGGAAAATGCCCTCATTTGTCCAATGAAATGGACAATATTTGAGATATGTATTCTGCCAAATAGGCTGTCCAAGAAGAAGTATCTGTTATTTTTAAAAAATCATACATGCCCCTTTTCTAGGAAAAATCCTGTTAGGAAACCTAATAGCATCACTTTTTGTTATAACAAAGCAATGTCTTGTCCAGCCCTTGCCTATACAAGATAGCTGGGAGACATGGCTTCCTAGAGAGGAGCAGTGATACCATGAATCTCGAAACTAGCTGGGATTTTTTCCTTTTAATTCTTTGGCATCTTCCCTTAATGTCATTCTTAAGTTTGGAAACAGCTTGGCAAAAAAGAGGATTAAAAATTTCCTAGTGAGAAACAATAAAATATTGTCTCCAGAGGGCCAGCTGGCTGTTCTTGTGTCAAACATTGGTACCATGTGAGAAACTGTAGGTCTTTGGACTCTTGAGAATTGAAACAGAAAAGCATTTGGTCACTGCAGCTACTATAACCAAATGCATGCCAACTGTGTACGGTTCTTCTCTTTTCTTGAACTCATTTATTTCAGTTACTTTTTTTTATATGGCTAGACATTTAAACAGCTGTTAAATGTCCCCTGGTGCTCTCACATGAAAAGCCTAGGAGACTGGAAACCGAACAGTAAATGTAGGTTTCTGGAACAACCTACGTAACATGATCTGCTGATATCTGATCAATTCTTTTGACAAGGGACTGCTGAACACTAGTTCTGACAGCAAATGTAGCTGAGTTTTATAGAAGAACAAAAAAGTGAATTACTTGGAAGATTGCATAGAGTAAGTAATAAAAACCTGGACATCTGGATTTTAGCTTTCCCAGTCAAAAGAGTTTGGGACTAGTATTTTTTTTTCCACTTTTGGCTTCTATCATGGAAGTCTGAGATAAATGAATAAAATATTTGATGAGTTACCCTATACAAATATGTTTAAAATTATAATGAAGGGAGATGAAATGGAAACATCATCAGTGAGTCTCTCTCTCCTAGAATCTGTATGCAATTTCTTTCTTTCTTTCTTTTTCATTTTCTTTTTCTTTTTTTTTGAGACAGAGTCTCAATCTGTCGCCCAGGCTGGAGTGCAGTGGCATGATCTCAGCTCGCTGCAACCTCCGCCTCCTGGGTTCCAGTGATTCTCCTGCCTCAGCCTCCCCAGAAGCTGGGATTACAGGCATGCACCACCAAGCCCAACTAATTTTTGTATTTTTAGTAGAGATGGGGTTTCACCATGTTGGCCAGGCTGGTCTTGAACTTCTGACCTCAGGTCATCCACCCAACTTGGCCTCCCAAAGTGCTGGGATTACAGGCGTGAGCCATTGCACCTGGCCCATTCTTCCTTTTTTATGCGCAACAAGAACAATGGTGTTTGCATAGCACTCTATGAAATGGTTTCACACATTATTTTGAGCCTTAAAATAACTTTATAAGCAGGGAAATTAGATATTATTATTTCCATTTTACAGATGAGAAAACTGTGGCTCATCAGAGATTCAGCAATGTATACAACAGAGCCACAACTAGCACCCATGGCACCTTTGGGTAAATAATGAAAAGTTGCCCCTTCTCCTGACCGATGCCTCTCCAGGGCTTCTCTTAGCAAGTGAGGGGCAAGCTGGATTCCAGCCTCCAAGCACCCTTGGTTGGGCACCTTTGTCTATGCACAAGCTACTGTGTGTTACAGTTCTAGTCACACAGCCAGTAAGTGCTAGAATTGGACCTAAACCTAGACCTCCTGTCTCTGGATCCTGCCTTTGTGCCTCCCTTTCTAAGGTTACACAACATTCCTTTCTCCCTCCTTCCTCTCTTTTAGAAGATATTCCTTTCTCCCTCCGTCCTCTCCTATTTAGAAGATATTAGAGCCCATTAACAAGAGTTACCTGTTATTTACTCTTCACTGGTTTTATTCTTCTCTTGGTTGTCTATAGTACTGCCTCTTGTCCTGGAATTGGAGGTTCAGCACTAAATAATTACCTTTTTTCCAGCATCTGTTTTGGAGACTGGGGCTTTATTTCATTTTGTTCTTCTGTCTTGTGTGTGCATGTTTTAATTGTTGTGCTTATTTTTGATGCAGATTTTCTGGAAAACACACAAGCATTCTACCTAGAGGAAAATTCTAGAAAATTGTCCTTTCCTGTTGCAGAAATTCTTAACAGATAGCGAATAAGAACTTGACATACAGTCACCTTTTGATAAGTTTTCTACATTTTATTTGAGCCTTTCAGAATAACCTAGTCATTTCTTTGTCTTTGTCTTTCTTTTCTTCTTTTTCTTCTTCTTCTTCTTTTTTTTTTTATTTTATTTGAGACAGGGTCTCACTCTGTTGCTCAGGCTGCAGTACAGTTGTTCAATCATAGCTCACTGCAGCCTTGAACTCTTAGGCTCAAGTGATCCTCCCACTTCAGCTGCCGAGCAGCTGGGACTGTGGGTGCACATCTAGCCATTTCTGATCTCAGCTTTTAGGTTTAGAAGACTGCGTCAATTGCCGGTGTTTTTTAAAATAGGGAAAAGATGAATAAAAAATAATTTTTGTTTGTTAATAGTCCAGAATAGTGACTCTAAAAACATGAACATAGAGTTAAATGTTTCCAGCTATGTTGTTACCTGAAATTTAGCTTTTTAGAAACATTTTATTTGTGGTTGTGCTCCTTGGATTTCTTATATGCTCAATAAAGGAATTTAAGTAGATGTTTAAAAATGAAGCTCTCTTTTTACAATTCAAATTCTCTTAATTGTTATCTGTGCAGATGTTTTAATATCCACCTTTAAATCAGTAAAACAACCTTGCTTTTTGTTAAAGGAAAGAGTCGTTGTTGATGGGGCTTTGACATTTTATTTTGAAATTGTTAGGATGTGGTTTGTGGCTTCTGTAATTTCTTCTTCATGAATTGTCAGCATCTAATCAAGAACTAAAGCTGTTTAGTAATGGAATATGGTGCGTTTATGTAGGTTTCTCCATTCTCTTTATAACGTTCAGCTGCATAGTGTAATGAATAGGATGTTTAACCCCATACACATGATAACTTGTTTTAAAGTATTGATTGATTTAATTTTTCTAGACATTCGCCATTGCTGGATTGGGATCTGGACTAACAGAAGCCATTGTAGTTAACCCTTTTGAGGTAGTAAAAGTTGGCTTGCAAGCAAATCGGAACACATTTGCAGAGGTAACCATTTAATGTTTTTCTATTGTTAGGGGCATGTAAAAATTTATTTATTTATTTATTTATTTATTTATTTATTTATTTATTTATTTATTTTGGGACAGAGTTTTGCTCTTGTTGCCCAGGCTGGAGTGCAATGGCGCAATCTCGGCTCACCGCAACCTCCGTCTCCTGGGTTCAAGCTATTCTCCTGCCTCAGCCTCCCTCGTAGCTGGGATTACAGGCATGCACCACCACACCCAGCTAATTTTGTATATTTTTTGTAGAGACAGGGTTTCTCCATGTTGGTCAGGCTGGTCTCGAACTCCTGACATCAGGTGATCCACCTGCCTTGGCCTCCCAGAGTGCTGGGATTGCAGGCGTGAGCCACCACGCCCAGCCATAAAAACTTATTTTTAATGTGCATGTGAAACAATGGGCACAACTTTTATCCACTTATTAAAGGAATAGCAAATCACTGTTAAGGAAATAGCGTAAGAAAAAATCAAGTATCTCCTGCAAGTAAAGTGTTAACAAAAATGCACTGAGATCTAATGGACAAACACTTGTTTATTGTTTATTCATTTTTTATTTTAGAGCTCTAATATAATCTGAAGTGACTTATTTGGAAATATTCTCCCAGCTGCTGGCAAAACTTCTTTTCAATTGCTCTAGAATGGACTATAGCTAAACCACTGAGGTGATAACATTATTTTGCTTTAAAAAAAAAACTGAGTCATTTTTTTAAAAAATGACCTCACTCCTTTCCCCACTACACCCACCACCCATCCTGGAAGATTCTGATAATCTGTCAAATTTGTCTTTTGGTTGAATCTGAATGAGCACTTGGACAATGACGGGTCTTGACATTTCATCATTGGTACATGACGTATTGTGCAGACAGCATTCCTTGGTGTGTGCTGCCTTCACTTCCTTCCAGTTACCTAAGAATTCCCTTTCAACTGCCAAATCCAGCTGTTCTTGTTTTATTCTTTTGGGTGCCAGGCACAAGGTAGGAGGAAAACAAGGGGATTGGCATTCCAGGTCCCTTCTTAGCTTTTTAATTTAATTCCACAACTAGGTAGCATGTGGTAGAAATTGGTTTGGAGTATCTGCTGACCTGATCTTTCTGTAGGAAAGTTTCCCTGCCTACTGCATAAGCAGCTGCTAATGGGTGGAGACCCCCTCACTCCCACCCCACTTCCTGCCTGCTGATGCTGCCTGAGAGCTTCCTGGCAGTTTCTCAGGCAGGGGTATGGGGAAGGAGGGGGGCCCTACTCACCTTTAGCTGCCAAGACCTGAGGGGACAGGGTTGGGCTGTTACAGTAGATGGTATCTACTCAGATGAAGTCAGTCCTAATTCAGGGGGAATTTTTTTTACATTTCAAAAGATTGTCTTAAATACAGTAATATATAGCATCTTATAAAAAGTTGAAAATCTCTGTATTCTAGTTTTCGTTTCTCTTTACTCTTTCTTGAATAAACGAAAAAGATGGTGCGGAACAGGGGGAGGGGAAAAGAAACATTTTTCAAATGGCTTATTAATATGGAGCATTTAAAACAGTTCCCATGGAATCTGCTTAAGGAAAACTTGGTTTGTAGGACTGGGAGAATTACCAGTTAGAAGAAAATTGCAGAGATCCCTGTCCGGTGTTCCCATCTTACCCCTTGGGAAGCTTGTCTTGAAGCAGCAGTGAGTAGGCAAAGGAATAAACAGGACTTGAGCTGCAATTCTTTATCTAGGCAGCATGTAACCACAAGGACTCAAATGGGACAGAGCATCAAGGGGCACTTGCAGGAATGAAAGTCATGAGTTATCAGGGCACCTCGGCTCATGCTAATGTTCTTTTTCTCTCCATTGCCCTCAAGGAGGCTCTGCACTGAGGCCAAGTAAGAGCTGCTAATGTTTTGTATGTGCTAATGACTTGCAAGAATGCAATAAACACCCTTCCTGCCCAACAAAAGAATGTGCTGCATGTGTACATGCTTCCAGTTCATCACTTACACAAATGCAGTCGGTGTAAATTATGTATATTTAGCCATTTTTTAAAGCAGGGGCCAGGGGATAGTGGGAGCTTGTTCGGGGTCATTTCTTTTGCATTATCCACTGAACTGGACATTATCAGGTATTTACTTAGAATAAAATCAATTAGATGCATTATAAAATATTTTAAAAGTGACTTTATTTAGAATTTAGCAAAGTAGTGATTACATAGGTAACATGCATCAGCATTTATTTACAGCAACTAGCAGAATTCAGTAGCTGAAATGAGGTGGTGTTTTGATGTGGCACATTATGGGCAATGTTCATCAAATTGAAGCCATAGGTGCTTTTACTCAACAGACAGTAATGGGATTGTGACTATTGTAGAAAATGTCTGAGAAAAAGAGATGACGTGATAAGAATAGAACATTCGGATATTGCTGGTCATTTTTGCTAGTATCTTATAGGTCTTTTATCTAGGACTCAATAATGCCGAAGCCTTCTTCATTGACTAGCTCCTTCTTTTATCCAACAAGGGGATAGATAACCTTTAGTTAACCTGTGCCTGTGTTGATTTAACTCAAATATTAGGTATGCTCACCTCGGCATGTGTATGGCCAGGAATACTTCTTGCTTTCTTCACTCTAAGGCTTTGTGGGTTGTTAAGTATAAAAGGGAGATGTAGAGGAAGAGGAAGAAGAGGAGGAAGAGAAGTGGAAGAAGAAAAGAATTAATTTAATGTCCACTGCCTTTAAAGATTTGACTTAAAAAAATTAATCCAAGCATAAAAGTAATGCATATTTATGTTATAAAGCACCAAAATATATATGTATTTCTTAAATATGTGTGTATAAGTGCACTAAAAATGATCTAGACTCTAGAGCAGTGCTATCTAATAGAAATATGTGAGCCACATTTTTAGTAGCTACATTTAAAAAATAAAAAGAAACAGGTGAAATTAATTTAATAATATATTTTATTTAACCCAGTATATTCATTTTTCTTGACTATTTTTAGAGCAATTTTAGGTGCACAGCAAAACTGAGCAAGAGGTAGAGACTTCCTATGAACCCCATGCCCCGACACATGCATCATCTTCCCCATGATCAACATCCCCCATCAGAGCAGTCCATTTGTTTTAACTGATGAACCTACATTAACATGTCATTATCACCCAAGTCCATAGTTTACATTAGGGCTCACTCTTGGTGCTGTACCTTCTATGAGTTTGAACAAATGTATAATGACATATATTCACCATTATAGTATCATACAGAGTAATTTCACTGCCCTGAAAATCCTCTGTGTTCTGCCGATTCATCCCTCCCCTCCCCACTTAATCCCTGGCAACCACTGATCTTTTTACTGTCTCTATAATTTCTCATTTCAGTGTGTAATTGATATAAAAATTATATGAGATATTTGCATTCTTCTTTTATACTAAATTTAAAAATCTGGTGTATATTTTGTGTTAACAGCACATCTCAACTAGGACATTTCAGGTGCTCAATGGCCACGTGGGTAGTAACTTCCAACATGTGGGTAGTAACTTTCATATAGGGTAGTTCAGGTCTATAGGAATTCATACTGAAATTCATACCTCTGGAGAGGAGACTGGAATAGAGGAGGAGAAGGTGAGAGTTTAAGAGAAGGGCTTTGTGATGTTGAATGTTTTAACATGAGAATGCATTCATGTTTTGTCTGTGAACATTTACTTTCAAAAGTAATGTATGCTCATCGTAGAAAATTTAGAAAATATAGAACAGTTTAAAGAAAAGTATGTTATCCAAAGGAAATGCTTCTAATGGCTCTGCCAAGATCAAGCCCTGCCTTCAGGGAAGACCTTCTCAACTGATCAGGTGGGAATGACTTGCTGGCCCATCTTGGAGCTCAACCTTGCATAATTCAGGTGCCATGATTTCATTTATAGGAGCAGAACCCATATTTTTTCCTACTCTGTAATTTCTAACAGAGTTTAAACTTTGTTTGCCAATTACTGAAGAGCATATACAATCAGAGCTGTGTAGAACAGGAAGAACAATCTTGTGGGGAGAGACACACTGAAGTTCTCATTACACTTTTTACCATTATCCAACAGTGTGGCCTTGAATAGCGTACCTGCAGTTCCCTCATTGGTAAAATGGTAGTGATCAGTCCATCTCCTTACAGCAAGGCATCTGTGTAGTGGTTGGAAGCACAAGACCTGGAGGGAGATCTTAGTTATTGACTATGTGACAGCCTCACATTTCCTACCCTGACCCTAGCCCAGTTTCCTCATTTGTTAGGAAAAAATAATAGTAATAGCCATGTCAAACAGTCAAATGAGGGTTAAGTGAGACTATATAAAGCTGTCAGTATGGCCTGGCATGCAGTGATGGTTCAGTAAATGTTAGTCATTATTATTACAACATGATTGTTATGAGAATTTTAATGTGTTAATATATGCAAAGGTCTTAACATGGAGCCTGGCAAATGGTAGGCATTCAACCAATGATAACTATTTCTAGATGCAAGGTGATCTTACAAATGCGTAAGTTTAAGTAGAGACAGATTTATTTTGAGATATTGCTCCAATTAATATTGAGCAGTCACAGCTGACTCCAGTTGTGGGCACCAGCACAGCTCACTGAGCAAGGGTCTTCTCCCTCAGTGTGCCTTAGGTCATTATCAGATGCCACTGCCATCCATTCAGCCTGAATTCCTTATCAAGGCTTACGGACTGGCAGCCTGCTTACAGTGCCTGTTGATAAGGTCTTTAAACTCAGATAAGGGCCCATTATCATAAATAGCAGTAGCTGGATATCTGTTTACTGTAAATAACTAGCACTTAGCAGCAGAAGTTAGAGATGAAACAGAACATTTGAGGCCACTTTGGGAAGAATTCTACCACAATCAAGAGATTTCTTCCTCTGGAATAGCTGTATAAAGTTAACATGAATTCTCGATTAAGCCTTCTTAATCACTTCACATGGAAGGTTATGAACTAAGCTCATTTTCAGCCTTTTCAGTCAGCTCCTAGTTGTGGTGGAACACCAAATGGATGGGCTACATGCAGAATGGCCAACTGGCTTGACAACACCTTTAAGAAAAGCAGAGCAGGTACCCCATAGATGCTTATTTTACAGATAGGTAGCTCTTGTCCTGCCAGTTGGGAGAATTTCTCAGGCAGCATGTCTGCTGTTCAACCTGTCTACCCTAATGTCTTGGACATAAACCACCATGGTGTCCTACACAGCATATTTTGGGTTTTCCTATTTCTTCAGCCTAAGGTGGTGAGTCCGTGGGGTCTTTTAGACATGAAATTTCCTAACAACTTCCAGCAAGAAGTTGCTGCAGCTGAGAGGGGCACTGCAGCAGAGGACAGTCGAGGACAACAGTAGCCAATATGACACTTAATATAATACTGAAAGTCTTCTGGGTAAGGGGAGAGACAGCGATGGAACAAAGGAACTGCTACAGTTCCAGGTGCAGAGAGCATGGTCTAGAAGAAGGTGTGGGATGTAGGTGGATGTCCCTTTGGCCATGTGGGGTGGGCCTGGCTGGCAGAGGGCCAGAATGGTGCCCTCTGAAGCACAGGGTCCAGATCAAGGGCCCCTGTAGCCGGGATCCAAGTGCAGCACGGCACAGAGCTGAAGTTCCTTCTGTTAGGTTCATGGCAGCCGAATAATAGGAACTGGAGTCCTGGAGCTGCAAGTGGAGTTCCCATCAAGAACGACAGGTACTGTGCACGCTCCAGCTGCCCCGGGCTCTCCTCTCTGATCCTGTACCCAGTCAGAAGTATGTTACCCACAAAATATGCCTCCTGCCCAGTTTAGCCATAAACTGTTTTTAAAAAATGTGAATTTAAAATGTGGTGAATTTAGTTCCTGATACTGCCCTCATATACTTCCAACTTATGTATAAAATATTTTAATAGGTGTGCTTGTCTTGCCTACACTTCTTAAATTACCACCATATTAGTCAAAGACTATAATCCTTGCCACCCTTCCTCCAACTCTAATACCAGTGTCTTGGCCAGTGTCTTAAACTTCACAGTGAATAAAGAAAACCAGTCTGTAATTTAAATATGCTTGACCTTCTGTGGGGAGCAAAGTAATCATAGCTTTGTCATGCTCTGGTTTGGTTCACTGGGTGTAAAAACATGTGTGGATAAAATTGGGATAGACCCAAATTTCCCCCCATCCTTCAAACTAAACCCAGGCAAAGAGTTGTTCTGATCTGTTGTCTCTTTGGCTTGGGACTAAGCTTGCCCAAGGATTTCCCTATTGGAGATGGTTTGCATACCCAGTCTTGCCAATGTGACTTTGTAGCTTGCTGTCCTTACAGGACCTCCCCAAACTGGGTGCATTGGTTTTTATCTGTATATTTATAAGAACTAGAAGTCCCCTATCAGTTGTGCTAAGGCAAGTGATGTTTGGCTGGCATGCTCTCTGCTAGCCTGGAAAATGTGAATTTCTCCCCAGAAGCAAAATCTTGTATGAATTGTTTCCCAGTTTTCCTCTCCACTTTGAAATCTACTTCAAAGTTATTATTTGGCTAAAGGGTTATGTTTTCCTTCCCTTGAGGTCTATAGGATTTGCCTCTGATGTGTGGCTGGGGCACAGGTTTTCCTTCTACTCTGTCATTTTTTATCTACGTTACATATGAACATAATCATTCTCACCCCAAATATGAACCTAAACCTATAGGAAACTGTAAAAGCCTGTTTTACCTCCATTTCTTCTTTAAAGATGTTCAGCCCAAAAAAGAAATAATTAGTGTTCTATCTTGCTCTGATTATAATTTTAAGGATCAACAAACAGATAGCAAATGTGTAACTGATGGGAAAATCTTTAAAGATAGGGATTTTTTAAAAAATTAGCTCAGGGTTTGGTTCTAGTTTGGGATAACACCAATAAATATAGCTCTACACACTTTATCCTGGGAACTTAATAATCTAATAGAGACCAATTAGATCGTGTATGATATCACAAAGCTTAGTATGTTCTCCATAGAAGATCAACAAATGTTTAAACTTATATTACATAGAGTCAACTTTATGTTGATAAAGTAAATTGAAGGGCTGTATTTTGTGATCATCTCTTTTGAGAGAGAGAGAGAAGTTGAGTTATACAGAGAGTGAGCGTGTGGCTCTGTTTACAGATAGTGGGAGAAGCCAGCTTCAAGGGCATGTCAACATTCATGATGATGTATTGGGTTAAGTTCAAATTTTTCCTGCATTACTGTGTAAAACACTGTCTGGCAACAATTCAGGACAGAAATTATTTCTTTCCAGTCTATGATTCCTGTGGGCAGAAAAGAAAATTATGCATATGAATCCATTCCTATAGTTATCTTTCAATAATATCTAAAGCAGCAGCCAAGTTGTCTCTCTATTATCATTTACAGAAAATAGACTTGTCTTCCATTCAACTGTGCCAGGAACCCTAGATTTTTGTTTTCAGAATCAAGACTTTGAAATAATGATAATAGCTACCATTTACAGAATATCTACTATATATCAGACACTCTGCAAGTTGCCTTATGTGAGTTTTTCCCTTTATTTGATTTTTAAAAATATTAATATAATTTTGTAAATTATTAACATAATACTTTTTTAACAAATCAAGTAAGACAGAGCTATATAAAGAAAAATTAGTTGATTTTTGCCAACATCTCCCTCTAACCCTATCCCACTGGTCGCCACTGTGAACCCTTCCATTTTTCCTGACGCTCACACTCAGTTGATATTTCAAATCCTCTCTTTATAAGGTTGATGGCTTTATCCACATTTTATAAGGTAGAGAAAATAAAGCCCAAAAAAGTTAGCTCTAAGAAACTGAACACTAACATAGATGTCTCTTTCTAGTCAACCACACTGTTTTCATTGGGATAAAGAAATCTAGATAATTAAGAAGCTCAAGGGAAAAGCAAAAGAAAGTGTTTATGAGACCATGAAGAAGCAACACCTCCTCTTTGTTGCCAGTCTTTCCTGAGTCGTAACCCATGTGGCCACAGCACTGTCACCTTTCTTCCTCCCAGCTCTGCCATTGGTGCAAGGGCAAGGCACAGCATGAGCGTCTCATCACCTGCAGGGTGCCGTGCTCCTCCAGGGCTGGCTATTGAATAGCAATTTGATATTGACATAGCTTTGTGGTTCGGTATCTGGGAGGGGTTTTTGACAGCAAATTCTTCTCCACTCACCGGTTGTTTGCAAATAGACCTGTTCATACAACATACACTCTGGATAGACTCTAACTATATCTGCGTATCTTTTTTGTTCATAATCATGCCCTATTAAAACAAACTGTAATGATGAATTTGTGAAATATCTAAGCTAAAAGAACTATAAATGTGGACTTTTTAAGCCTGATTCTTTTCCTTTCACTTACATTTTGTTCTCAAATAAAAGGAAGATTTTTCTATGATTTTTAAATTTTTCAAATGTATGAAAATGCTTCAAGACCTCATTTGAGTAATGAAAAGTATGGATGATTTTCATTTCCTGAAGAACAAGCATATTTTCCTACCTTGGTGGAGCAACTGGGTCCCCTCTTTTTAAACAAAGCAGTGTTTTTCTGAAGGCCCAGATATGGACACTCACTCCATTGTGTAGTCTCATCCGGTTTGCTTTCCAGCTATGTGATGAAATCCGGTACAACACCCGTATTCCATTGGCTTTCAAATGCAACCCGTTCACCTTTCCATAGGAATGCATGTGGAGCGTGCTTTCTTTTGACATGCTGTGCCTAGAACTCTTCTTTGGCCTTAGAGATGGAGGAAATCCACTGACACACCCAAGCCTGTACCCACTGGCCATACTCTGACTGGTATTTACCCAGGGAACAATGCCTGCTGCCTAAAATCCTGCCTGTGATCTCATGAGCTAATCAGAGCCAGGTATCGTCAGTAGTCAGATGGAAGAACTCCAGAAAAAATAGTTGGGGCTGCCACAGGTCATCTCAGTGATTCGTTGGTAGTACTGGGCTCTCAGAAAGTAAGGACTCAGTGCCCCAGAGTGGTGCCTGGGAGCTTCATTTACACCAAGGATCTTCTCTCTCTCTTTTTAACATTTTTTGTATTTTAAAATATATTTTATTAGATATATTTGAGGTTTACAACATGGTGTTACAGGATACAGACAGTAAAATGGTTACTATAGAAAAGCAGATTAACATATGTATCATCTCACATAGTGACTATTTTTGTGTGTGGCAAGAGCAGCTAAAATTTACTTATTTAACAAAAATCCCTAAAACAGTACAACACAATTTTATTAACTCTAGTCCTCATGTTGGACATTAGATCTCTAGGCTTGTTCATCCTGCTGACGCTTTGCACCCTTCCACCTGCATCTCCCCACCTCTCCCCACTCCTCGCATCACCCCTGGTAACCACTGTTTTATTCTATCTACATGTATATTTGACCTTTTTTGTTTTGGATTCTACATATAAGTGATCATATGATATTTTTCTTTCAGTGTTTGGCTTATTTCACTTAGGATCTGCTTATTTATTTATTTATTTATTTATTATTTTTGAGACAGAGTCTCACTCTGTCTCCCAGGCTGGAGTGCAGTGGCACGATCTCTGCTCAATGCAACCTCCACCTCCTGGGTTCAAGGGATTCTTCTGCCTCAGCCTCCCAAGTAGCTGGGACTACAGGCCCGCACCACCATGCCCAGCTACTTTTTGTATTATTAGTAGAGACAGGGTTTCACCACATTGGCCAGCTGGTCTCGCACTCCTGACCTCATGATCCACACTCCTTGGCCTCCCAAAGTGCTGGAATTACAGGTATGAGCTGCTGTGCCCAGCCAAGGATCTGCTTTTTTAATTAAACCTCTTAATAACTTTTTAAGCAGATATTTGATTCCATTTCCCATAACCATTATAGAATACTCTCATAGGTAAATATAAAAATTATCAGCATATCCCTTCATGTAAAAATTAAAGCAAAAAATATTTGTTAAGTCTCATCCCAATCCACTTATTCTTCCATGCTTTTCAGATTGGGTGCAGTCAATGAAGGTACAACCAGGAAAGTTAGAGTGCAATTTGGCCCACAATTGGTAACTAAATATGAAAATTGGAGTGAATCTAAATAATACAAGGAAACTGAGCTAGTGGGTGACCTGCTGGATTAGATAGTATTGGAATCATTTGGCTGATGATGCTAATCAGTTACCATTTTGCTTTTAAATGGAAGCCCCATAATCAAATAAGTTTAGTAAAATTCCATGTGTTTACAGATATCTAGTCAAAATTATTCTATATTTTCCTATTTAAGCATCCTAGTGGAAGTCATGTTTTGCCTTTCTAATTAAATATTTGCTTACATATGTGTGAAACAATGTCCCTGAATGAAGAAAGAAAACACACTATCATACTATTACTTCTTATTTTTATAGGCAATTGAGTTCTGGTTTTCTTTATCCCAAGGCCTCCATTTGCCAGAAAAATATATTTGTACTATTATGCATCTGTTACTTATATCAGTTGGATTGTCAAACTCTGAAACTCTTATTACCTATGTACAATAAGAATGAGTGTGTAAAGAACAACATTGGATTAGATGCAGAATTCTGCTTAAGCCATTTATCAGCAGCATTTTATCTTAGGCATGTTGCCTAACAATCTTTGGTTTCCTCACCTGAAAAATGAGATATACCAGCTGCCCACATTACAAGGTTGCTGAGAGAAGCAATCAGATATGTTAGGATGGCAGAACCACCAAGAGTGTAAAAGTACAGATTTGGAGTCCAAGGAACCTCAGTTGGAACTCTGTTGTTACCACTTACTCTGTAATCTTGGGTGAGTAACTTAACTTCTAACTCTTAGTTTCCTTATCTGCCAAATAGGGATCATGATAAGACATATCTCACACAATTACTGAGAGGATTAAATGACACCAAAAAGTACTGAGCACGTATGATAATGGCTAAAGGTGTTGAGCACTTCCTGTGTTCCAGCTACCTGATCACGTATACAAATGTGTTTTCTAGGCTGGAAAGCCATATAGAGGGGGAAGCCCAATTCATGTGCTTTTCCATTGCCAGCCTTTCTTCCCGTATGGCCTTACTTCTACAGCCCACAGACTTGCCATATGCAGAGATCTTAGCCAGGGTACTCACCTTGAGGGATAAGGAAGAGGCCAATTTATAGGATTTACTGCTCCAGAGAGGAAAGCTCCTGGGTGAGGCACTGTACCTGGAACAAGATCTCTACCCCAAGCATTGAATTTGGTTGGGTCTCAGAGGAAGCAGACCTGTTATCTTGCATTCTGCATGCATTTCTGGTGGACTTTATCACAAAGGTCTGGGACTCTGGGAAAAGGAAAGGACAGCCAGAAGGAATGAAGAAAAAAAGAAGCTTTCTCTCCCTCAAATCAGATTCCAGCTTTTGGTTGCCACTGCCTTCAACTAACAAAGAAATCACCTGTCATTTTATTGTTATAACTATTTTTATGATTGTCAGCATAATTGCCATTATCGTTAACACCTAAATGTATAGTGAATGCTTAGAATGGACTAAGTTGTTTACAGTGGACTAAGTTCATTGACTTCTTTCAACAATCTCAACAATCCTGTGAGGAAGATTTTTTTTTCTTTTTTTGTTTTGAGATAGGGTCTTGCTTTCACTCTGTCATCCAGGCTGGAGCCTGTCACTATGCAGTGACAGGATAACAGTTCACTGCAGCCTCACCTTCCAGGCCTCAAGTGATCCTCCTGCGTCAGCCTCCTTAGTCAGCCTCCTGAGTAACTGGGATCACAGGCTTGCCACAGCACCTGGCTAATTTTTTAATTTTTTGTAGAGACTGGGTCTTACTATGTTGTTCAGGCTGGTCTTGAACTCCTGGGCTCAAGCACTCCTCCTGCCTCCGCCTCCCAAAATGCTGAGATTACAGGTTTGAGCCACTGCAGAAGCCACTGACCTCCGGAAGATTCTATCATTATCCTTATTTAGAAATTTAGAAATTAATAAAGTGAGAATCAATCAGAGAGGATAAAATACTTGCCAAAGTAGCAAGTGGTATTGCTGAGACTCAAACTTGGAACTGTCTAGCTCTGAGCTCCTATTTCCAATTACTATGCTACTCTCCAATTAATTACTGACAACTAGAGTCCGAACTCAACAAAGCACTTGAGTTTAAAATGATGCATTACATTTGCTTATACACACACAGCACCCAAGCCAGTGAAAATCAGGAAACAGACAATTAGCAAATGCCACTTGAATATTTGTCAGCTCTCACCGAGATCTAGGAGAAATCTCTTTTCAAGATGATGAGAAAGATGCTATCCAAATTAATCCTTAGTTTAGTCATCCTAATTCTAATGACTTAGCAAACTAAGATTTTTAAACAATAGAAACATCTTTATACCCATGTTTTTAGGGAAAGCCATTGTCATTTGCACTTTATTTTAGAGCCGTTGGTTTCTCTGCTGCTCTAAAACTTAGATGGCCTCGGAGCTCCTCCGCCCTCATGCCCTCAAGACCTCAGAGGAGTGAGGATGGAGAAAAGGTTTAGGTTGGGTGCAGGGAGAACCTGTGTTAGTCAGGCAGCCTCACCTCTGTCCTGTTCCTCCCACCCCCAGGAAAGCTGCCCTCTCCTTCCCCCACCTCTAGACTGCCTTCCTTGAAGCAAGATAGCAGTACTTGGGCAGTTTACTCAGCACTTCCAGGGTCTTTCCAACAAAAATGAGTTTCTGCTCAACTTGTCCTATCTCTTTTGAAAACCAAAAAATAATGATTTGGGGGTGAAAGTCAATGTGCTGAAACACAAAAAAATCTCATGTTGTCAAACAGAAAGTAAACTTTAACCTTCAGAAAATTTTTTGGTTTTCCTGTATGATATGTCTTATTGTTTTAAGATGTATTCTACCATGGTTTTTTCATATTACAAAGGAGGGTTTTCTTAAGCTTATTGTAATTGATTGTAATTAGTTCCCTTAAATTAATGGATGAAGTTGAGTGTAGAATTGTAGCTAGAGTCTTCAAAACATTTATCAGCAAAGACTATAGGATTTACTATATAAACAAGCTCATTTAAATGTTTCACATTAATTACATAGCTATTATAAATGCAGATGGGAAGAAAAGCCTTGATGGGATTTGTTCTATTCTATTCTGCTGATGTAGCCTTAATTGCACATGATAAGAAAATACTTTTAGTCTGAAAGTGTGCCAGACTGCCACAACCACGCTAACAACCTGCTTTAGTGAAATATCAAACAAATGTCATGTCAGTGTGTGCCTCATGGGTGGAAAAAAAAAAAAAGCACTGAACAGTTTCCCCTGTTAACTATTCAGTGAAAATATGAGAGAGATATCTTTTGTACAGTGCCTTCAAAAAAGAAACAACCACTCATACATTTTTTTTTAAACCCATGTGAATTGTAATTGTATTGTAATGAATTGTAAATCTCAGGGTAACAGCAGTGAGCTCTTCAGCCAGACTGGATTCTAGCAGTCAGGACATTTCAGCCTTGGGTAATCAATCAGGGGACTGGAAAGGAGTAATTTCAAGGTGGTAACCAAGTACTCCCAACACCATTTATGTAGAATTTATCACAGCAGTGATACGCACACTGATTGCATATCTGCTTGAGGACGTGTACAATCAACAGCTATTTATTTATGGCCAATTTATAACATAGTGCCAGGTTCAACCATTGAGGCAATTGAATCAAAACTGTAACATTAGCTTTAGAAAAACATAATTAGAAAGGTAAATACACTAGATTCAGGAGCCAAATATAAATTCCTTTTGGATAATGTATAGTTATGGATTACCAAATATCTATATGGTTAATCTCCTTCATTAGTGTGAATAATCCAGAATTGGATGTAATTACTTACATGTTGAAAGTGATGATAGTTATTATACAACATCAGTTTCACTAATCCTATCAAAATCGTTTGTTCTTTGCCAACAATCTTTTCTATAAAGCCTGTTTTTATGCATGCAATTTTGTTTGCTTCTTGGGTTTGCTGATTTTAAAAAACACAGTTCTAGGCATGATTATTCATATCTGGGGGAAAAAAGTCCCTAATAATTCTGGCTTGAAGGGAAGTTAATACGGTAATTTACTGTATTCCACAGTCCCAAAGATGATCATTCTGGCCTTGCTTCTCTCTTCTGCAGCAACCATCCACTGTGGGTTATGCAAGACAAATCATTAAGAAGGAAGGCTGGGGACTCCAGGGCCTCAACAAAGGATTAACTGCAACTTTGGGACGACATGGAGTTTTCAACATGGTTTATTTTGGCTTCTACTACAATGTCAAAAACATGATTCCTGTCAATAAGGTAACTATTTAATAAATTAAAATCCTGGAGGAAAAATCCTATCAGTGATGATAGCTCCGTTTGTAGAATGTTTATCCTGTCCTGGTCACTGTGCTGGACACCTACATCTATTATCTAATTTGATCCTTACATCTGCATTGAGTGCTGTTATCCCTGCTTCAAATCCAGAAGTGGAGTCTTAGAAAGATCAAGGAAATTGCCCAGCTCACATAGTAGACAGTAAAGTTGAGGACTGAACCCAAGTCTGACACCAAAATTTATCTTCTTGAAGAAGCTATTTTTACACCTGAGTGCTTTCCCTTTATTACTAAAAGGAATTTCTAGAAACTATGTTATTACTTAATTTTTATCTCAGGAGCATAACTTTCTCAAGAAAGTTGAAAGCTTTGTATTTTAAAAAACTTTTGAACTCACAAGGAAAAATTGTTGGCCTAAAATTTAAATTTCACCTGGATATTAATTTTTAATCTAGGTTAATTAGGGTAGTTAATCAATTCTTCTAGAATCATTTGCTTTTGAGGCAAAATAACAATGATGATAATTATTATCATCATCTTCAATATTATTATTTTGAAATGATAGTTTATAGGCTGGGTGCAGTGGCTTATGCCTGTAACCCCAGCACTTTGAGAGGCAAAGGCAGGAGGATTGCTTGATGCCAGGAGTTTTGAAACCAGCCTGGGCAACACAATGGGACCTCTCTCTACAAAAAATTAAAAAATTACCCAGGCATGATGGTGTGCACTTATAGTGAAGCTACTCGGGAGGCTGAGGTGGGAGGAGCGCTTGAGCCCAGGAGTTCAAGACTGCAGTGAGCTATGATTGCGCCACTGCACTCCAGCCTGGCAACAGAGTAAGACCCTGTTTCTTTCTTTTTCTTTCTTTCTTTCTTTCTTTTTTTTCCCCGTTTCCTTTTTTTTCTTTTCTTTTCTTTTTTTTTCTTGGAGACAGAGTTTCACTCTTGTCACCCAGGCTGGAGTACAATGGTGCAATCTCAGTTCACTGCAACCTCCGCCTCCGGAGTTCAAGCAATTCTCCTGCACCAGCCTCCTGAGTGGCTGAGATTACAGGTGCCCACCACCGCACCCAGCTAATTTTTTTTTTATTTTGGCACCATGATGACCAGGCTGGTCTCAAACTCCTGACCTCAGGCAACCCACCCGCCTCAGCCTCCCAAAGTGCCAGGATTACAGGCATGAGCCACCACGCCCAGCCAAGTAAGACCTTATTTCTAAATAATCATAATAATAACGTTTTTTAATGGTAACTTACAGATGCAAGCAGCCTTTTTCAACGTCTACAATATAAAAGTAGCACAGGATGTGCTTTTAAGCCATAGTATCACAGAATTTTTCCCTACCATCAAATTGCTTGCTTGCAGTTAAAACTGCAGTCCTGGATGTACCAGTTGGGGTAACATTTTTCACGAGCAGGCAGTTTCCCTTAGAGGTCCAGTTCTTCATTTTTCTTAGTAGAAAAGTATTGAAGGGCTTTTTTTTTTAGTCATAAAACTATTTCTAGTATGGCTAACCAGACTCTTCAGTAAAGTTAGTTGTACCTGTTTTTGCCCAGCTATCCCCTATATTCTAGTAAAGGCCAGGACTTTTCTCAAATGACAGCTGAATCTACACCATGTGTTCCACATTAACCACCTGTTGGCATTGCTTCACTTCACTAACCAAAGTTGTTAACCAGGTTTCCCTGTATTTGGAAATCTCATTTATTGAGTAGAAGCTTATGTTTTTTTGGTCTGAAATCCTTGATTGGCCACAGTGTATATAGACCCCCCTAGTGACTGACAATTCTGACTCCAGGGACCCTCAGAGCTCTTCTCTTGTCAAGATATAGAAAATGAGTGCAATAAACACTGTGGTTCTGGATGACACGAAGGAGCTCTCAATACACTGAGATTTTTTTTAGAGGAACCTGCTAAATAATTTGTAAGGCCCAGAAAAGAATGCAAATGCAGAGCCCTTTGTTCAGAAATTATTAAGAATTTGAAGACAGTGACAGTAGAACATTAAATCAATCATGGGGCTCGTCTCTTCTAAATGCAGGCCCCACACAACAGCACTGTCACACACCCATGAAACCAGCTCTGTTTTTCAGACTGTAAGACAACCACTCCACAAAAATACAAAAATTAGCTGGGCATCATGGCACATGCCTGTAATCCCAGCTACTCGGGAGGCTGAGGCAGGAGAATTGCTTGAACTTGGGAGGTGGAGGCTGCAGTGAGCCGAGCTGGCGCCATTGCACTCCAGCCTGGGCAACAGAGCGAGCCTCCATCTCAAAAAAACAAAAAAAAAAAGATTAATCAGATATATGTATGGTCATATGCTAAAAAAGAAAATCCACAAGCACAAACTTTATTCTACAATTAATCAATACACTTAAGTTATTAAATGTTCTCAATTGTTTAAAAAAAAAACCTGAGCTGGCACAGTGGCTCAAGCCTGTCATCCCAGCACTTCGGGAGGCTGAGTCAGGAGGATTGCTTGAGGCCAAGAGTTGAGACAGGCCTGGGGAACATAGTGAGACCTCATCGCTACAAAAAAAAAAAAAAAAAAAAACTAACGTTAGCCAGGTGTGATTGTGCACATCTGTAGTCCCAACTACTCTGCAGGCTGAGGCAAGAGGATTGCTTGAGGCTAAGAGTTCAAGACCAGCCTGGGCAACTTAGTGAGACCCTGTCTCTACAAAATTTTAAAAATTAGCCAGGTGCTGTGGTGAGTGCCTGTGGTCCCAGATGCCTGCAAGGCTGAGGTGGAAAGATTGCTTGAGCCTGGAAGGGCAAGACTGCAGTGAACCATGACCATGGCACTGCACTCCAGCCTGCATGACAGGGAAAGATCTTATTTTAAAAAAAAATGTTGACATGTGTCTGCCCAATTTTTTGTAATGATATTCAGTGAAATGTCAACCAGCACTCTTCCAAACAAATTATCTATTAGATAGCACTTCCCACATCTAGATTATACTAGTAAATAAGTGATTCATTTATTAATCAGGACTCTGAAAACTATCTCTAAATCTTTAAATAAAAGATACATTTTGTTCATCATAGTTTTATAATTAATTTTTTATGTTGTTATAAGTTTTACCAAGCTGAGAACCTGTGACTAGATTACCTCATTTCCTCACTCCCATCCAAAGTATCCTACAGTAGGGAGTTTAGTGAAATATGATTTGTCATTATTTTATTTTATTTTCATTTATTTGGTTAGTTTTTTTGAAACAGTGTTTCACTGGAGCCTCCACCTTTTGGGCTCAAATGATCCTCCCACCTCAGACTGCTGAGTAGCTGGGACTACAGACATGCGCCACCACACTCAGCTAATTTTTTTATTTTTCTGTAGAAATTGGGATCTCCCTTTGTTGCCCAGGCTAGTCTTGAACTCCTGTGCTTCAGTGATCCTCCCACCTCAGCCTTCCAAAGTGCTGGGATTATGGGCATGAGCAACCATGCCTGGCTTTCATTATTTTAAAAAGTGAAAGTTGAATAAATTCCACTGTAATCTTCTCTGTACAGTAGTGTTGCACCACTGAAGAATGCTAATGCATTGCTTTCTATATATTTGACTATTAACAATTGTAAATCACAAACTTCCTTTGACAGTGCTAACATGTGCCATGTGGCTCAGAATTTCATTTCCAAGCTTTAGCCTCCAAGCTAAAAGCACTGATTCCTTTGCCAAATGAATTCTCTATTAGATAGCACTTCCCATGCCCAGATTATACTAGTAAATATATACTAGATTGTACTAGTAAATAAGTGATTCATTTATTAATCAGGACCCCGATTTAATGATCTAGGCACTGGGGCTCCTTAGGTTGGGGGCTGGGAGGAATGCTGTGCGTAAAATGTGGGGTCAACAGGTCTGAGTATGACTCCTGGCTTTCAGTCATCATTGAACCCATATTTATTGAGTGTCTAACATGTGCCAAGCACCAGGAGATGCAATAATGAGAAGCTGTCCCAGCACTTACAAGGCAATGGAGGTAACAGACAAAAACAAGTAAACAAACAAACTCACATTTAGGAGCGTAAAGGAGAAATTCCCCCAGTATAAACCTGATGGTCAGGGAAGGCTTCCCTGAGGAAGTGACATTTGAGCTGAAGAATGAGTTAGAAATTAGCAAGGGACAGCAAATGGGCAAAAACATTCCAGACACTGGAGCATCTAGCGCAAAGGCTCTAGGAGAGAGAGAGCTGGGTACCTTGGATAAAATGAAAAACAGCCCAAGTGATGGAAGCAAAAAGGTGAAGGCAAGAATGTTGCTAGAGAGACACAAGGGGATCAGATCATACTGGCCCTTGTAGGCCACACTAAGGATTCTTATCTTCATCTAAGATTCTTATCTTCATCATTTGGAAGCTGACAAATGATTTTAAGCAGAGGAACAGCCTGATGACTCTGGTTGCAGTGGTGACTCTGGATGGGGTGGGGATGGGAGGGAGAGGCAGAATGTGTGCATGGAAATGACTGCAATACAAAGTGGTGGGGTCTTGGACTATAGCGTCCATGGGGGAGACAGGGAGAAGTGGGCTGATTTGAGAAGTATTCCAAAGGCAGAATCTGCAGGATGTGGTGATGGACCGTATGTGCGTGTTGAGAAAAGTAGGGGGTTCAGAAGGATGCCTAGGTTTTTGGCTTGAGCAACTGAAACAATTGTGGCACCATTCACTGGGAAAGAAAACAACTGAAAGAGGAATGGGCTTATGGAGGAATATTACGGGCTCTGCCTGGAAACTCTGAGTCTAACTGCATTTGGGACTGCAAAGTGCCGACGTTAAGTCCGTGGGTTGGATGTGGGTCCTGTGGCTTGTGAGGAAAAAGCTGAGCTGGAGATAGATGTTTAGAAGTCATCGGTCTACCTCAATGAGAAGTGAAGTCTTGTCCCTTACTGGTGGAATGACCTTGAGCCCATCACTTCACTGCTCAGAGCTTCAGTTTTTGGAATCTGTAAATTGAAAAACAATGTTTTCCTATCTGATAAGATTGTTTTGAAGATTAAAACAAATAATATGCAAAGTAATTTGTGAATGTTAAGGTGGCATAAAAGTGTGAAGTGAGATGGTCCCGATGATGTGATGAGGGAAGGAGTAGTGGAGCTCGTTAGTATGCAGAATTGCAGGAGGAATTTTTTCCCCCGAACTATTCCTTGTGTACTTAAATGAACACTGGTGGGTGTTTTGTTTTGTTTTTTTCTTGGCCTAGAACAAAGTCATTGATTTTATGTGTTCTGTAATCTAAGCCTGATTCAAAACTGGGAAACCAGTATTCTTTAAATTTAAAACATAATAAATCAATCCTTTGTGAAGGGGAAGGTATGATAATCATTAAAACATGTTGAAGAACGTCATCAAGTTGTTATAAACCCTGATGAGGAGGTGGTGTTCCTTGAAGGCCTTATTTCGTCTTTGCTGTAGGCTGTCTCTGGCCATTCACTTTGGACAATTTGTTTACAGGGTTATTGTTTCAATTCCCTTACCCAGCAATTGGTCATTCTGTTGTTCCAAGGAAATCTGAGATTTCACGCACTCTGACTGGCATGGGATAATTCTAGATTTTTCTTTAATTTAAAAAAAATCTATAAATGTCTTACAGTGTTTTTCATCTTCAAAGTACTTGGTTTTACAAGAAACTGTTCATAATGTTTTTCTCTGGGGAGTGGAAATGGGGAATTGTGTGTGTGTGAGAGAGAGACAGAGACAGAGGCAGAGACAGAGAGAGATTAAGTGGGAGAAAGTGAGCAGCGGTGGAGGGAAAGTATTTATTCTTTATATTAATACCATTCTAAGCTGTGGAGAGCTTTTACATTTTGTATGCATTAACTTTATAATAGGAAGTAAATCACTGAAAAATGTAGCAGAACCTCATAAAATAGATCACCTAGTTTACATTTTCACATTTACTTAATTCTAAGGCTATGTTTGCGGACGTAAAATAGGAACTTAAAACAGTAAGCCGCCGGACGCAGTGGCTCACACCTGTAATCCCAGCACTTTGGGAGGCTGAGGCGGGTGGATCACGAGGTCGGGAGATTGAGACCATCCTGACTAACACAGTGAAGCCCTGTCTCTACTAAAAATACAAAAAAAAAAATTAACCAGGCATGGTGGCGGGCGCCAGTAGTCCCAGCTACTTGGGAGGCTAAGGCAGGAAAATGGTGTGAACCCGGGAGGCGGAGCTTGCAGTGAGCAGAGATTGCACCCAGCCTGGGCGACAGAGTGAGATCCGTCTCAAAAAAAAAATAACGGTAAGCCCCGGTAACTCAGGTCAGCTATCCAACCTTGAAGTTCTTGACGTTTTAACTTCAGATTAGTGATCTATGGTACATATATTTTTTAAGTTATCACAGAAAAATATCCCGACTTTCTGTGGCACTTTATGCTATTAAAATCATTTTTATAGACTCCATGATTTTGCCTGATCCTTGTCACAATAACTGCCATTTTCAGATAAGGAAACCTAACAGGAAGTTACGGCCCAGAGATGAGTTACTGAAGTAATTCACCTGAAGCCATATGACAGGGGTGGGGAAAGAACCAGAGACCGGAACTCTTTCGACTGTATCATGTAATGCTTTCACTCTACATTTTACCTTGTTTTTTTTGTTTGTTTTTGTTTTCTCTTTTTTGTTTTTTTTTTTTTTTGAGACGGAGTCTCGCTCTGTTGCCCAGGCTGGAGTGCAGTGGCACTATCTTGGCTCACTGCAACCTCCGCCTCCCGGGTTCAAGCGATTCTCCTGCCTCAGCCTCCTGAGTAGCTGGGATTACAGGTGCGCACCAACATGCCTAGCTAATTTTTATATTTTTAGTAGAGACAGGGTTTCACCGTGTTGGTCAGGCTGGTCTCGAACTCCTGACCTCATGATCCACCCACCTCACCGTCCCAGAATGCTGGGATTACAGGCGTTAGCCACCGCACCCAGTCTTACCTTGTATTTTGTCACACATAAATTATCTCTTTAAAAGTGGTTACTAAAATTTAAATAAATGAAGTGTCTGAAATGTCCAGATAACGTAACCGGATTCTCTGGATTCTCTTTCTGCCATGCTCAGACCCATAACCTGATCCTCCCTTTCGTATCCTCGGTCTGTAATCCATAGAAACACCGAATTATGAGACACGGCCCTGGAAGAATGGGTCATTACCAGTTTGAAAATGATGCCCTATGTTATGTTCTTTCAGATTTATTTTTAGGAGCTAGCTGTTCCTATTGAAGGGTGAATAAGTGACTACAATAGAGGAAAGACTGCTTTGGATATTGACTGACCATGGAATTCACTTAATGGAGGCATTCATTTACATCTTGTAGTAAATGGAATGGAGTGTCAGGATAAAGAATTATACTTTCTCCCCAGAAACAGGCCATCACTTCTCAAAGTAAAGCACACTAGAAACAGATACTGATTAACTTAAATGCTGACATCTTTTTCGAATATCCATGGGAATAAACTCTCATTGCAAAAACAGTTTCTTTCATTACCATTCCAAGTTGGGGATGTTTAGAGTGTATTATTTGTGATGTTGACATGCAAATAAAAATCATTAAAATACTACATGTCATGAATAATTTTGTCTTCTAGTTCCATATTTACTTCTTTTCATATGTTTCCATAAATAAAATAATAGTGGAAACAGCTGTCTAAAGCTAATGGCTGTCAACAGTATTAAATGGTGCTTTCAGTTTGCATCCTAATTAAGGATGTTTGCAGGTTATTTTGCAGAAAACAATAGACCTTTTGTGTTGAATTTTGCCATGATATAAATTACATGTGTGGGTTAGAAATATTTTAAAAGAGAACAATTTTTCAAATGTTCAATCTTTCTTATTTAATAAACCATTTAGACCTGTCCCTGTGGTCATTCACCACAGACAGCATTAAGTCAAACATATTTATTTTCTTCCAAGGTAAATTCTGTAGAATGTCTGAGGGTGGTGCCAGACCCACTTCATTTTATCAGAAGAAATGTGGAAATGTGTTAGTTTCATGATTGAGAGCTACATCCTCCCCTAAGGTGTGCCCTGAGCTGAATGAAAAATGCACCTTTGGGTTCAAGGGGAGAACTTAGACAGAGCTGTTTATATTTTGAAAAGAAGAATCTCAATAGAATTAGAGCATAGTATGATTTAATTTATGACCATTTAATTTTCTGATTCTCTCTTACTCCATCATTAGTCTTACCAATCATCCGGTAATGGGAAGGGCAGGAACATTAAAGTTTCATTAAGAAAAACTCTCCTTTCTAGAAACCACTGGGGAAAAACTACAAGTACCTATTATCTATAAAATTCCAGGATATGTGACAATATTCTGTGGTAAAAAGGGGTATCTTTCATTGGCAGTTTGCACAGACTCCCTAGTGGGGATATGTAGCGGGGAGGGGGTATGGGAGAGGGCAGAGAGCAGAGAGCCAGGGGTTCAAATACTTCCTTAAATAAATTTCAGGCCAGTCAGACACTCCCCAAGTGGATGGAAATGAGGTGCAAGTAGCTTTAGGTTCTCAGTGGGTCTATTCTATTCATTCATTCCAAAAGTATTCATGGTGCATCTACTGTATGTTGGGCACCCTCTTAGGAAGCATCAGCATTGCTCCTCTCTTAATGACGTTTACAGTCTAATAGAGGAAATAGACAATAAACAAATCATTGCACAAGGAACTGAATCATTCCAATTGTGCTAAGTGCCATGCAAGATAACTATCAAGCTGTGAGAATTTATAAACAAGTATTCTAATCTAGACCCATGATGGGGCAGGGAGATGGTGTAGGGAAGTCCGTTTTCTTTTTTTTTCTTTTTCTTTCTTTCTTTTTTTTTTTTTTTTTTTTTGTGGAGACAGGATCTCCCTGTGTTGCCCAGACTGATCTCCAACTCCTGGGCTCAAGTGATCCTCCTGCCTCGGCCTACCAAAGTGCTGGGATTACAGGGATGAGCCACCGAACCTGGCTAGAAAGGTCTTTTTTGGAAACAATGTTTGGGCTTGGGCTGAAGGATGAGGACAAACCACGCCAACCTGAAGAGGTTGAATGAACCAGGCAGAAAGAACAGGAATGTGACTATCCTGAAGCAGAAAGAAACTCAGGGACCCCAGAGAAGATTAAGAATGAGTGTTGCTGGTGCATGGAGAACCAGTAGAGAAGGAGAAATGGAGGCTGCAGAGGTTAGCTTGACCAGAATGTTTTAGGCACATAATATAAAGGCAACTTACTCCCCTTAAATTATTTAACTGGGGGTTATATGGAACAGACATATTACATAAGTGGAACTAAATGGACATGGGAAAGTTTCATGTATGGAAGTTCACAGGTATAATCTCATTGAACTAGCTTGGTTCAAAGACTTCTTCTTGATTATCTCTCTACCTCCATGTTGAAGCATCTCAGTGTGCTCCCTCTGGTTTCTCAATCTCTAGAGTTTTGTTTTGGGAACCTGGCTTGCTAGTTTTCCTTGGGGTCAGTGCCTTTATTGAGTCAAGGAACAGAGAGAACACACTACAACAGAAATATCCTGCTGGGTTCCCAAGGAAATATATAAATACTTTCCTGTATTCTATATAATACTCAATACATAATTAATTCCTAGGTGGTATTATCTAACCACCTGAATATATAGGTATATACAATACATATTATATCTGTGAAATATATACAGGAGATGATATAATCAAGAGATAACTATTATGCCTAAACCATAATCCATTTTGACATTATATATATGTATATTTTATAATTTGAGCTAAGTGGGTAAAACCTTTAAAATTATTCTACATTTTACAATACTTTAAAGAACAGACAACTTAGAGGAAAAAAAGGAATTTTCATGGCTATTTTCTGAATGGCTACATTTAGATGCAGAGGTTTTAACAAGACTTTGATTTCATTCCAAAGCCCAGAGCCCTGCAAGGATAGGATCTTAGGAATACTCCACATTCCTTAAAGAATGCTTATCAGTTGAAGCATCTCATTTTAGTTAGTGACCTTCTGTGGAGTGGGGAGCTAGCATTTCCCTAAATTATCTCGCATGAAGAGAAAACAAACACTGTAATAGATTCCTCTGATAGCAGTGAAGTAAAAACAAATGTATTTTTTAATTAAGCTTCAATAGCAGATATTTTCACTGGGGACAAAATAGCAGGATACCATGACATTGGGAGGAAAATGTTTTTGTCAAAGTTTATGAACAAAACAACAAAAGAGAGCCAAGATTAGAAGGAATGAAAGTTGTATAGTGAGAGCTGACTCTACTTGTAAGCTGACTTGGACCTATTAGAACTAACAATAGCTAAAATGCAAATTTCCTCTTAAAAAAAAGGCAGTTCACTCTCACTTAAGCTGCCTCCTTGTTCAGTTACCAGGAGGCAACTATGATTCCAATGCACCACATCATTTTCATGACCACCATACCCAGCTGTGGGCAAGACAATGATGAGCTGCTATTATTTGCCTTGCGGTTGCTACCAGGTGCTTAACCAGTGTGTGTATCTGCCTCCTTTGTAATTTGCTTCTGAAACCTTGGTTCTTTGTTTATTATGTTTTATTAAAGGAAGCTAAGGCATTTATTACATACCTATGATGTGTCAGGCTCAGTAAATACACAAGAGGAGGGTGACATGGCATATCCCTTTTCTTTAGATATTTTGAACAAGTCTTCAAAAAGAGTGTGAGAGCCTGTTGCCTGTCTCCACTAACTCCTTTCAAAGGCCTGACCCTAGGCAATCTGACCCCAGGGCCCATGCTCTTAATCATTGTACTCTACATACTTCTTCAAATATGTGGACACATGACCCTTTGGGTCTTTCTTTCTTCAGAGTATACCCACAGCTGCCCATTCACTCTTCTGGTGACATGGCTTCCAGTCCTCTGAGCAGCCCATCTGTCCTACTATAGTGCATCACATTTGTCCATATCAATGTCAGATCTAAACAGAATACTGCAGTTTTTCATTGATCAAATGCAGAGTACACTAGGATCAAGCATTCCTGTGACATGAACACACACCTTTCTTAAATGCAGCCAAAGACTGTGCACAAATAGATTGTGGGGGATTTGTTGGAAGAAGGGGATGGAAAGGAAGGGAGGAAGAATGTGTTTTATTTTTACATCAAGAAGTTGGCATGGTCTGGGCACAGTGACTCATGCCTGTAATCCTCGCACTTTGGGAGGCTGTGGTAGGAGGATAGCTTGAGGTGGTATTGTATTAAATTTTGGTGGAACTTGGTGGGGTGTTCCAAGATGGCCGAATAGGAACAGCTCCAGTCTGCACTCCCATTGTGATCAACTCAGAAGACGGGTGATTTCTGCATTTCCAACTGAGGCACCTGGTTCATCTCACTGGGACTGGTTGGACAGTGGGTGCAGCCCACGGAGGGTGAACTGAAGCAGGACAGGGAGTCGCCTCACCCGGGAAGTGCAAGGGGTTGGGAGATTTCCCTTTCCTAGCCAAGGGAAGCCGTGACAGACTATCTGGAAAAACGGGGCACTCCCGCCCAAATACTGCACTTTTCCCAAGGTCTTAGCAACCTGCAGACAAGGTGATTCTCCCCCATTCCTGGCTCGGTGGGTCCCACGCCCACAAAGCCTTGCTCACTGTTAGTGCAGCAGTCTGAGATCGATCTGCAAGGTGGCAGCCTGGCTGGGGGAGGGACATCCACCATCGCTTAGGCTTGAGTAGGTAAACAAAGCGGCCAGGAAGCTTGAACTGGGTGGAGCCCACCACAGCTCAACGAGGCCTCCTGCCTCTAGACTCCACCTCTGTGGGTAAGGCATAGCTGAATAAAAGGCAGCAGACAACTTCTGCAGACTTAAATGTCCCTGTCTGACAGCTCTGAAAAGAGCAGTTGTTCTCCCAGCATGGCGTTTGAGCTCTGAGAACAGACAGACTGCCTCCTCAAGTGGGTCCCTGATCCCTGTGTAGCCTAACTGGGAGACACCTCCCAGAAGGGACCCACAGACCCCTCATATAGGTGGCCACCCCTCTGGGTTGAAGCTTCCAGAGGAAGGACCAGGCAGCAATATTTGCTGTTCTGCAATATTTGCTGTTCTTCAGCCTCCGCTGGTGATACCCAGGCAAACAGGGTCTGGAGTGGACCTCCAGCAAACTCCAACAGACCTGCAGCTGAGGGACCTGACTGTTAGAAGGAAAACTAACAAACAGAAAGGAATAGCATCCAAATTAAAAAAAAAAAAAAGGTCATCTACACCAAAACCCCATCTGTAGGTCACCAACATCAAAGACCAAAAGCAGATAAAACCACAAAGATGGGGAGAAACCAGATCAGAAAAGCAGAAAATTCTAAAAATCAGAGTGCTTCTACTCCTCCAAAAGATCGCAGCTCCTTGCCAGCAACAGAACAAAGCTGAACGGAGAATGAGTTTGACGAGTTGACAGAAGAGAAGTGGCTTCAGAAGGTCAGTAATAACAAACTTCTCTGAGCTAAACGAGGATATTCGAACCCATCGCAAGGAAGCTAAAAACCTTGAAAAAAGATTAGACGAATGGCTAACTAGAATAAACAGTGTAGAGAAGACCTTAAATGACCTGATGCAGCTGAAAACCATGGCACGAGAACTTCATGATGCATGCACAAGCTTCAATAGCCAATTCGATCAAGTGGAAGAAAGGGTATCAGTGACTGAAGATCAAATTAATGAAATTAAGTGAGAAGACCAGGTTAGAGAAAAAAAGAGTAAAAAGAAAAGAAGAAAGCCTCCAAGAAATATGGGACTATGTGAAAAGACCAAATTTACGTTTGATTGGTGTACCTGAAAGTGATGGGAAGAATGGAACCAAGTTGGAAAACACTCTTCACGATATTATTCAGGAGAACTTCCCCAACCTAGCAAGGCAGGCCAACATTCAAATTCAGGAAATACAGAGAACACCACAAAAATACTCCTCAAGAAGAGCAACCCCAAGACACATAATTGTCAGATTCACCAAGGTTGAAATGAAGGAAAAGGTGTTAAGGGCAGCCAGAGAGAAAGGTCAGGTTACCCAGAAAAGGAAGCCCATCATATTAACAGCAGATTTCTTGGCAGAAACCTACAAGCCAGAAGAGAGTGGGAGCCAATATTCAACATTCTTAAAGAAAGGAGTTTTCAACCCAGAATTTCATATCCAGCCAAACTAAGCTTCATAACTGAAGGAGAAATAAAATACTTTACAGACAAGCAAATGCCAAGAGATTTTGTCACCACCAGGCCTGCCTTACAAGAGCTCCTGAAGGAAGCACTAAACGTGGAAAGAAACAACCGGTACCAGCCACTGCAAAAACATGCCAAATTGTAAAGACCATTGATGCTATGAAGAAACTGCATCAATTAACGGGCAAAGTAGCCAGCTAACATCATAATGATAGGATCAAATTCACATATAACAATATTAACCTTAAATGTAAATGGACTAAATGCTCTAATTAAAAGACACAGACTGGCAAATTGGATAAAGAGTCAAGATCCATCAGTGTGCTGTATTCAGGAGACCCATCTCACATGCAAAGATGCACATAGGCTCAAAATAAAGGGATGGAGGAAGATCTACCAAGCAAATGGAAAGCAAAAAAAAAAAGTAGGGCTTGCAATCCTAGTCTCAGATAAAACAGACTTTGAACCAACAAAGATCAAAAGAGACAAAGAAGGCCATTACATAATGGTAAAGGGATCAATTCAACAAGAAGAGCTAAGTATCCTAAGTATATGTGCACCCAATACAGGAGCACCCAGATTCATAAAGCAAGTCCTTAGAGACCTACAAAGAGACTTAGACTCCCACAAAATAATAATGGGAGACTTTAACACCCCACTGTCAATATTAGACAGATCAACGAGACAGAAGGTTAACAAGCATATCCAGGACCTGAACTCAGCTCTGCAACAAGCAGACTTAATAGACATCTATAGAACTCTCCATCCTAAATCAACAGAATATACATTCTTCTCAGCACCACATCACACTTATTCTGTAGTTGACCACATAGTTGGAAGTAAAGCACTCCTCAGCAAATGTAAAGGAACAAAAATCACAACAAACTGTCTCTCAGACCACAGTGCAATCAAATTAGAACTCAGGATTAAGAAACTCACTCAAAACTGCACAAGTACATGGAAACTGAACAACTTGCTCCTGAGTGACTACTAGGTAAATAACGAAATGAAGGCAGAAATAAAGATGTTCTTTGAAACCAATGAGAACAAAGACACAACATACCAGAATCTCTGGGACACATTTAAAGCGGTGTGTACAGGGAAATTTATAGCACTAAATGCCCACAAGAGAAAGCAGGAAAGATCTAAAATCGACACCCTAACATCACAATTAAAAGAACGAGAGAATGAAGAGCAAACACATTCGAAAGCTAGCAAAAGGCAAGAAATAACTACAATCGGAGCAGAACTGAAGGAGATAGAGATACAAAAAAACCCTTCAAAAAACCAATGAATCCAGGAGCTCGTTTTTTGAAAAGATCAACAAAATAGATGTACGGCTAGCAAGACTAATAAAGAAGAAAAGAGAGAAGAATCAAATAGATGCAATAAAAAATGATAAAGGGGATATCAGCACCGATCCCACAGAAATACAAACTACCATCAGAGAATACTATAAACACCTCTACGCAAATAAACTAGAAAATCTAGAAGAAATGGATAAATTCCTGGACACATACACCCTCCCAAGACTAAACCAGGAAGAATTTGAATCTCTGAATAGACCAATAATAGGCTCTGAAATTGAGGCAGTAAGTAATAGCCTACCAACCAAAAAAAGTCCAGGACCAGATGGATTCACAGCTGAATTCTACCAGAGGTACAAAGAGGAGCTGGTACCATTCCTTCTGAAACTATTCCAATCAATAGAAAAAGAGGGAATCCTCCCTAACGCATTTTATGAGGCCAGCATCATCCTGATACCAAAGCCTGGCAGAGACACAACAAAAAAAGAGAATTTCAGACCAGTATCCCTGATGAACATTGATGCAAAAATCCTCAATAAAATACTGGCAAACCGAATCCAGCAGCACATCAAAAAGTTTATCCACCATGATCAAGTCAGCTTCATCCCTAGGATGCAAGGCTGGTTCAACATATGCAAATCAATAAACATAATCCATCACATAAACAGAACTAATGACAAAAACCACATGATTATCTCAATAGATGCAGAAAAGGCCTTCGACAGAATTCAACAGCCCTTCATGCTAAACACTCTCAATAAACTAGGTATTGATGGAATGTATCTCAAAATAATAAGAACTATTTATGACAAACCCACAGCCAATATCATACTGAATGGGCAAAAACTGGAAGCATTCCCTTTGAAAACCGGCACAAGACAAGGATGCCCTCTGTCACCACTCCTGTTCAACATAGTGTTGGAAGTTCTGACCAGGGCAGTCAGGCAAGAGAAAGAAATAAAGGGTATTCAATTAGAAAATGAGGAAGTCAAATTGTCTCTGTTTGCAGATGACATGATTGTATATTTAGAAAACCCCATCGTCTCAGCCCAAAATCTCCTTAAACTGATAAGCAAATTCAGGAAAGTCTCAGGATACAAAATCAATGTGCAAAAATCACAAGCATTCCTATACTCCATTAACAGACAGAGAGCCAAATCATGAGAGAACTCCCATTTGCAATTGCTACAAAGAGAATAAAATACCTAGGAATCAAACTTACAAGGAATGTGAAGGACCTCTTCAAGGAGAACTACAAACCACTGCCCAAGGAAATAAAAGAGGACACAAACAAATGGAAGCATATTCCATGCTCATGGATAGGAAGAATCAATATCGTGAAAATGGCCATACTGCCCAAAGTAATTTATAGATTCAATGCCATCCCCATCAAGCTACCGATGACTTTCTTCACACAATTGGAAAAAACTACTTTAAAATTCATATGGAACCGAAAAAGAGCCTGCATTGCCAAGACAATCCTAAGCCAAAAGAATAAAGCTGGAGACATCACGCTACCTGACTTCAAACTATACTACAAGGCTACAGTAACCCAAACAGCATGGTACTGGTACCAAAACAGAGATATAGACCAATGGAACAGAACAGAGGCCTCAGAAATAACACCACACATCTACAACCATCTGATCTTTGACAAACCTGACAAAAACAAGAAATGGGGAAAGGATTCCCTATTTAATAAATGGTGCGCTGGGAAAACAGGCTAGCCATATGTAGAAAGCTGAAACTGGATCCCTTCCTTATACCTTATGCAAAAATTAATTCAAGATGGATTAAAGACTTACATGTTAGAACTAAAACCATAAAAACCCTAGAAGAAAACCTAGGCAGTACCATTCAGGACACAGGCATGGGCAAGGACTGCATGACGAAAACACCAAAAGCAATGGCAAGAAAAGCCAAAACTGACAAATGGGATCTAATTAAACTAAAGAGCTTCTGCATGGCAAAAGAAACTACCATCAGAGAGAACAGGCAACCTACAGAATGGGAGAAAATTTTTGCAATCAACCCATCCGACAAAGGGCTAATATCCAGAATCTACAAAGAACTCAAACAAATTTACAAGAAAAAAACAACCTCATGAAAAAGTGGGCAAAGGATATGAATTAGACACTTCTCAGAAGAAGACATTTATGCAGCCAACAGATACATGAAAAAATGCTCATCATCACTGGTCATCAGAGAAATGCAAATCAAAACCACAGTGAGATACCATCTCACACCAGTTAGAATGGCAATCATTAAAAAGTCAGGAAACAAGAGATGCTGGAAAGGATGTGGAGAAATAGGAACGCTTTTACACTGTTGGTGGGAGTGTAAATTAGTTCAACCATTGTGGAAGACAGTGGCGATTCCTCAAGGATCTAGAACTAGAATTACCATTTGACCCAGCCATCTTGTTACTGGGTATATACCTAAAGGATTATAAATCATGCTACTATAAAGACACATGCACACATATGTTTATTGCAGCACTATTCACAATAGCAAAGACTTGGAACCAACCCAAATGTCCATCAATGATAGACTGGATTAAGAAAATGTGGCACATATACACCATGGAATACTATGCAGCCATAAAAAGGGATGAGTTCATGTCCTTTGCAGGGACGTGGTTGAAGCTGGAAACCGTCATTCTGACCAAACTATCACAAGGACAGAAAACCAAACACCGCATGTTCTCACTCACAGGTGGGAATTGAACAATGAGATCACTTGGACACAGGGCGGGGAACATCACACACTGGGGCCTGTCAGGGGTTGGGGGGCTGGGGGAGGGATAGCATTAGGACAAATACCTAATGTAAATGATGAGTTGATGGGTGCAGCAAACCAACATGGCACATGTATACCTATGTATCAAACCTGCACATTGTGCACATGTACCCTAGAACTTAAAGTATAATAATAATTTTTTAAAAAATTTTGGTGGAACTTTTGTGGGGCTGATGGGTTTTTTATTCATTTAAAGACCAGCCTAGGCAACATAGTGAGACGCTGTCTCTCCAAAACATTTTTTTTAAATTAAAAAATTAGTTGAGCATGCTGGCTCACACCTGTAGTCCAGCTACTCGGGAAGCTGAGGTGGGAGGATCGCTTGAGCCCAGGAGGTTGTGGTTACAGTGTGCTAAGATTGCACCACTGCACTCCAGGCTGGGCGACAAAACAAGAGCCTGTCTTAAAAAATAAATAAATAAAAATAAAAAACTAGATATGTGATATGTATAAATCTTTATGATCAGTTAAAATCCCTAGATTACATGAACTATAATCAAGTCATCTCCCTCATCTTAAACTTGTATAGTTGTCTAAATTCAAAATTTTACATTCACTATGCTTAAATTTAATCTTGTATGTTCAGTCTAGTGCTAAAGCCCATGATGATAATTTTTAATGTTGAGTCTCTCATCTGTCATCCTAGCTTCCCCTCCCTGCCTGTCATCAGCAGATCCATTGAGCAAGCCTTCCACATTTTCTCCCATGTTCATCCAACCTTTCTTCAGGCTGCCATATGTTCACATCTTTCACAGCAGAGCCATTCTGTTCAGCCAGAGGAGAATCCCTCTAACCACGCTCTCATCCATCTTTCATTCAGTGCCTTGTTCAGCAGGATAAAATGGGAAATTTTAAAGTGATTTTCTGAAATTAAGATGTGCAAAATGATTCAAAAAAATGAAATTTTCAAAAATGTATTACTACAATAAATCTTCTGCAGTTCCTTCATGCATGAGCTTCACGTAGGTACCACCTCCAGCTTGCAGCCTTAAGGAAATGAAGGACTGCGTTGCAACCTCCACTTCACCTATTGTGATAGTGATGTGCTACAGAGGGCATGGGAATGAGTCACAGAATTGAGTTCTGCAAAGAAATACTTTTGTGATACCCCCAAAATCATGTAACTCCTTGTAGGACCACCCTATTTGGTGCAGTACCAGGAGGAATTAAAGGGTGACTTAATTGCAGAGATCAAAGAAAATGTGATTTGGGCTGACATGAGGTGGGAAGATTCCAAGATTAGATTTTAATGCTGAGTTCCCTTAAATGAAAAGCCCTATTGCTGTCCTCTACTCAACCTTGCCTTTTGCAGAGAAGCAGGCTTCCTGCCCTGTGTCCCTCATCACCCCCACTCCTCACTGGCTGACAAATCCTGCTTTCTCATCTTCCTTAACCTCCTTCTTCTGGCATATCGCTGGGTGAAATGCCTTCTTAAAGACCCCAGACCCTAATCACAAAGACCTCTGAGATGAGCGATGTTTCTGTTTATCAAGCTAGCAGCCAGCTGGCCAGCTAACGAAGCCAGGTGTCAGAGCCCATGCCAGGAAAGGTAAAAGGGGAGGCATATGCCTCTTTCAATGGACATATTTTATCTCCTCAAGTGCCATTGCCTTAAATTACTTATGCTGTCTTTAGCTCTTGGCTGTATAGTTTGGACTATATGGTTAAATTAGCTACAAATGTGTAGGGTGTTAACTGTTTTGAGTCATATGATCACGTTTCTGATGTTGAATTTTTAGAGGTTGTGGGACATCACAGCCGCCAGCGTTTTGGGATCACTTCTTAATGTCTCTTGTTAAGTCACAAAGAGTCTATAAATAATATGTTCTGTCAGAGAAACTCATTGATCTCCCTGAAGAGGGGCTGGTAAACACATCTCTTTAGCTGTGCACTCACAAAAAGATCACACAGTGTGATGGAAACAGCCAGAGAATTCTAGCAAGAAAACCTGGTGTTAATTCTCAATTCTAGTATTTACTAGTTAGCCATGTGTCTTTGGAAAACTTACACCTTCTCTCTGTCTCAGTTTTCTCATTTGTGAATGGAAATATTAATTTCAGCCTTAAAATGTTTGCAAGGGAATTAAACCATTTTTAAAACCTGCATGAATTGTTTTCCATATTATTATCACAGAATAAAGTCAATGCATGCAATATTCATTAATATTTCAGACTACTCAGCTCCAGTTTAGTTATATCACATGATTTATAAGAAAAATCAGAAAATATTTAGAGGAAAAGATCCATAGATGAGGAAATAATACATACCACTTATAAATAAATATTTAAAAAGAACTTTTTTTAAGTGTACTGGAAATAAAAGGCTATTGCAGTAACAGATTTTATTTTTATTTTTATTTTTAATTTTTCTAAAGACAGTCTCACTATATTGCCAAGGCTGGTCTCAAACTCCTGGCTTCAAGCTATCCTCCCGCCTTGGCCTCTCAAAGTCAATAACAGTTTTTAAATTCCAATGAATTACATCAAGAGTAGTTAACAGTTGCTTGCCCTTGCAATTGAGCAAAGTGTTGAAGTAAAATGGTTTAGGCTTATTGGTGAGGAACATCAATTAAGTACAAGAAACAGTTCCTAATTGGTGACAGTTGGAGCTAATTATGGAATTAAGTTGGAAATTTTTAATAACATAATAGATTTTTCATCAATATTAATATTCATTTACATAATTTATATGTGACCCATTCAAAATACTTGACTTAGGCTAGGTGGCATTCTGAATTCACTCCTAGTCTTGTGATTCTGGGATTTTTATTTTCTGTCACTTAAGTCTTCTCTTGGCCTAAGAGGTGATCTCCTTGCATGTTGAATGAGGGTGCAGCCCTGAGAGGCAAGTGCACATGTCTCTAAAACTGGTTGACATGTGGCAGTCTCAGAGTCACCGATACTTTGGCTTCTTCACTTCTAAATAATAGAACTTTAGCTCTCTTTTGACTAATTCAAGATTATATCCCTTTGTAAGGTAGGAAATTTCTGTATGGCTCAGGTACCTCGTCTGCTCTGGGATGTTGTGGGGCTTAAATATACAAAGGGCTTAACCCAGTACCTGACTCAGAGTGAGTGTCTTCTCATTCTCATCTTCTTCCTCCAGTTTTTAAAATAAATTAATGGAAAAAGGCAAAATGATACTCCAGGTCATGTGATTCTCAATTCAGAGAGCTAGCCATTCAGCTAATATGGTGACTCACTATAATAGTATGTCTTCTGTTGACTTCCTTAACAGCCAACGACTGGCCAAGCTTTAAGAGGCAGAAGCTAGATATCATCTTGCAGGACTCAGATAGTGAAATCCCAGGAGCAATTTCCTCCCCATACTGTATGTTTGCCCTCCATTTTTTTCACACCCCCACTTCAGTACTAATCACATTGAACTAGAATAGCTGCTTAGATGCCCATTCCCAGTCCCCTCTCTGGACCATTTACCTTCATATCCAACTCTAGCACCCAGTGTAGGAATGGACATATAAAGACACCCAATAAATATTTTTTGGCTGGATTCACAATGAATGAATCAGTCACAAGAAGCAATATGACATAATGGTTAAGAAACATAGGCTTGGGAGTCAGAAGGAGCTGGGCTTAAATCCAGGCTCCACCTCTTACAAGCAGTGTGATCTTGGACAACTGACTTAACTTTTTAAGTCTCATGTCCTTACCTGTAAAATGGTGTTATATGCCTAACTCATAGGGTTTGTTATATCATATATACATTTTGTGTACACTTTTTGCACATGACATTGTGCCTGGTAATAAATATTATTAATAATAGCATTATTACTCTTAACAGTGTGAAAAAATACAAATATTATAACATGTATAGCAATTTTTGTTGCTATTTACTTTTGCTATTAATTTCCTTGTTATTTATTATTATGGTTATCAGCAGAAATGCTGTACTTGCTGCTAGCCAGTACACAATGACCCACTCAAACTATGAGATAGGTATCACTCAGATCAGGTGACCCCACTGATAGCCATTCTGGCTTTGGACTGAGCTAAGGATAGGATAGGTTGAACAGAGTTAATATCATTGCCTTCAGTTGTGTAGCCTTGAAGAAACAACCCCTGTTTCCACCAAGGAAAGCTTCAAAATGCTTCCCAACACAGCCAGAGCCCCTTAGGGTCAATGATTAAGGTGAATCTTAGAGCATCAATTATCCAGCCCAAGGATCCAAAGAGGGTGAATGATCAACTTAATTAAGCAGTGGTTCTCAGACTTTACCATCCATCAGAATAACTTGGAGGACTTGTTCAAATAGATTGCTGTAGCTGGGCTCCATTCCCAGATTCACTGGTCTGGGGTGGAACCTCAATTTTGATTTCTAATAAGTTCTCACATGGTGCTGATGGTGGTGGTGTGGGGAACACACTTTGAGAATCACAGAGTTCATGGATATGGTTGAGATGTGAGTAACTGGACTCCAGAGCAGGAATGTGTGTGGAAATCATTTCACTTAGGTGGATTGCCTGAGAACCCCTGTGGAAATTAGGGCTTCCTATTTTTAGCCTCTTTGTTTTCAACCCTGCACTGCCCTTTCCTTACTTCATAAACATATTGGTAGGGAAAATCGTCTCGTGAAATTGTTTTCAAGCTTTTACAAGCCTAATAAAATCAACAGACACACTCCCCAGGAAAGCTCATCTACACAGACACAGAAGCTGATATGGTTTGGCTTTGTGTCCCCACCCAAATCTCATCTTAAAGTTCCCATAATTCCCACATGTTGTAGGAGGGACCCAGTGGGAGATGGTTGAATCATGGAGGCAGGTTTTCCCATGCTGTTCTCGTGATAGTGAATGGGTTTCATGAAGGCTGATGGTTTTAAACACGGGAGTTTCTCTGCACAAGCTCTTTTTTTGGCCTGCTGCCATCCACGTAAGATGTGACTTGCTCTTCCTTGCCTTCTGCCATGATTGTGAGGCCTCCCCAACCATGTGGAACTGTAAGTCCAGTTAAACCTCTTTCTTTTGTAAATTGCCCAATCTCAGGTATGTCTTTATCAGCAGCGTGAAAACGGACTAATACAGAAGCATTGCTTCGAATTTCAGAAGGTTCTTAGACACCTCCCTCACCAACCCACCCACTAACTCTTAGGAGTATAAGAAGAAAAACTATGCCTTGAGGCAAAGTCTTGGGTTCACTCGGATGTAACAAAAAATCCCTTCTTATACTTAACCTTTCAGTTAACTCATTTGTAAAATAGGAATAATAATAATAGTTCGTACCTCAAAAGTTGTGAAGATTAACAGATGTATTGCTTAGACATTTGCACTTAGCAGTATCTGGCACAAAATATGTACTTCAATCAACGTTTATTTTTATTAAAATTGTTACCTCTTCTGTGAGCTGGGGAAGGCATGTTTTAACCTGTAGTGAGGTGCTTGTGGGAAGAGAGGAGGCCAAGAGAAAGGCTGGAAATGTAGGGTTCTGGGCTGCTGGAGGTGGGGCGGTAGGACCGAAGGCGGCAGGCAGCCGTCCTGATGCTGCCTGGGTACTGCCCAGGGGCTTGCAAAGGCATCCACAGGGGTAACAGGGGTCTGGGTAGAGGGGACAGCCCCACTCAACTTGCTTTCTTCAGCTCCGAGCATCTTGGTTTATTTAGCACCTACAGTGTACTCTGCAAAACAGGTGACACAAAGAGGAGTAACACATGCTCCTATGCTGTGCAGACTCAGAGCCCTGCAGGGAAGAGAGATACACGCAAAAATATACTGAACACTAAGTGGGCCATAGCAAAGGTGAGGACTGTTGTTCAGACAGTATCTCGGGAGTAGAGGGGAGGATAAATCAATTTTGAGAGGGGATCTGTAAAACTTTCTTGGGTTAGTGGGATTTAAGCAGGACCTTAAAGGGCAGTGAGATTGCTATAGGTGAATATGATGGAGAAAGACATTCTAGGCTGCAGGAATTGTTTGAAGAAAAGCGTGGAGTTGGGAAAGTGCTTGGTATATTTGAGTAATTATGAATTAACCAGTGTGACCATAGTATGGATTCGGGGTAGGGTGTAGAAGTGGAAGCTAGAAAGATAAGTTGGAAGCATATAGTGGGTGTGGGAAAGAAATCAATGGCCAAGTGAGGCAGTTTGTCTTTATTCTCTGCGCATCCAGGAAGTATGGAGGGTCTTTGAGTAGGGAGATACCAAAAGCAGATCTGTTTTTCTAAAAAGAGAACCCTGATATTACTGCAAAGAATAGATCCTAGCAGGCAGGAAGGAAGCAAGACTTGGTAAAGGTAACAGGAACTTGATCTAAAGCCAGAGAGGTGGCAGTGGCCAGGAGAGGATGAACGGGAGAGGCATCTGAGATGCTGCATTCATGCGAGGATGGCTAGCGGCATGTGACAAAGAAAGCAGAGGCGAGCTGAGACAGTTGTCCTCGCACACACAGGCCCAGCCTGGGATGCTGGATTCAAGCAGGCTGTGTGGTCAAGGAAGAAACTGCCTACTGGCCCAGAAGCTGGTGGTCAGTGATAGCCTCATGGCCATCCCAAGCAAATTCTTTTCCTCCCTAGAATGCCCACAGGGGTAGCAACTGACCATCTGCTTTGCCAGTGTGGAACATCAAAATCACTGATTCCTAGACTTGGGTCCTTATCTGGCAGCCTCAGGAGCCCTGGAGAGCTTTTTAAACAACTTGCAGGCACCTTCTTCTCACCCCCGAGATGGGTCTGCAGCGGGACCCAGGCATCTGTATTTTGTAAAATTGCCAGATGATTCTGAAGCACAGCTGGATTGGAGAACCACTGTGGGATCTTACTGTTGTGCTGGGAAATGTATAGAAAACAAAGGTGGGCCGGGCACGGTGGCTCATGGCTGTAATCCCAACACTTTGGGAGGCCAAGGCAGGCAAATCACCTGAGGTCAGGAGTTCGAGAGCAGCCTGGCCAATGTGGTGAAACCCCATCTCTACTGAAAATACAAAAATTTAGCTGGGTATGGTGGCACATGCCTGTAATCCCAGCTACTCAGGAGGCTGAGGCAGGAAAATCCACTGAACCGAGGAGGTGGAGGTTGCTGTGAGCCAAGATCCTGCCACTGCATTCCAGCCTGGGCAACAGAGTGAGACTCCATCTCAAATAAATAAATACAAACAAAGGTGGACACTTACTCCTGCTAGTGAACACTATGATACGATGGCCTGGAGACCTAACCTTTTGGTTTCCAATGCCATGTCTCAAGCACAATGACCATCATTGAGTCTCTTTGTTCACCTTCCATCCCCAACTCTGGTCCTCAGCAAACACATCAGCCAGTCTCCCAAACTTCCCAGAAGGACAACGTGTATACAAATCATCATTTCCATTCTTGTCCTTAATTGAAAAAGAAAGAGAGCTTGGCAATGTCACGGGGATTTCAAGAAAGCATCTTTTCACAGAATGTTTGCATCTTTAGAAAACAGGCTACATAATAATACTATTCATTTTCTGCCAGGTTTGTGCAACACTTATAACACTTTTACTTATATTATTGTTTTTATTTCTCAGAAAAATGATACAATTTAGAGGTAAGATAGGAGTTAAAAACTTCCCTTGGATACACTGGGCTCTGGGTGATTCAGTGACTCATCAGAGGTCAGACAACCAGAGCTGGTCTAGAATTCACTGTCCTCCTGAGCTCCAGTTCTGCTTCTGTGCCATAATGGAGAGGAGTAACATAAAGGCATTTTTCTCTCCTTGTAAAAGAGAAAAAATGGGGGGAGAGGGAATTATTTAAACACACCTCACTCATACTGCAATCACTGCATTGTTTTTCCTGTTGAAACACCCTGTTGGTTTTCAAATCCCTTTAAACCTCCCCGGCACCTGTATGGCCCAGATCCAGGAATTATTACCAAACCCTTGCTTTTTATATTTAGCCACATAGGAGTTTCTGTGATGGTAACTGGCTCTTGGTTCAGTTGAAAATTTCAGAGCCCTCAGAAGTTTTCTTCTTTCATAGAGGCTGGAAGCATGTAATGCTTAGACCTGAATTTTCTTGTTTAACTGAAGCATGGTATGCTTCCCCTCTGGATAAAATAGTGTTGTGGCACAGCCCTATATTGTTCCTCTGTGATGATCCCTCTAAAATATTGATCAAAAGAGAGGGCAGGGAAAAGATAGGGTGGGGGGTCGGAGTCAGCAGCTTATAGTATGTGATATGACCTCTCTTCAGAGAACAGAAGACTGAAAACATAGAACTGAGGTTGGCAACATAATGAGAACTTCCCAGCAAATTCATTATAACAAATCATAATGTGAGCTCACAGGGCACAAAAATAGGCCAAAGGAAAGTGACTCCCACATAAGACCTAATTAAATACTTTGATGTCAGAAAGCAGTGCAGGGAGGGGTGGAAAATCAAATCAGACCAACGTGAAGGGCCTAAATTCTAACAGAAAGAAGAAATATTTCTCTTTTACTCACTCTCGCTCTCTCTTTCTCCTTTTCTTCCTTTGCCATGGAGGAAGAACAAGATTCCAAAACAATGGATTGTAAATTCTTCAGCCAATTACTCCAGTGACTTACTACTGTTTATAATGCACAGAATGTCACAGGCTGTTTTGCAGCCGCCCCAAGTTGGTTTGTTAATAACAGGAAGCTAGCACTTCTCAGTACAGTGGATCAGCTACACGTGAAAATAAATGCAAAAAACCTGGCGGGCAATAGCAGCAGACCGCGAGTAGCCTTGATTTAATTTAACATTTGGGGGTCCACACACAAATGAGCATTTTAGTAGGCTTCATGGTGGAAGTTGCTGTCATTTGTAAAATATTCTGGCCAATTAGCTAATAGTGTGCTTGGATTTCTCCTGTTTTGATACAGTAATACTAAGTACATTGTGAAGCCCAATTATACAAATCATCCCCATATGCCATACCAGTCTTTCTTTATGAACTGTGTTTATAAATCCTGTGTGAGGAAATGTGTACTTCAGCAATTTAGACCATGTGTAAAAACATAGCCAATGGGATTGTCAAGAAAACAAGTTCCAGCCTAGGAAATCCTAATGTGTTCCGCTGGAATAACAGGAGGGTGCCGGGAGTGCAATGCTCTGCTTAAATACATATTGCTTTATAGTGTTTAACTGATTTAGGGGCTTCCGCTCCCCTTTCTGTTATATTATTCTTCTTTTCTTTTAGGATCCAATCTTGGAGTTTTGGAGAAAATTTGGGATTGGTCTTCTCTCGGGGACAATAGCCTCAGTCATTAACATCCCTTTTGATGTTGCCAAAAGTAGGATTCAAGGGCCTCAACCAGTTCCTGGAGAGATCAAGTACAGAACCTGTTTTAAAACAATGGCAACAGTCTATCAGGAAGAAGGGTAACATAACACATTCTTATTTTAATAAATGTATGAGGCTCACGTATTGTTAGAACCGTATTGTCCTTCCATTTAGATGAGAACCAGTAAGCCCTCCTAAGTGGAGCTTGTGTCTAAGAAACTGCGAATATATATGACAAACTTTCCAAGACAACACAATAGTAAGATGTTGTAAACATGTGCTTACACCATCAAGTGACAATATGCTGCCTGTTTGCCTTAGAATGCCAAGGTGAACTTTCTACTTGGCAGTTTGTATAATGTAGTATTGTATATGTCCTTCTAATATATAGGCAGAAGAATAATTGTCTTCTGGCTGTAAATCCCATTAAATTGCCACCTAATTATATTCTTCTGGGAGAATTATAGAGTTCTGTAAAAACACTTTTAAAAATTTAAAGTATGTGCATTTTTCTGATTCTTTTAAATCTTACTTTCTGTTTCTTCGCCCCTCTTTTTCTCAAGTAAACAAGTAATATTTTATTATTTTGATATAAACTGCATCGTATTTCCTAATGTAAAGACTGAGTTTGTGGTCTTTTAAATTCAATTACAAAAGTCATTCTGTCCATATACACAGCTGTCTTGAAAGTAAGACCTGTCTTGAAAGCAAAAACCATCTCACTGATGAAAGTCATGTTTCTGATTGGACAGGACCAGCACAGTTGGGTAATAAAGAATTCATTAACTCTTTCCCCGCATCCAGTTTGCTGCAGAGAATACTAAGATGCTGTCTGCTTTGAGATGTGTGTAATTCCAAATAATTTATTTTTTTAAATGCTGGGTCCCTATCTCAATAAAGCTAAGGTACAACTCCATTTATTTTCAGAATAAGAACGTTTCTCTTTCCCTTCCCATTACAGGATTTTAGCTTTGTACAAAGGCCTGCTTCCCAAGATTATGAGACTTGGACCAGGTAATGATAATTTTGATTATTTAATCCTTCCTTCTTTATTGTTCTAGCGTCTCTTTTTTTGATATTTGTGTCCATCAGCAACAAAATATTTACCACTTTGTAAAAGACAGAAACCTTGAGAATATAAAGTTGTCTATGAGTATTTGAGATACTGAAGACATCCATTAGAAATGTTCTACCTTTGTTTATTAAGTACTATTTATGAACTTGCTGGAGGCTAACAGAAGCCAAAACCCAGCTTAAGTCAATAGGAAGAAGCCACAGGCAGTTGGAGTTTGAGTGAGAGCCGAGGTGTGTGCAGTGGCTTCTGGCTGAAGGGGAGGCTTTTCACTGAGTGAGGGACCAGCCCAGTCAAACGTTTCCTCGTGCTCCTAATTCATTCTTGCTCCTGCCTCAACTTCATTTCAAAAAAAGAAAAGGAGGACAGCTTGCCTCCATGAACAGCAAAGCCACTCATCTTTACAGTCACCTCTGGGGAGTGGTGACACCGTAACTAGCTGCTTACCTCTCCTGGGCTTTGTCAGCATGACGCTGGAGGCTTCTGGCTCAGGGCCTCACTTCAGGACGCCTACCCACAAAAAAACCGGCTGCCATTCCCACAGGGAGAATCGGCTGCCTCTATGTAAATAGATAAGAAAATAACTTCTGCAGACTCAACCGCCAGGGCAAATAGTCTCAGATTATAAGCAACCTTGTGAATAAGTACAAAAGTATACTCTAGACCACACATATATTTTTTTTATCAGGCTACACTCACCTACTTATACATACTGGTAATATTTCCTAGAACCTTCTCCTACACCTCCCCTCTCTCCCTTTGCAGTTCCTCCCTTTTAACACTATTGTCCTCCTACCCTGCTACACAAACACACATGCACATTCACCTTTAGATCTCAGCCCAATGAACCAACATTTCTATTAATCTAAGATAGAGAACAAGAGTCTGTAAATTGAAGCTGGTGAACAGCTCACACTTTCATATATTTAGGAAACACTTCCACAATTCCCAACCCATCTATCCCAATCTTTATAGGCCTTTACACATGGATTTTGTTTCATATTTGGGATTCAGACCTACCTTCCGTTAGTTATTGGCCCATGTGTAAAAGCTAACGCAGTAATAGAACGTGGGGAATTTTGTGCATCTCTGCCAGTATGTGGTGTTTTTCCTTCACCGCAGAGTAAAAACCTGCTAGTAGACCTAATATGAGAGGAAATCACAGCACCAGCCCTCAACCAACATTCTCAGAAAGGGATGGGCCTAAAAAGGGTGATGACAAGGGAGAGGTTAGCTAAAATGGTAATTGACTGGAACCTTCATCCAAAACTCTTAAATAATCTGACCCCAAGTTTTGTTAGAGGCTTGCAAATGTTTGGCTGGCTTTTTAAATGTTTTGCGTGAGAGGTCCTGAGTTGCTGTGGTGTTAGACTCAAAGAAAAGGGTTCTTGTGAACTGACTGTCCAGGCTAAGCCAAACTGTGAATATCTGGGAACCACTCACAGACCTGCCCTCCACTTCATTCCAAATGTGTGCATCCCAGCGACTTCAAAGCAAAGAAACCTAGAAAGAAAGGTACCACTGAGTTAAAGATTAAGACTTTTGAATGAAGGGTGAAATTTTTTTCTTTAAAGAATGAGAGAGAGAGAAAAAAAAAAAGAATGAGAGAGAGACAGTAAAAAAAAGAAAAGAAAGGTGAGCCTGGAATTTTTGTTCTTTGTTCTGGAGAAGCATCCAGCATTTTTACAATAGCCTTAGCAGCTCAATGTGGCTAACAATCAGGTACCTTCCATGAAAGAATCTTGAAGTCTGTGATTTAAACCTCAACTGTTACTAGGCCAAAAACTAACCCAACTCTGCATATTCTTGTCTTACATTGTGAATGATTAGTAAGAATAAATGCAGCGATTACCTACACATTAATGACCCTCTGTAGTGCAGCTCTTTTTGTTTGCCAGAGTTCCAAGAGGCCTAGAGAAGCTAAGAGGGACTAATAGAGTATCTTCATGGGTTAAAAATGAAAATTACAGGCAGATAATTATCTTTGGTATATGGTTACACAAACATGTGCAGCCTATAGATTAAAAAAAAAAGTATATGGCAGTGTGTTCAAAATAACTAAGACCCAAATCAAGTTCTATTTCTTTCCATCAGAAGTCAATCTTCTATTTCATGCAGCCAAGTCTTCTCTAAGTTGTGTTCAGGATATTTGTCCAAATTTTGATTTTGTGATGTTTTTCACACAGTTAGACATAAAAGGATAAAAAGAGATTATCCTGAAGGGCACAGGACACATGCTATTTACTGCATCAAATAGAACATAAAATGATCCATGTACAAATGCTTCTCCCAGTGGCTAGGTATTCAGCAGCCTCAGTGCCTGCTTTTCTGTATCACATTCCTGTTGACATAATACAGAGCATGTCTCTTCACAGCCAGTTATGTAGCTCTTTTCTTCCAAGACAAATGGTGGTCTCATGCCATCCAACCCCCACTACCAAATTTTCAAGTTCAAATCCATATACAACTGAAGCAGATAAAAGGAATGAAGGTTAGCTTTCAACCTCCTTTTGTTAGGTTTTGCAATGCAGATTTTTTAAATATTCAGAATCTAATTTCCACGTAGCAATGCAGTTTGAAAGCTATGACAGAAAACTAGACTCATCCATCAAGCACCATCTTAGAGATTTTCTTCTTGAATGCAATTAAGACTGCTAATTACGGACTGAAAAAGATAAATCCTTTATCTACACATGAAGAATCTGAAGGTTTCTGTTCACAGGAAAGCCACATGCCCTTACATGACTAAATATGCCTATATTTATTTACTTTTAAAAATTGAAAGTGCTTGAAAAAGAATCTGATGACAAATGATGAAAGTTGCAAAAACTCATGGGGAAAAATGTATTTGGAGACTCAAGATGGTCTTGATTTTATCCTGAGAATTTTCCACAGTAGTTTATATCTTGGTATTGAAGCTCCAGAACTGTTGATTCCGAACAGCCTCTGCCTGACAGGCTGTGCGAGACATCATGGATTCAGAAACCCAGTGGGAAAGCCAGTGCTATTCCAGAGGATTTGCAATAAAAAACAGCTCTTTTCTTTTCTAGGTGGTGCAGTGATGCTGCTGGTTTATGAATACACCTATTCATGGCTTCAAGAGAACTGGTGATTGCCTATGAAGTGTTTTTCCCCCTTGAGATAATGGATATTTGCTATGCAGCACCATGAAGAAGAGAGACTATCGATCGGCCAGGTGTATAATTATGAAGGAGAAAACTGTTCAAGAACAAAATCTATTTTAATACTTTAAAAAATGTCTATAGGCAACTTGAGATTATAGTTTTGGCTGTATAAATAAAACTGTGAGAAGAAAAAAATAATATGAAACAATGAGGTATTTAAAGTGAATATAGAAAAATAGCATAGAAATCATATATTTATTTCATAAAATAAATAGAAACTTTGTCTCCTGTGTTCCTCTTCAATGCTTCACAATGAAAATTCATTGTATTGATCAGCATTTTTCCTAAGAGGTCTAGAAATGCTTAAACTATTGAAAATAAATCAAATTATTCAAAGACTGGATTAAAAAAAAGTTAAGCCAAAATTTAAGCAGTTTTTATAATGAATTAAATTATTCCATAAATAATATTTAAAGAGCACAAGAAAAATTTTTTAAAGTGCACTAAAATGACCTTTTAAGAATGTTTAATTTTATGAATACTATGTTAAAATGTAAATCTGTTGGTTTTTTTTAGTAACTATGCACATATCAGCTCTATTTTCCTACATCTACTTTATATCTCATATTGCTGTAAGATAATAAATAGGTATTTTAAAACATTGTTTAAAACAGAATGTTAAAACACTGTTGTTTAAGCATGTTTAAATCAAGGTATTCCAAATCTCTTCTAACACAAGTAGGAAACATGAAATAAAATTTACTTTCCTCCACATAGTTCTCTTTGAAGATAAGTTTTGTTGATGAGATATTGTCATGTTAAATCACAAATTGGAAACACCTTTGGACCCATTTGTCAGCCATCAGTATTTGCATCCAAATACCTTTATTCAGCATGCCTACCTGTGCCATTTTTAGGAAGAATGTATAGAACAGAACTGCATTTTCAGGTTATTAGTTTTAAACGACAACTTCAGGTGGGAAGTCAGCTGTCTGCAGTATTAAAATATGTATGATGAAGGGGAAATGTTCTGAAAAAGAAATACACTTAGCATTTCTAAGGATTACTATACTAACATGTATCAACAAAAATATCTCCTTGGTCTTGATGTAACCAAACTTGATTTTATATCTGCATCCAGAGATGATGCTGATTCAGTAAAGTCAACAAGAATAACTGAAAGTCCATATGACACCTGTCCTAAGTTACTACCGTGGGCTATTTCTACTACGGGGCTATTTCACTAAAGCATTTTGAAAATAAAAAGTAAAAGATAACATGGTAATTATTACTTTTTATTAATTTAGAGCATTTGAAGTATAAAAATAAAAGGCTTTTGACATACTGTATATACATACATAGCCTTCTGTTGTACATCCTTTCCAACGTGTTTTTTAAAATTTATATTTCAGTCCAATATTCAATAAAAGGGTCATTAAAAACAAAACAAAATTGTGAAAAAAAAGAAATAAGAATGTGTCTCTGTTGCACAACTGCATTCTATCCTTGCAGGTAATATTCTTACATCCAATGAGAGCGCTGCCTGCATAGAGGTCATGAAATTGAACCTTTAACCTCTCCATGTGGATCAGATAGAAAAGGATTTCTGAAGAGTGCATTTGCCAGTTTAAAAGCAACACTTTTACCATCTATGAGATAGAGGAAATATGTCAACATTAACCAATAATAATCTTTAAAAGTTAACCCTTTAATCCATCCTATTTTCCTTCTCGTATTTTAAAAAGTGGCTTTAAATCATAATTTTCTTTGAATAGCAAATTGTATCTGATATCTTTTAAAAATTACTCCATGTGAATTCACTGTTAAGACCTAGAGGGAGAAAAGGAAACTTCAATACCATTAATATTAGATTTTTTAAAATACAAGAACCAGAAAAAAATTATAAATAGCACAATAACAAGAGATTTCTTAATTTAGATAAAGAAAATAACATTATTTGCATTTCCACACAAGCAAGTAATATTTTTTAAAGCCCCCTAACAGCCACCTAAAAACATTTGATAAAGAATAGTTCTGTACCTTACATCAGTTTTTCAGATGACAGGAGAGTCCCTGTATGGTATGGTTTTAAAGAAGTCTCCACCAAAATATTGGATTGGATCTTTGTTCCATTCAGTTTATAGTCTATTTTCTCACCAGACTGGGAACTCCAGATGTCAATGGAAGTTTTACAAGATCAAAGGAAGACTATGGCCCTGAGAGTTCATCTGCTCCTTCTGCTTATTCTTCTCCTGAAGTTATAATCCTCTATTTGTAGCACTGAATTTCGGTTGCTTTAGAAATAAATGCAGTTCAAAGCTCTCTATAAGATATCTGCTGTCTGAAAAAAGCAGTCACTCTAACATAATTTGTGTGTCAGAAATCTGCTTACTGTTTACATCCTAGTGATTTGAAAACCTAACTAATCTAGCCATCTGAGTTTTAAACGAAGCCACGAAACCGATGTGGTGGAACCGCATTGCCATGTAGACTGTGCACAGCACAGACCGGAAGAAATTAAAATCACCTAGGGAATCCATCTTCAACATCCATATCCAGTGAGGTGCTCTTTTAGTTATTGCACAGAATTAGTACCAAAAAACCCTCAATATATTAATTTTCCAACAGCTGAATTGTACCAATGTCCTAAAAACATATTTTTAAGCCTATATTGCCAAACAGGAAGAACTTCCTAAACAGAAGGGATTAAAAACTGTAGAATTTTGCCCCAGAAAATCAATTGTTTTAAAATACAACACATACTCACATGCTCACACACACATATACTCCACAACTGTTATTAACATTAAAGTGAAAAATAAATTGGTCTAGAAAGGTTTATGAGTTAAACTGTGTCCTGTAATTTCAGAAATGAATAAAGGGAATTTGTTAAAATTAAATAACATTGTATTTCTAGTACCACCACCAGTTTACCTACATGCGAAACATGCTTCTGTACAACAATGTAAACTTCACAGCAAGCCATTGTTACATTCATTAGAGCAGAATTTTCCATTTTCTTTAAATTACAACATTATTTGGGGCTGAGATTGCTGAACACACAGGTAAGCCAACAATAATAGGACAATTTAGTTTCACAGTGGTTTTCTTAACACAAAGTTCATTTTAAGCATCTTTGCAAAACATTTCACATTAAACTTAAGTTTCTAAGTGACTTCCTTTAGAGCCTTCTTGTTCAGATATTTTCCACCCTCTTGTCTTTATATGCTTAGCATGTGTGTTGTTTGATTAGGTACAAAATGGGAGACTGGCTTGTTTTATCTGTTTTTCGTGTCCTCTGCTGTAGAAATAAAGTGTCCTTCATGAGATGTTGAAGCCTTCACTGCATACACAAAATTTGGGGGCAAGTCCAGGTCCAGGAGCCCGAGCAGCCCACCACCAAACAGAGACAAAGACGTTGCCAGAAAGTCACCTTTGCAAAAAAGAAAGAAAAAAATAGAGAGGGGGTGGGGCTGAGGGGAGGGGAATATCTTATGGAATGAAGACACAAATGCACCATCCAGAGTCCGTATTTACAAACTAATAGAAAATATAAACATTATTGTATTTGGAACCAAGTCAAAACACCAGGGAGAGCTAGATTCAGATATTGCTTGGGTTCTACATATATTTTTCAACAAAATAGGTCATGTCTTAAACAAAGGATCACTCAAACAAGTCACTTATTGATTTGTTTCCTAATGATGAATTAAAGCTTACTTGGTTACCATATTTGATTAGAGGGTGTAGCATAATTTTTTCTATAAGTATTTTCCTTTATTGATTTTGCAAAATCTCAACAATTGCACATTTCAAAAGTTCAGGTTGATTTAGAATAAATATACACATGTGGTTTTACCAAAGACTAGTTTGTAAAGTTCCTTAAACCCTTTGAGGGGTGTAGGTTTCTTTGTTATGTTAAGACAGTATGTGGGCAACACAAATGTCTCATTCAATGCTTATTGTTGCTCTTGTTTTTAAATCCTAAAGTCATGTCAGTTTTTCTGCAAGAGAAAAGTTATGGCAAGAAATATGTAAGTGTCATTAGCACAAAGGATGTGAGTCCGTACAGCCAGCTTTCAAGGCAGAAGGGTTGGAGGGCAGGAGGGGTGGGATGTGAGACCTGGGAATTGGGGGAGGAGGTGCTGAGACAGGGAGACCCGGGTGAAGCTGCTGGAGACGGAATTTCCCATCAGAGCGCGGAAGCCGTGACAGAATGACTACCTTCTCTGGCTGCCTGCATTCCCTTGAACGCCAGCGATGCCGGAATGTCACAGTTGTGGGGAGACAATGAGGTGCCCCCAGCATGTTGCCACCCATGTCCAGCAACATAACCAGAAGGAGCAGCACTGTAGGTCATGTAAGGCGACACTTGGGCTGGGGTAGGGTAAGGAGCCATGCTGGATGCTGACACAAAACTGCCCACAGCTGGGAGACCATTTGGTGCCTGAGAGGAGTAGAAAAGAAGTGAAAAATAATCACATTATAGGAGTGAACATTTCACACGTTCTTAGAAAGAAGCAGAACTTAAGTCTGAGTAAGCCAGCAATGCTCTGACTCTACTCTCCAACTTTTTAAAAAAATTTGAGCTTTATTATATTCTAAAGACATTCACAGTCTTGCCACTTAAACAAACATAATGACAAGATATTATTCTTTCCACAAACATTTAGAGAAAGCTGCAACCAGAAAATTCGTAGTATTTGCTTGTGCCACTTGGAAGTACAGGAAGGAGGTGCAGGGTGAGAAAAGAATTAATGGCAATTAAATACTCTTAGAATCTGTTCGGCTGTCCTCATTGCCTTTGTCAACCTTCCTGGGACTTGGGTTTTGTTTGGCTCTTTTGTTGAGGCACTTGTGACAGGCCTGGTTGGTATAACTTTCATTTTCAGTAAAGAAGGGCACAGACTGCAGCCTGTCATGTTAGAAACGCACAACAAACACGACCTTCGTTAAAGAAAATATAGACCATATTTTAAGAGATCATATTGAAAATGCCCGTTGGACAAAGGACATACAAAAATCAGGCACTTTGTCTTGTAAGGATTTTTAAATGAATATTGCAAGTGCCTTTTCCAGGACTGTTTTATCAGAAAGGAAACTGTCTTTCCCCATATAAAAGAACTGCATATGCCTGGTTTTGAAACTGGAAATTTTGCTTGCAAAGTTTTTGGGTCCTGTGATGTGAGTTTTTAAAAGCCACGTGGATAAATCTCTTGAAGTGAATTTAGAAATTAAAATCTTTGTTTGCAAACACAATGCAGCAGTCCCGGCAGGCGAGCCTGCCGAGAAACCAGTGCTGTCTTGGCATCCAGTGAATTATTGTTGGTATCGTTACTATTAACAACACTAAAAACACCCTGATTTTTAATCCTGATTCTGGCATGAACACTGGGCATCCTTCTTCAAGTAGTCTAATTTTTTCCCCTCAATTTTTATACTCTTTAGAAATAAAGTGTAGATGCTGTGTCCTGATAGTTACATGAATGAACTACCATTTCAATATATTTCCTAGTGAAAATACGATGTAAATACTAGAATTTTATGAGGAAAATTGATTTAATCCTTAGAATTAAGTTAATCAGATGTATGTTAGCTAGGTACTTTTTCCCGTTCAATTGCAACACAGGAATTACTTTCTAATTTAATTTATTTGGGCTATTGTTTTCACTTCTACATCTATGAGAATGCAGTGGTGCGGTCTCAAAAACTATTTTCTCAATGCAGAGTAAATGAATATGTACATGGAATAGAATACATACGTGGGTATGACAACATTACTCATGCATTTCTGACAAAAAAAGAAAAATATTAGAGGGGTTAGCCTTGTGTCTATGCTCTGTAAGAACAAACACCTCATGTTGTGTTTTTCAATGTTGGTTCTTTGAAAATAGGGAAAGAGAAAGGAAGCTAAAGTTTCTTAAGTGTGTCCTATGTCCCAGGCACCAAGAAATATCCAACATATTTTACTGAGTAATGAGTATTAATGAATTATATAGTTCATTATAAATGATTGAGTTTATCATAATTACAAGATAGTGTGTCACAAATACAACACAATGTTCAACTGAAATTAAAGTGTATTTTAAGGGTCCCAGAGAATGATGCTGCTGCATTTTTTAAATCAAGAAACTACCGCACATAACTGTTGAATACAAATGAAATCTTATCCTCTTTTTATACAAGGATATAGATTAAGAGGTTTAGCCATGTACCCTCAACCAATTGGCAAGCCAGTGGCCATGTGTTAAAAAAATTTATCACCCCTGCCCAATGCAGGGTCCTCTGTAGCATATCATACTGTTTTTCCTGAACACTTAAAAGATAGATGCAATTTAATTTAAAACTAGTGCATCTTTTGAGATAACATCTGGTAACAAATTCTTTTCTCTCCTAGAACATGATTCTCATTGTCAGATCCCTTCTAAAAAAAGAATAGTTTCTTCCACTTTTTGAGAATGGCTGATTATGTCTCAAAGGAGACACACTTTAAGGCTCTCAGGAGATGGGTATCAAGATAGAGAACTATCAAATTACAGGGGAAAAAATCTAGTTTTGCATAGAGATTATAGTTTTAATCATTTTTATTTAGAATTGTCCCAATAATCTATGATAAATGAGTTTGGAAAGAAATAAATCCAATTCAGTTATGGAAAGGTGTTCACATCTGTATGTGGTGTTAACTAATATTTTCATTTCCAGCATTGACTAATGTTTTATACTACTGATGCCAATGTGAACTAAGAATAATGAAATAAGAATGCTAACATTAAAATTACTTCTAAAATAATAAAAATCTTTGGCCAACATCATATAGGGACATAAAGTTAAAAAATTTAATATTATACATGGCAGAAACAATGTTCTAGTTAGCAGAACAGAACTGTTGGCGAGTTCTATTTTTCATCACAGCTAAATTTTTCCTACCCATTCTTTTTTCTTTGTATTTTATCTATCATTCAAAATTACAGTTCTCTCTGAAATCCTTGCTTAGTCATCTTCCCTTTTCTTACACCTTTGCCCTTGGAACTCTTGCTCATTGATCTGCCCCATTTACTTGGACTCTTCAGTTGTTTTGTTGCAATGTCTATGGTCCCCTTACATGGACCCACTTGGAAGATGGCCCTCAGAGACATGCTGCATTGAACTTTTATCTTAGATAATGTTCCTGGAATTTAGGGGCAGGCAGGACATTGGATTTAGGCCTGTATTAACTTCTAGTGCCTTATTTATTCCATGATTACATTCATTTATCAAGTGTAAAAAAATGAGCAAATTTTTCCATGTTTGTCCAACTTCTCATACTTAATGCACAAACTTGCTTTATGTCATTATTCTTAGTACTAAATATTTCAAAGTTCTCTTAAATCCACAATATTTATTTAGTATCATTTTAGTGATGCAATCCCTTTGTACTGCAGAAAGACAGGGTAGGAAGAGAAGCTCGGAGATGGTTGATTTCATCTCATAGAAAAAGGCGGCCGGGCACGGTGGCTCACGCCTGTAATCCCAGCACTTTGGCAGGCTGAGGCGGGCGGATTGCCTGAGGTCAGGAGTTCAAGACCAGCCTGGCCAACATAGTGAAACCCCGTCTCTACTAAAAACGCAAAAATTAGCCGGGTGTGGTGGCAGGTGCCTGTAATCCCAGCTACTTGGGAGTCTGAGGCAGGAAAATTGCTTGAACCCGGGAGTCGGAAGTTGCAGTGAGCCGAGATCGCATCATTGCACTCCAGCCTGGGCAACAAGAGTGAGACTTCATCTCAAAAAAAAAAAAAAAAAAAAAAAAAAAAAAGGAAGAAAGAAAGAAAGAAAAAAGAAAAAGGCAAGGAGAGGCTAAAACGTTTGCTTAAAAAAAAAAACAAACATAAATCTTTAAACTTAAACAGTATAAAAATAGCCCTTAGTTTTCTCTCAGGTTAAATTATGACCCTAGCTTGGGGGTCTGGAGAGTTTTGTCTTAATTTTACTTTTTACTTTTGAAGCTCAGATTTATAAATTTAGAAAAAAAAGGAGCAAGTAAATGTGCTTTAAAATTTACCTGCCTCCTGCCACCTTCATTATTTATTCATTTTAGTGACTCAATAAACACATCAATTTTCTCACTATTAATTTTGACACATAACATTAGTAAAAGATATAAATCTCTACTGGGTCAAGTAATTGTTATTTATGAAGCAATCACTGAAAAAGTAAAATTTTCCACCGCAAAGGAAAACAACTACAGGTAGCATTGATGTTTGTTTATTCTTTCCAGTAAAAGAGTACATGACTTAAACGTCCCAAATCGGTTTAATGTTTTCAGTGAAGGGCATGTAATTAATCTGAAAAGCTAGTTAGGCTGAGTAGAGACTACCAAATCTACACTATAAATATAGTGGGAGCAAACATGCTAAATTACTCTATTTAATTGGATTGTAAATATGATTTATAAATCAACCAACATACGGAATCCCCAGGGAAGAGTAAACAAATTTTCCAAATGAAACCCCAGCAATGGGCATGTAATGGAAATCTCATTTTTGAAAATGACTTTACCTAAAGATTCCATAAATAAGACTTCAATCCATCAACTCCTTTCTCATGTGGATCTTCCATGAAAGGCATGAGAATTCTTTCCCCTGAAAGAACTGTGCAAGGGTGCTCTCTATAGCAAACTATCTTCTACCTAAATTTGAGAAGGAGATTTACTAATACAAAGCAAAATAGACTAAATTGCATACCCTAGAAAAAGTAAGTTACTGCTTTGTTTTAATACTTTTAGGAAAAGACCAACTTCATCACACTGACATTAACGGAAATAGTCTAGAAAAAAATATATAAGATGCAATGTAGTTCTTCTAGTTAAGGTTATCACAAGAAGAATGAAAGTACAAGTTTTAATTTCGTTTGTTCCAAATGTTCAAAATACAGATTTACCAATTTTTTAAAAGTAACTTTGGTGAATATGTTGAGGAACTGTATTGGCAGAGGGCTAGATTGTAAACTGTCTGAGGACAGGGACTTGCCTTAATCATCTTGTATCCCCACAAAACAGGATACATCATAAGCATTCCACAACCATATGTATATTTAAGTTAGTATAGGTTTGTGAAAGCAAAAGATGTGACACTGTAGCTTAAAAAACAAAGCAAAAATGTAGGCACCGTTTATCACAAAACAAGCATTACACTTTAAGCAAGCAAAATGAATAAAGCTGTTGAAAAAAGTAAACAGAAGTTCTAACCTAGCCATTTATTACTTGATTTATGGTTATTCCATTTATCCTCCCTCCTCCAAGTAAAGGAAAATACGTTAGTATCAAAACACTTGTGACCACCATAAAACTGGTATGGCAAATGTCTGGCAGTTAGAGGTTATAGACCATTATTCAAATTCTGGGAATTGTCTACTCAACATTATTTATCGTGAAGATAAATGCAAATAACAGTGCCAGGTCCTCTACCCACAATCTGCTTTCACTTATCAGTTCAACCTGGTCCTCTTATGATAAAATGAATTTACCTTGGCTTTATAATAAAGTAGATTTAGCCACAAATAGAGATGTGCTTCACCTAGAATTTCAACCTCGATATCATAAGCAAGAAAAAGTTTTGGATCTGAAAATAAACAAGATTTTCTCTTTTTTGGTGAACTCATTTTTCTGTCATTCTTCCATTTTTAATGCATTATGCAATGACCTAGTAAAACATACCTGACAAAATGAAATGATGGTTATAAATATGGTTTCAACATTCATCCAACAAGATCTTAATTATGCTTACTTATCATATTGTAGATGTAAATGTCTCTAAGAAATGGAAAGCCGCTATTTAAAAGCTTTTCTAAATTTTATAATTTTCCAAAATATTATTAAAATTGACATAGCCTTGAAAAATTTGCAATTACCTTTCCCTGCTATTTTATACAATACATTTTACTGATACATGATCATTAATTTTATTTTGAAATACTACTGGTTAAAATGTAACCAGGTCAAAGAATGTTTTTCATAACAGATAACATTATGAATTTCAAAGACACTCTGCTGGCATTTGCCTAAGATTTCATTGTCTATAAATCATAACTTATTTACAAAAATTAACTTTAATATGAAGACAAATTTAGTGCAATATCATTTATATCTTCCTGAGAATAGTACATCCACAAGGACAGCCAGTTTTTAAAATAATACACTAGAAAATCACATTCAGGATTCTAGAAGACTATCTTCACTTCAAATGCATGTGCAAGTAAATGCTTCATAAGAATTTCAGATTATATCTTTAAATTCAACTATTTTCACAACTTAATTCTGAACTTTTAAAAAGTTCAAGTATTTATAGACTATTCTCTATTTCTGACATCTCAGTCTGTAGCTAGTGTTATATTAAACTTGCCAAATTAATATCTGCAACCCCAAAATGAAGATACCCAAAGCTTATAAATCTGTCACTCCAATTACTTTAGAGTATCAGATATGCAATGTATCTTTCTTGAGACAGTATGCCCATTTGTAGAAAATTTTTCAAGAACTATACAATTATTTATATATAGTTTGAATAAAATTGAGGCATTAATTCATGAAATACTTCCTAAAAGGGCAAATGTATTCCAGTCCCTATGATTCTCTATATAAGGTTTTTTGGCCACTCAATTTTATTCCATTGGAGTTTTATGCTTTCAACAGAAGAGAACCGGCCATCAGGAAGCAGAGAACATTGTTGCCATTCAGAAGTAAATGGAATTAAGTACTTCTAGCCCCAATATTAACTGTGGGTATAAAAAAGCCAAAATAAATATTCTATCCTCAGAGACAATAAGGACTTCTGAATGGCACTGCAAAATATTAATTACAATGTAATATTAATATGTAAGACAAGTTAGAATATTCTACACTGAATTTTCAAAGACAAAAGATAGGTATATGCATAGCTGAAATGTGCATACAGTTTTAATTACTAGGAATCAGGACATCTGTCTTTACAGTTTAAGCTGAAAATAGAAACTCTAGATTATGGTAATCAATAGTATCTATACTCAGTTGCATAGTTTAGCCCTTTGGTAATTCTACAGATGTCCTCAAGAAAAATATGCTTTAAGCTCTATGATTCTGAATTCTCAATTTCCTTCTTTGTATAATAAAATTAAACTAGTATCATATAATTTTGCACTATTTAATAACAATCACAAATGCCCTGAAAGTGGGAAAAATTTTAAAGCTTTTTTTTGGCCAAAGACATTCAAGTTATTGTCCATAATATAAGCAGAGGGAAAAATACGTGTTACCAGAGTTTACATTTTGGTTGAAATATGCTGATTCCATTTTGAAAAATAACTTTTAAAAATAAATCTGCCCTTTGAATATTGGTAAGAGAAATGCACATATATGGGCAACACTTTACCTTTGTATGTTTATAAACAAGTATTAATGTGCAATTTAACCTTACATGAAATCAATGTCTAAAGTTCAAAACTGCTCAGAAAAATGGCACGGCTGAACTTGGCACATCTTCAACATTAAGCACTATTTTGATAATTATCATAGAGTAGCCACTAATTTATATTATTCTTAGAAACTTTTCAGGTTTTGAAATTTTACATCATTTGAATTATCTAACTATTAAATACATTGCAATGCAGAAGATTAGCATATTGCAATTAAGAACTTCGCAAATGTAAGTTTCATATAAATATTTTTATTCTGGAAAAAATAGCTTATTAAGTATTTAGAGCAATATTTATTTGGTTACTTATTTCTTTAAATTATATTCTTTTATAAATGTGATAATTTAGTGATTTAAAATTTAGTATATAAAATGTAATCTATTTTTAATAATCAGAATATCAATTATTTAAAACTTCAAATTTTTTATTTTAAATAATTTGTCAGTTTAGTTTTGAAGTGTATTATAAATTAAGCATTTCCAAACAAATTTCAATGTTAGATCTATAATTCAAGGAAGAGAAAATAAAAATTACTGGCCGGCACGGTGGCTCACGCCTGTAATCCCAGCACTTTGGGAGGCCGAGGTGGGTGGATCACGAGGTCAGGAGATCAAGACCAGCCAGGCCAACATGGTGAAACCCTCTCTCTACTAAAAACACAAAAATTAGGTGGGTGTGGCGGCGCGTGCCTGTAATCCCAGCTACTCAGGAGGCTGAGGCAGGAGAACCGCTTGAACCCGGGAGGCAGAGGCTGCAATAAGTAGAGATCGCGCCACTGCACTCCAACCTGGCGACAGAGCTAGACTCCGTCTCAAAATAAATAAATAAATAATAAGTATAAAGGGTTTTTTTTGGGATTATGACTGCTTGATATATAAACTGGGTTCATCAATGACATGTGGGAATTAGAAACTTTTTCAACTCTATACTTCACAATGTTATTCCAATCAATGATGACCTAATAAAAAGCACTGAGCGCCTATTAAATGCTTGCTTCTATGGTAGGTGCTTTATATACACTCTTTCTATTGTTTGTAACAAAATCTCTTGAAGCTTTTTGACTATGGTCTCTCAGAACAAAGTATACTCTGATAAATATTACTTACTTTTACACGTGTCTTTTTAACTGCCACTTAGAACCACAGACAATACTTAATAAATGCTTACTATGTGCCATATGGTTGCATTATCTCATTGAATACTCATAACATCTCTGGGTTGGGAATATCATTTCCCTGTTTTAAAGATGAAGAAATAGAGACTAAAAATTAAATATTTTCCTAAGAAGTCGTACAGCCAGAGATCGGAGCTCCTAACCATTGTACTATTCTGCCTTTTCTTTGCAAATTACGAATTAAGGGTGGGTCGTTTAGTAAAAGAAAATGACAAACTTCCTTATCATTTCTCATTGACATTCTTCACAGTAGAAACAGACTAAGGAAAAGGGCTCTCTTTCCTTGCTATTTTCTGTGTTATTTGCCATTGGAGAGCCACTAATATGTATTCTGATTCTATTTCAACAAAATAAGAGAGGGAAGAGGAAGTGGAAATGGGATTTGTTACAGAAAATAATGACTAAGATGTTTTTTCAAGTGAATAAGAGGAACAAATTCCACTTAATTTTAAAAGCTGATTTTGACAGACAAAAAAGCATTAAAAATTTTAAGTCTTCAAAATAATAAAAGGAAAACTGAATAGCTTGAGGCTTTGGAATTGAGTTTGGGATTAAGAGATTTGCAAACCTACTGGGGTCTGCTGGGGAAACCTTACATTGCCTTAAGGTCCGGTTTTTTGAGAGTTTTGAACTCTTGACTCCAGGACGGTGATGAATTTAGACTTAAATCTGGGGCTTTTGTTGTGGTGGTTGTTTAGCTTTTCTCGGGGGGAAAATAAAAACACGAGTGTTTTAAATTTTCCTTTGGAGACATGAGGGAGGGACGGAGGGAAAGAAAAATTAAACGGTCCACAGCCAGTCCGTATAATTTGAGGTTTTCTCACTAACTTCCTTGGGAGATTACAATGTGACCTTTAGTCGAGAAAATGGTAGCTTTGTTACGTTTATCTGGGTGCCCCTCTCCGCAGGATTGGCCAAGCGTGTTTGTCCGAGAGCCACCGGAGAGAAAGTCCGAACGTGAGGACCCCGCAGCCGCAGTCGCACCGTGGGGCCGAGACCCGGGGCGCGCGTTTCGCGGGCGTGAAGGCGCGGCTCTGAGGCCCCAGGGCTGCTCCGCTCGGCCCTTCAGAAGCGCCTTCTTTGGTTAACTCTACCCCCAACGAGAGCCGCCGAAAGGGCTTCGGGAGCCGCCTCCCCAAGCTCCCGGAGGCCGACAGGCCTGGAGGCGCTTCCCAGAGCCTCGCCCCGGGGAGCTGCCGCCCCAGACCCCCAGCGCCCTGACGAGCGCTCCCGGCCCCTGGCGGGGGTCGAGGCCCCAGCTCCGCCTTCCAAGGCTCAGGCCTCTGCTTCGCCCCAGTCCACGAAGGATCTGGCTCGTAGCAGCAAAGGGACGCCAGCCTGGGCTTCTCTCGCGGGAAGCTCAGAAAGGGACCCATCACAAAGTGTTCCATCGCCTAAATCCCCGCCGCCACGCGGCCCACCTGGCCTGACCCTCGCCTCCTCACCTGACCGTACTTGGCTTCCTGCTCCAGGGCTCCCTTCTCCAACCCGTTCACCGCGTGCGGGGCGGCGGCGGGGAAGTTGTTGCGGCCCAGGCTGCTCCACTCCTCCACCTTGGGGCTGTGGTAGGGGGAGCTGTCGCTCACTGATGGAGAGAAGAGAGGGTGTCAGGCCGGAGGCCCAGCCCGCGCGCCCCACTCTTGAGACGGGACCCAAACCCGCGACGGAGAGCTGGAGGGCTTAGACCTTGGGTCGGCTCCCTGCCCTTGGCCTCCCGAGGGCGCTGGGCCCAGCCGCGACCTCCTGTGCTTCCAGCCCAGGGCCTGGTGAAGTTTTACTCCCCTCAGAGTAGGCCTTTCCAAATTCTCTGACCCACGCCTGAGGGAAGACACTTTTTTCTTTTTCAACCGGTTTTTGATTTCCCTTCGCCCCTTTGCTCTCCCAGGGCAAAGGAGTGGAAGAAACCTAAATCGGAGAAGGAACCCTTAAGGCTGCACGTGCCGTTCTCCACCTCCTCATTCTTAACCCAAGGCCGACTGGGGGTTGACAACAATTTGGCAGTGGGGCTGGCTGAAAAGAAAGAGAGGAGCGTCTGACCTAAGGGTGCCTGCACTGGTGCTCACTGCACTGTGGGGATCTGGTACTTATGTCAATAGAGAACAAAAAGACCTGCACTGTCCTTTGCAAACAAATAACTAAATTATTCCCACGATACAGTGCAAAATATACATGCACAGATTTCTGCTTTGTGTGTGCATAGGGCTCCCCTTGATACACTACCTCTACACATTACATATGTGATATGTGCATATGACTTAAAAATAAATCTTGCAATTACCACTATACATGCCATGGGTGTTAGTGGCAGGGTTTTCCTGAAAGAGTTTAAAAAATGTATATACAAGAAAGAGAAAATGAAATAGGTTAAGAAAATGAAAGTAAAATTAAGTGTTAAGGTGTAATGCCATCAGTTATTCTTTCTGTTCTTGGTGGAGATGCAAAGAAAATTGTATGGTGTAAAGTAATTACTATAATACCTGGGGTTGAGAATATTGAATTATTGGCATTTTTCAGTGACCAGGTATAGTTTCAAAGAGATATGTGAAGGCTACAAACAATGTATGTTTGTCTTTGGGTCCTATGGGTGGAGGAGTGGTTTGGCAAAGCCATTGTAACTTGATTTTAAACACTTCCATCTAACACAGTGCTTTAAAAGAGTGAGCATTTTTGTAGAAATGATCATTTTTATAATCACAAATGTGTCACAAACTGGGTTGTTTAAAGCTGGCATCCAAAATCACAATAATATCTGAAAGGAAAAGTTGCTCCTTTCCATTCTCCAATACTTTCCCAACTGACATTTGCTCTGATGGTAGGATCCCTAGGCAGGAAAAGTTTTCTTTTAAACTCTGTCAGCCTTTTTTTTTTTTTTTTTTTTTCACTATGTCTCCTCCTCTACCACCCCCAAGAATTAGATTGAGTCCCATTTGCACCAGGAAACTGTGTTTTGGTCCAGAACTGCCTGTCTGTCTTTGCCTTCCCAGACAAAAGGCAGTCGGTGGGCACAAGCTTGAAGTTATCTTAAGAAATTGAGATCCCCCTGTGAGCCCCCATTTCTGCTGATCTCACACTTTCCCATGAACAGGGGCTTCCTTTAAATGTCAGTGAGGTCAGTTTATCCTATAAATCAAGGGCAAACTCTCTCCAACTATGGCTCCAAGTAGCTCCAAATAAGACAAAACTGGGCTCTTGTAAACTTGCAGTCAGAAAACAAGAAGATGAGAAATCAGAGCCCTGCTTTAATTACTTAAAAAGATAATTGTGCCAATGTGGTGGCAACCAAGAAAGGCAGGAAGTAATTAAAGAAACTATTTCCCCCTTTCCTATTTAATTTTTCCTCTACACTTTTAAAACTTTAGGCTGAGAAATTAAGAAAGTGGACTATCTACACATTATTTAAATTCTGCATCTAGGTCATTCAGACTTTCTTTTCTCCCTACCAAGAAAAAAGTTAACGCCTTAAAAAAAAAAAAAAAAACTCAGTAAAAGAAAACAAACTCAGGTCTCCTGCGGAAGCCGGACTGGGCAGGAGGGCTCGGGGAATCCTTCTGACAAGGCAGAAAGGACGCTTAGGACTAGGCAAGGTCAGGGGTGAGAAAGGAAAGAAACAGTGGGGTGGCACTGCTTAAAACATGCAGGAACTAGATAGATATCCACTTGCATTCTCGGGGACCCGGGGACCCGGGGACCCCAAAGGAAAGTGGCAGGCTCAGGGAAAACTGAAAAGAACAGTAAAAGGACAGCATGGAATTGCCTGCATTTTATCTCCATCACTGCAGTGGCTGATGCCACTTCCCTTCCTAAGATATATACAGTGAAGTCTGTTAAGTTAGAAAGTGAATGGAGAGAGAAAGAGAGAGAGAGAGAATGTGAATATGACTTCGTCTGGGAATGAGTTACATGCAAGTTACTAGTAGTAACTTCGGGACCTCCATTTCCGAGGAAAATGAAGTGAAGCATAAGAACGAAACCAATTAGGTGACATTTGAACTTCCTGCCTGAGCAAATTTGGCCTGATTACCAGAATCGGAGAATACTTCAATTTCCAAGGCGTGCTGGACTCCTCCCGGCCAGACTTCTCCCGGCCGTAGTGATCCCCAAGCAAGCTGCTCTGCCCACAGCGGAGTCTGCAGCCGGCAGCCCCAAGCAGGCTCGGGCCTCCCGGGCTGCGCCCCAAGTCCAGCCCCGGCCGCACTCTCCAAGTGAGCAAGCCGGGCTGAGGCTGCCTCGGCGCGAGAGGCGGGGGAGGGTGGAAAATGCGAACCATGTGTTGGGGATGGGGGGATGTTATGGGTCTGGTAGTTTGAGATGAGGCAGAAGACTGTGTGTGGCAAGGAAACCAGGGGCATGAGTTTCAAGTTAATGAGATCAGAACACCCCCTAGGAAGACTCCTTACGTTTCCAAAGGAAAAAGCCTCAGGTGGTGGGAAAGACAGTGTCCCTGAGGCTGCAGATACTGGGACCTCCGCGAGAGTGCGGGGGCAGACGCTGCACATCCACACGCCCAGCCTCTGAGCCCCTACCTTGGTCGGTGATGGAGCGGATGCCCAGGATGTCGGTGACGGAGTGCGAGGAGGGCCAGGTGCGCGGCATGGCCACCGAACCGGGGATGGCAGGCACCCCGGGTGGCGTGGGCACCTTGGCGGCCGCCGCCGTGATAGGGCTGGGGTACGAGTAGATGTGGTTGTAGGGCAGCGCTGGCTGCGGCGTCGGCTGGTGCTGCTTGTATGAGTCGTAATGACCCTGCTGGGCCAAGTTGCCGATCTTGTTGCGCAGAATGCGGCTGATGGAGCTCACGGAGGGCACATTGTACTTGTCGCACACGCCGTCCGCCAGCAGGCGGTCCCGGATCTCCCAGGCGAAGATGCCGGGGTCTCTCTGCTTGTAGGTCCGGATGTGTTTCACCACGGTGGGGGTAGTGACCCGGGGCTTGCTGCCCCCGATGGCTCCTGGCAAGATCGAGCCCGTCTCGTTGTATCGCGCCAGGATCTTGCTGACGCAGCCGTGCGAGACCCGTAGCTGGCGGCTGATGTCACACGGTCGGATGCCCAGTTGGGCCAGTTCCACGATGCGAAGCCGGATGGCGTTGGGCAGCGGCCTCCCGTTCACGAACACTCCTCCCAGCTGGTTCACCTCCCCGAAGGCTGGCTCTGCAAAATGAACACACAGCGCGCAGGGACGCGCACCCGCTGCTTGGGACAGCTGCCTGCCACTGGGCCTCCCTACGCATCCGGGGACTGGGCGAACGCACCCGTCCCCTACTAACTACTGGGGCTGTCCCCAAACCATATGGTCCCTGAACATAGCCGAACGGCCCCAAACCGTCACTGTCCAATCGGACCCCCTCCCTCATTCCTGCCGTGCCGGAGGCCCCTACGGCCAAGTAAAGTGGTGAGATGCCGGGCCTCTCCGAGCGTTCAAAAGTCTCCCGAAGCAGGGGGAGAAATCGGTCTTGACGCCTGAACGTGCTCCTTCTCGCCTGCTCCTCACTAAAGTCCTTGAGCCGCTCCCTCTCTCCACCCATCCCATCCCCAGCGTTCCTTCTGGAGACCCGGCCAGTTAAACAAAGTCTAGGGGAAGCTAGAGGGTGTTTTATTTGTTGTTGTTTGTTTTCTTTTCTTTTCTTTTCCTGTTTTGTTTGCATGTGTGCGCGCGTGTGAAACAAAACTTGGTTTGCTACTCGGGCTGAGGGGCTCGCTGATGCCACAGCTCCCTTCTCTTAAAATCAGAAAATGGCATCAACAGCCACCCAGTAGCCAGCGTTCACATTGAACTGCTGTGCGCCGCTGACCCTTAGCGTGTTCCTACAACTTGTAGGAACACGAGCAAAGTCAATAGAGAATGTGAGCGCCTAGTGGCGCGCGCCCTCGCGCTCCCTCCCTCCCTCCCTCCCTTGCCCGCTCGCTCCCTCCCTCCCTTCCCGGCTCTGACAGAGTCCCCCGCCGCCACTCACCCATTGCTCCGAGCAGTACACCAACCCGGCCCCAGTTCCGCACTCCCAGACAGAAACTTTCCGCACCGCCTCAGTGGCCCGGCCTGTTGCTATCCCGGCCGACCGCCGGCGCCTCCGCTTCTTCCCAGGAGGAGGAGGCGAGAGGGCAAAAGGAAGAAGTAAAAGGAAGTCTGTGCCCCGATGAAAGAGGCTTGAGTTCTGCATTTCAATCTAAGCAGCAACGTGGGCTGGGCTGAGCAGGGCAGGGCGGCTCCGTCTATCACTCACTGGGGACACGCCCTAAAAGGGGCGGGTCCGAGGGCAAGCTGCATGGTGATTGGTGCGGGTCGGTGAGCGACAGCGCAGTCCAGGAAACTCCTTCCGCTGTCTCTTTCAGGCTAGCTCCCCACCTGGGTGACTAAATACAATGAAAATGGGTGTTTGACATCTTCCCAGAAGCGGCACAAAAAGACAGCAAAATCAGGCTGGTAAAATGCTGAATAAACAAATGAAAGCGTTTGGTCTGAATGTGAATGACTCGAAGGGAGAAGGGGCCCGAGGAGACCTCCTCCGGGGAACGATGGACATCTCAGAATTGAAGTTAAGGCTATAGGTGGGAGGCGGGCGCCACCGTGCACAGGGGTGAGGGAGTTGTCTTAGCAAAATCTGTCATGCGGGCCTCTGGGGACTGTCAGGAGAGGATCTGTGTCACCTGCCGATTCTACCTCACTTCAGTCCATGCCAGGTGGCGAGAGCGCAGGTGTGAGAAGATAGGCCGGCCAAAGAAACCAGGAGGTTGCGGGGAGCCCGAGCCACAGGTGGGGGCCACTGTTAAGGCCAGGGAGGTTCCTCCTACCGCCAGCTTCCTGCGGCGACCCCCCAGTCCAGGTGGACCGGCCAACCACTAGCCACACAGGCTCGAGGCACGGGCCACGCCGTGTGCGGGGAACTGAACCACAGGCGGCTAACGCTAGCGCACAGCCCCAAGTCGACCAATTGCCAGTGCGTGGGGCACTCACTACGGAGCCCAAGGCTCTGCCACATTCAGCCACTGTCCTGGGCCCCTGGCCCTCGGTGGCAGCGTTTGTGAGGGTTCTCCAAACCAGCGAGCCCTCTCGAAAGAGTTTTGTTTAAATATGAAAGAGACTTAGTCCCAAGACAGTGGACACCGACGCTGCACATGGATGTAATTCCCTCGTCTTCCATTAAGCTCCAGAGGCCCTGTCGTTCTGCCTACTTCTGAATTTTCACTTTTATTCACTGTAAGTCTAATCTAAAGTGTACCGTATGCTTTTTTGCAGCCAAAGTTATTAATATTTGCAGTTAGGGTTGTGGAGAATGTGAATCAAAATAATAAACAAGAAGAGAAATATTTTCGTGAATTTGGGAGTTTGTACTGCTTGGGGTCGTGAACTCTGTTACTGCTACTTGACAATCCAGAAGGCTCCTTGTGCACACAGGATTCAGGCTGCTTCCCCAACAGTCCCCAGGGATGTGTGTGGCTGCGGTCTACACCCAGAGAAGCTGACTGGTCCCAGATCTCAGGTCAGTAAGTTGCAAGAACCCAGGAAAAAACTATGATCAGCCATGCTTCTGCAAAGGAACAGATCTCCAGATTCCCACTTCTATGGTTAGGATGCACTCTAAATTCAAAATTACCTAACAGAATGGAGGATGTGAAAGGTAAAGATGAACTAAAACACCACTCTTTAGAATCGGAATCTTGGGGGAAATCCCACAACTAGACATACTTGAACTTGTCCCTTTTTGTTGGTTGGTTTCAAATGTTTAAAATCTTCTTGAAGTTTGACTTGATAGCAATTTCAGCCTGGTCTGACCTCCAATACCTGTTGGGTGACATCGTGTGGCACCGCCTGGCATTTTTACACAAGGAGAGCCTTCGGAAATCTAAAGATTTTAGAAGCAGCAGCTCCTTCTTAAGGCTGGTAGATAAATTAGTTGAGACTTTGCCGCATCGTAGGGGAGCTTATGACTCTGCCTTAGGCTTGCGGGAGGGAATGAACATGCCCGGCAACTTGACCAGGAAGGAATCCTCCTCCCCCCTCACAGACAGGCAGTGAGTATCGACCTCTGCGCCAAATCTGCTCTACTTCCGTGCACCCAGGGAAAATTTGCAGTCTGCAGGGCTGCTAGGCGGGTACAAGGATGTTCGCATACGAACAGGCAAGACCTCATGTCCCGCGGGGGGTCTGGGGACTCTGCGAGAGCTTTAGCAGTTCTGCAGCACCAGCCTAGACTGGTTCAGAAACTGATATGGTTTAGAGCTCTGGTTATATGGAGGTAACATACAACTCCCTCTTGTTCCTACCAACTCCTTCAGCTGCCACACATCTTCCCAGTTCTCACATAGGTTCAATGCCATCTCTCCCTTTCCACCTGCTGAACTTGGCTGTGACCATGTGGCCTCAGCTGCTGCGGATCCCCTGGGCGTGCCAGGGGTAGCAACTCAGTGGGCAGGGGGCCTGTCCGCAGCTCTGGCGGCTCCCCGCAGGCCCCACTCATGCCGGCGGTTGCAGGTACTGGGTGCTCTTGGCATTCTCAAGAGCGCAGGAAGAGTCAATTTTAGGTGTTTTGGGCCACTAAGTATCCGCGGCAAGCCGAAGACCCCGCTCTGGGAGCAAGAGAAGCCGAAGCTGCAGACAGGGTCAGCGGGATCCCAGCAGAAGAGGGTGATGCTGAAGCCTTCCCGGGGCGCGGACCGAGTGCTAGGGCGAGGTAGTCAGCGACCCGCTGAGACCGACCGAGAGACGACGGATCTGAGGCAGAGAAAGAGGATGAAGGAAGGAAAAGAGAGAACACTAAGGTCTGGTCAGTCCCGATGAATGTAAGGATGCAGGACCTAGAACAAGAACAAGGGTCAGCTGGAGTCTGCCGCCTGGTTACACTGCTCACTCTGGACTCAGAAGATCTCAAAGAGATCGGAAGAATTTCGACTAAAAGGAGAAATTTAAGACCAAAACCAAAACACCAGTAAGGCCTGCAGCTGGCTCAGGCCAGGGAGAAGCCAAAAAGCCTTTCCCTAGCCGCGTCGAGGCCTCCTCCGAGGGGCGACTCGCTCTCTGGATAAATATTTACTCAGTGGGAGACTGGAAGCCGGGCCGAGAGTGTGAAGGAGGGGGCTACACTGGGTGGGAGGAACCAGTACACTCGGCGCTGGCCGGATCCTTGTGTACACCCGCCCAAGGGGAGCAGGGGCCGGGGACTCTGGGGGCGACTCGGCCCAGGCGTGTGGCTGGGGAAGCTTTAGACCCCAGCATCGGATCGACCGGACTCCGCCCTGCCCTCGCGGACCCCAGCCAGATGCTGTGAAGTCTCCATAAATCTGTCAGCCGTCCCAGTGCCGCGGGCAGTCACCTGCGGCGCCCCCTTCCCGGCGCTAGAGCGGCCCGCGGAGAGACGCGGAGAAGCAACGGGAATCTAGCCCGGCAGACTGTACCCGAGGGCTGCCGAAGTCAGACCCAAGCACTACAGGTTGTGCGGAACGCGAGGACCCCTCCCTGTATCCCCAACCTGGACCGACCCCCGGAAGCCTGCTCCTCCGGGTCTACAGGTCAGTGATGACTGTGGATGGGAGGATAGGGCGAGAGTTGGGGGTGCGTATGCACGGGAGAGAGGTTGTTCTATTCCGAGTTGCAGTTATGACAAGCAGAGCTAGCAGAAAATATTAAGGAGCTGATTCCTCCAACTTGCCCCCTGCTGGGGACAGGACCCCCCCCCCCCAAGCGAGGCCCAGGCGACGGTGCCCGCCTCTTGTCCACTCGGAGGAGTTGCAGGGATTGTAAGACAGCCAGAGTCCGAGGTCCGGGACTGGGATTTTCATAGTGCATTGACTTCTAGCCGTCTGGGGGCAAATGCAGTAAAGGCAAGACCCTTCAGGGTCAGTTGGGGCATTGCGCGCGGTGCAGAGAGAAAAACAAGCCCAGCTTCTCCAGAACTCGGCCCTCTGCTATGTCCCCGTCTTGCAGGGTAAGCGGCCAGCTGAGTTTCCCTGAAACTGCAGCGGCAAGTGACAGCCAGAAGCTCGCCCCGCGCCCAGGGCGAGGGAGGGTCCGCCCTGGACCGCTGGCCCCTGCAGGATCTGCGCTGCGGGAGGGGATGGCGGCTAAAAGGAGCAGTCGCGGGGATTGGGGATGGAGACAGCCCTCAGGGGTCCTCTGGTGGGAGAGGAGGACAGGAGGCGCCCGCACACTGACCTGCGGCCTGGACTTGGAGGGACTGCGGACGCGCTAGCCCAAGGAGAAGCCGCAAGCGCACGGAGAGGAGCAGAGCTCGGCCGGAAGATGCTCGGAGAATAGCCCGGCAGCCTCTCCACCTTCTCATCAAGGAGCCTCACGGTTCAAGAGTCTCTCCGCGGCTCCACTAGGTAGCTAGAATGGCAGCGGGTTGGGTCGGGCCCGAGCTCGGAAATGCGTCCCGGCGTTCTGCGGTCCGACAGCGACACGACCGGAGCCCTGCGGGAGGTGGGATCAGCCCCACGGGCTGCGAGCGCTCGTCGCCCGCTTTCTCCTTGCGAGAGCAGGGGAGGGGCCTGTTGCTGTCTGAAACCCGCTTTTAATTCTCCGCCTGCCTGTTTCCGATCACCCGGGGTTGGTTTTTCTGTTTGCTCACTCCTTCTATTACAATAAAAACAATCGACATTTCTTTTCAGTTTCCCCATATTAGCGTCACTCAGTAATTGTTCCCCACCCCCCCTTACCCCACGCGTTGAAGGCGAGCGGGATTGCTGGTATTCGCGCATTTGGAAGTTTTCCGAGCATATAAGCAAATCTTTCCTAAAGACTTTAAAGTAAAAATAAATAACGGCCCGAGAAATTGCCGTGACCCTAACATTACTTTCTGAAAGCAAATTACACCCATTTTTCAGTTTTCAACAGCGGAATTGCTTTCAGAAGGACAGTGTGGAGCTCCATGTGATATGGTTACGTTTGTTTATTAAATCTGCAAATGAAAGAGAACATGTTTTAATGCACGGGGCAAAACTCCGGGCTGCGGGATTGCAAGAGCGAACAAGGATCGGATCCCAACAGAGGAAGGGGGGAGCGGCCTAGGGGTAGGGAGGGGTAGGGAGGGGCAGGAAGGTCCCTGAGGGGAGGCTGGGCTGATCTAGCCAGAGGGAGGGGGATTTCGTCTTGCCAGGGTTGCAGCATTAGCAGAAGTTGCGCAGCTTCGTGAGGAGGACGCAGTCCGTGGTCACTATACAGCCATCAGCTGCAGCGCTCAGGAGAGGTGCAGCTGCGTGTGGGAAAAGCAAGATTGCCGGTTCTTCAAGCACAGCTGTTTGAGACCCTGCCCTCAGGTGTCGGCCTGAGGGCTTTGGGGCTGCCTCCTTTCAAAGACCTTATTGGCCTAAATGCTGTCTGGAAAAGATAAACGAGAACCAGGCCGCGCCTCTAAACTCTGGTTTCGGGACTCACATGAAGCCCTTCGGGGGCTCCCACTGTGGTCTGAGTTATGTTGAATGCAGCTTTATTGCAAGGTCCAGGTTGCCTGCAGGCTGCCAGGCCCAGCCCGCTGTACTCTGATCAGAGCCGGACGTCTGCCCTCTAGGCCCCAAGCTTCGGCTGGGCCCGAACTGCTGACGGAGGGACCAACCCACTCTAGACCCAATTTCTGGCTTCCGAGGAGTCTGAATCAACTCGCAGGCCGGAGTCATCTTGACCGACTCGAACGTTCTCCCATTTTCAGTGACCCAGGGCTCACTCACTGCGCGTTTCCTCTAGGTGGCATGATGCCCTTGCGAGTCGCCCCCAGTCCTGTGGCGTCTGGCGAATCCTCGCACCTGAGCAGCGGACGGGGCGATAGGGGGTTGGTGCGCTGCAAAGTCGAGGAGCTGCGTTTCCAGCCTGTCGCCTTCCCCGAGTTCATCCCGCCACCCACCAGCCCCCGTGCCGACTCCGAGAGCGGAGACTGGTGTTGCACAGTCCTAGCTAATCCCTCGAAAACAGGAAGCGGAGGCTGGGAGCAGCGGGTTAGCGTCGGAGTCGCAGAAAATTTCCCGCAGTCTTCGAGTCCCCCAGCCGCCTCTCCCGGCCACCGCACCTTGTCACAGCGCCACCTATAGGAGCCAGATTAGATCGCGCACCCACTGTAGTTTTTGACAAGGTTGGGAACCGCCTTTGAAAATCCACAGAATTTCAAAGCCCGATATTTTTGGTTCCCCCTTTCAGATCCCTCTGCACCCTCAACTCTCCATTGACCCCAAGGCTCCGCATCATTCTCCACCATGCTCCAAGGGAAACCCGATCATGTCTTTTCACGATTCACCGAAAACCCATCTTCTATGCCCTACCGGGCGGATTCTCTTGCGGCCCCCAGGGGCTACTCAAGGACACTGGTTGTGAGCTGTCCTTGCGTCAGGGCGGGAGAGCTGGAGACAGCAAAGAAGCTCTGCAGGGAAGGGTGTGGGGAGTGATGGACCCATTCTTCTCCAGTTCATCCTACCATTTGTTGAGGGCTCACGTCAAACACAACAACCATACCAAGGAGGTATTATTCTAGTTCCCATTTTACAAGAGACATTAAATAAGAACACAGAAGACACTTGGACTAAGCGAAATCATATTGTTAATTAACAGGGGGAAATCTGAATTCCACCATGTCCCCATTGTTGTTCTCTCCATTTCCCTAATCTGCAGGAGCAGCTCACGCTGGAGCCCCCAAAGAAGCCCCCATACCTCAGGTGTCTACACTGAAAGTGGACACTCTTCTACCCACCTCCACACTTTAGAAGACAGAATGCCGCCCAAGGCCGGACCCAGAACCCGCAGCAAAGAGGATCTGCAACCTTGTCCTCCTCACTGCTGGCCAAGAGTCCACGCCGCGGAGGTCGCAGCTGACTAGGTGAGGGCGGGAGACTGCCTGCTCGTCTCCTCCTGGCCCCGGCTATCCAGGGCGTCGAGGTGAGGTCCGCAGCCACTCGGGCGGTGCACAACATGTTCCAGGAGTCCCGCGGCCGAGCGGCGCACAGAGGAGCAAGGAGAGGACCGGAAGAACCGTGCTCTTGGCTGCAATTTGTTTCCAAGAGTGCCAAGACATGCCCGAGACTCTCAGCGCGCTCTCAGAGCATCAACTCAAGCACCGAAAAAATCTACCTTTGCCTTCCCGGGGATTCATTCTGGGGTATGCCTGTGTGTGTTTCTTTTTAAGACCACTATAGTGGGAACAAACCAGGAGGTGCCGAGTTGCAATAAAATTAGAACCCATAATTAACACAGCTAGCTGGGCCCAAGTGGCTCGGAAGTGCACGTAGTGGAGTCAGTTGGCCTTCCTCCGCGGAGTCCGGGCTACAGTTGCGTTTTCTTTCTTTGGAATGCATCTTGGAGTCAGGATCAACTCCTTTCATTCCCTGCAAACAGCGAATAAATAAATCATTTCATTTATAAAAAACGATAACGATAAAGAGATTTCAGCGCACCCTGCGAGAGGTGGTAGTCAGGAGAAGAGAAAGCCCAAAGGTTGTTAGGTGCAGGGGTCACTTTTACTGCCTTGGGAAAATGCATTTTAGCCGCGGAATTCGTTCCGTGGGGATTGGGGGTGCGCCTCCGAGGCGGGCCCGAGGGCCAGAACTGCGAAATCCCAAGTTAGTGTTTTCAGGTTTCGGACAAAAACTGCGATCCATACGAGGACCTTACTGTTCGCATCTTGGCGGGGATCACGAAAGCTCTACAGGCCAGCAGGAACCTTGCGGCTAGCGGGGGCATTCCTGCAACCTCCTGCGCAGGGATCCTACGCCTCAGGTCTTCTTACTGGCTGGGGTTGGCCCTCCCGGGAACTGGGCAGGCTCTAATAGGCCCCTCTACCTGCAGGCTGTTTGCTCCAAGAGGCGGATTTGTGGGGTCCAGGGCGAACCCTTTCCTCTTCCCTTTGCCAGTCAGTGCTCCTCCTGCCTAAAAATTTTACCCTCACCAGGACCAACGAAAGAGCTGACCTCTTACCTCCTCCACAGCGGCTGTGGCTTTCTAGACAAGCTGCGTGTCTGAGCCACTGGGAGAACAGAGTATAACCACCTCTCCATGGACACGATTGGAAGGCAGTTCTAGGAAAATTGTTAAAGGACCCAACAATGTTTTCAATGGACACACAGAGGCTAAGGAAGAGAAATGTAAAAATGAAATAAATATAATTTCAAAAGTGTTTAACTCTTTAATAAGCCAGGAGGGGTAAAACACAGTACCATCTTTGCAGAGTAAACCAATTTTGCCAGCAGGTACAAACTGTTGTGTTTTTTTCTAACGAGAGAGGGGGGGAAAAGGCTGCTTGCATATGATTCACATTTTTCATCAATAAAATGTTTTTAAATTAATATGAATTAGCCCATTTTTTTTGGTGGGGGCGGGAATCAAGCAAGTGTTGCTGGTTTTCTTCAACAGATGCACTGTCCTTTGCACAGAGGTAAAAAATAATTTGTAAAGTGTTGTTTATTCAGTGAAGCTACCTACACATTTTTAAATCTTAAAGATGTTTAAGTTCATAATGTCATTGCGTAATCCATTTTGGTAGTGCATTTAATAAAAATCATATTACTGGCAGGACATTTAATAAAAATCAGACTAATTAGCAAGGAAGGGCATAGTAGACAAAAAGGACAAAGAAATCTCTTGAGCAGAAAATTTAGAAAAATAAAGAAGGGTTTTTAGACAATACTAATCCTTCGTGTATTGTTCCAATTCCTACAGTTCTGTTTACTGCAGTTCTTACGCATTAAAGTGCTACAGTTTGGGTTCTGTTTCTATGCCATATTCAGACTGTAAATTTAATGGCTGCAGGGGGGAGAGGAAGGATTGCAAAACCAGAGATTAGCACCAGAAATGCTGGACCAGTGTCCTATGCATGATGCAGCCATACCACTGAGGCTACCATTCTTGTCAGACTCCTAGGGTGGATATAGAGGATTGGGGAAGAAGGCTAGTTCTATTTCCTGCAGGATCAAAATGCCAGCCCAATACATTGGCTGACCAGTGAGCCACTCCTTAGAAGGATAGAAAACCAAGGTCATGGCCACAGGGGACCTTTGAAAAGCCCCATATCACCTTCCTGCAGGACCAGAGGTGTGAATCTGATGTTCTGGCAAGCTGACAACACAGATTCCCTTAGCAGTTTTTATTGCCTGAGTGATTCATATTCAATTCCTCTGGGATTGAGTTCTGCCCTGCCACATGTTTCCATTCTTGGAGACACCCCTTTCACTAGGAAAAGAAATAATGATCCCATTACTCCATGTAAAAAACCTTCATAATGCCAGTTTAAGGCTAAAAATTAAATCCCTGAAAGTCAGAACATAGAAAAGTCAAAATTCTTTTAGTCTGTCCAAATCACCCTGCTTCCCAGGCTGTATAATGCATGGTACATTTACAAGCCTCCCCAGCAAAGCCAACAACCAGTTCCAGCAACCAGGCACTGCTGCTGCTGTGTTTTAAAGGGGAAATGCTGGAGCACCACCTGACTGGGCAGATTTTCCATTTGCAGTTTGAATGTTTCATGCCAGTAGATTTTAGCACTTTCTTGCTAGATGAAAGTACTATACTGCATGCATTGGCAAATGGATTTAAAACTTAAAGAAAGCAAATTAACTTATAGGTAACCAAAAGCAATTCAAAACAAGAGAGAGACACCGTAAATACCTCGAAGATTTTCCAGGTACCTAAAACTCTCTAAATCCAGCTGTAGCATTCTAGATCAGTGCTATACATTTCTCCAACTCTGATACAAAATGAAGTTCTTCAATGGTAATTGATGTAAGTAGGTATATTTTCTTCAACCCTTCCCCAATTTTTATTTTAGAATTTAACATTTATCCATCCAGTTTTCCCAAGAGGAAAAAATACAGTCAGTAGAAAGATGTGTTATTTAAATTGTATTCTGAAAATTCAGACATAGCTCATATAAGGATTATAACTTCCAGAAAAAGTCTTCCCTACCTCTTCTTTCAATTTTAAAGTAGCTAAAAGTATGAGTTTTCTTTTACAACCAGACTTATCTATAATATTTTGGCTGTGAAACAAAATTACTTAAGACTTTCTGTTTCTCTTACATCAAAGCGTATATATATATACACACACATATACACACACACACAGAAAACAGAGGGTTAACCTGGTAGAGTTGTGTGTAAGTTGAGCCATGGCTTCTGGCCACAACATGCACATGATCTGTGTGTTTCATCATGTAACTGCTAAGGCACATGAGGGTTTTGGGGGATAAAGGTATTAGGTACATAGGAGACATCATTATTTCTATTAGAGCAATTAGTCTCATGGAGAAATATATACCCTTAGGGCAAAATATACATTGAGTTTTGTAAAAGGAATGAATAACATACACTTGGATATCACTACATAAAAGCTGCACTTTTTTTCCTCTATAGGAACATTTTTTGTGTCAATAAAAATGATGAAGGCAAAGCTAGGCAGCCTGGACGTGTCACCAGAACTCAAGGCATAATTTGGGATTTCACAACTCTATCACCCAGCTGTCCAAAAAAAATCCCAAACATATATTTTAAAGCCCTCCTGAAGACATGCTTCTCATTATACAGCTAAGCCTCAATTAACCAGATAACTCAGGAAAGTATTTGAAGGAGGACATGGTGTCTCGTGAACATTTTCTAATGTCTTTGAACAAAACAGAATATAAGAAAAGGAAGTGTGTGCATGATGTACTGTCCCTTATGATTTTTTGACATGAAAAACACTTTAGAAATCAACTCAGGTCATTTCCATGCCTTCCCCAGAATATAGTATAAGAGGGGTAGTTCAGAAAGGTGAATCCAAATGGATGCTTCTTTGATAACCACAACTTTCTGGTAAATATAATACTTAGGTAGAGCAGAATGGGGATCATTATATATTACTGTGACAACAGTGAAAATCAAGATAGAGAGTCTGAATAGCTGGTTCTTGGGTGAAGAACAGTATTTTGAGAAGGAAGATGAAAAGGGGAGAGGGAATTGTTTTTGTCAAAGATTAAAGAGAAGACATTTTTTCTCCCTTACCTTACTCCACTCCCACCACTCCAGGCATCTAGGGAAACCCAAATGAATGCTGGGATTAATAGCAGAGGGATATAAACATTGTAAATTAAATTCACTGCTATTTTTGCTACAACAAATATTGCCAACAAGTTTGCATATATATGTGTGTCACAATACATTTAATCAATTCATTTATAAGAAAAATTTGTCAACTTATCTCTGAAGATAACCCACAGTATGAGATTTTCAGAAACATGTCAAGCTCAAAGGACTGAATTTAGACCCCTTATTTGCTTCTTAAGTCTGCTAAAGATATGTGTTCAGCCTATGGGCTGCATTGTAGGTCCATAGGCCCTTTCTTCCCTGTCCTCCCTGGAAGTCAGTACTGACTTGGGGAAACACAAAGTCTTTATTTTGATGCATATTATCACTTGTGTCTGAGAACCTGGCATTAAGAAACGGTAATGAAAATTACTGCAAACTGTACCAGCCAACTAGAGAAAGTTATGGACACTAGGAGAGTTTGCTTTTTATAGTACTTTATCCAATACTTCTCTCTTCCCTTAGCTTCATCCCTATTCCTTTCTCTGAGATTCTTTCTCTCTTTCTTTTTCTTTCTTTCTTTCTTTTTCTTTCTCTCTTTCTTTTTCTTTCTCTCTCTTTCTTCTCTCTCTCTCACCCCCCTCACACACACACACTCTGCACCCATACACTCCCTAGAAGAAAGCAGCATTTTACATAAGATTTTGGTTTTTAAAATGTTGTTTTCTCATTAAAATTCCATGAAATACTTGAAAGCACACCAGGAAACTAAGCATAACATTACCAAGAAGAGTTCCAGCGAGGTCCTAAAGAGTTAGCTTTCTTCATCTAGATTCCTAAACCCATCATAAATGCATATATGCCTGGATCAATCTTGGAGCTTATATTTTAAACAATCCGTGAAAAAGTATATCCAGACTTTTACATGTTTTGGAGAAATCACCATGCAGCTAACACAAAGTCAACCTTTGCCATCTGTACTTGCTCACAAATCCCCAAAAGCAGGTAGATTGGCCTTAGCTACACAGCATTAAGGAAACACGAGCTTCAGCCAATCCAAAGTGGAGTTTGGAGCGATGAGAAGCCACTCAAAGTTATCAGTGTTCTGTGGCTGTTCTCTGATCCATGGTTTAAGTCCACTCATACAGTTGGACCAGAAATGATGATTTTGACAAACTCCAGTTTATCTCCTGGAGCTTTCTTGGAACATCAGTTTGGGTTATTTTCTGTAGTATAGTTGTACGTGCCAATCTCAGGGCAGCTGCCTTTCTTTAAGCTCATGACTGAGGGTGGCAAGAGGTAGTGATTAGTCATCTAACCTCTCAATAGCTGTAAATACTAATTGAATATTTTGAACAACTCTTCAGGTCACATGACAACATGTGGCCATTTGCTTCTTAGACTTCTATTGCATAGCTCGGGGAGCAAATATTCTTTAATAATTGTTAAATATATCTTACAAATCTTCCAAAGAGGAAAAAGTCTCCATCCAAAATTAAACACAGGTTATGTGCTAAAAATGGGCAGTTGGAACTAAAACATAGCTGTTATTATCTTTTCTACAATAACATTTACACACTATTAACTTTTCTGCAATAACGGAACATTAAAGAATAAAATGTAAATTTTACTGCTTTATTTGCAGGGATGAAGGTCAGAGTGTCAAATTGCAGATTTTGGATCCTCAATAATGGGCCGCTGTATTTAACCTCTTCAACTTCTTTTCTCCACTTATAAGAAGGAACAAAATAAAATGTTTTGTGGAAGTTTATATTGAAATGAGGTCAGGTAAACTAATGACTGCTTGGTATTTTATGACAAGTTTTATAACCTTGGAGTTGCCATAACTTTCAAACGATCATCAATAAAGTTTTATTGCAAAAGGGTCGCCATGTGTCTGAATGCTTTTGCACATAGTAAAGCTATGCTGCCCCATTGTCGTAGCTCACCAGCCCCTTTTCACCCCAGCCATAAAGTCCTCTTCTTTTTTATTGGAGGTTGAAAAGTCCTCGGGTCTGCTCTCCTCCATCAAGTTGGCAATGTGGGAACAACACAGAAATTAAACTACATGATTAAATGATCGTACACAACCAAATCTTCAAGAATATGTAATAAGACTGCTTTTTAATAATTATAAATTTGGATTTTAAATGGGTTCCATTTAATAAAATAAATGACAGTGGGCGGCGGGTGGGAAAGGAGGAAGTCAGATGAGAGTTTCCTCCAGAAACTTGTGTTTGAATGTTAGATAAGACCTATCAGTCTACCCGATATACCCAGAGGGCTGCCATTAAATAATTAGGTGCTTAGGGACCGATAATGGTCTCAAGACAAAACAACGAATTGCTAAAGACTCTTTGAGCTGACCCGAGGATCTTAAAGATTTAAGAGGCCTCGCATTGCGTCCTAACTTGAATTTTCCCACGGAGGGAAGGGTTGGGCTACAGCTCATGCTTGCCCGATTGCTGCCTAACACATTCCCTAAACGCTCCCTAAAGCCAAACCAAGAACTTCAAGTGTCCACTTCACGGCATCAGCTGTCAGGTTCAGGTTCGGGTCCGCCTACTCCTTGTCCACTGCCGAATGCTATGTGGAAATGAAGCCGAGAATAATGTCCTGCGATTTAGATGAAGAGAACAGTAAGAAAGGTAGTATGAAACGAAGCTTCTACTGACGCGCCCTTCAGACAGGTATTCCGCAGGCGAGGGTTGTGACCCAGGGAGAGAGTGCGGGAGTGCTAGCAGAGCGGCGGGAGCGGAAGGAGAGGCTGGACGAAAGTTGGAAAATCATCCCATCTCGGGACTTGAGTGCGAGAGCCCGCCCCGGAGTCGGCAAGTCTCCAGGGTTAGAAGGCCCTAGCTCCAAAGTTTTTTGTCCCGGCTCAGGCAGGTCCCCCACCTCTAACCTTCCCCGATTTGCCTGGTTGCTCTCGGGGAAGGGACTGGTAAATACCGCCCTCTCCCGGATTTCCTGAAACTCTCACCAGCGCGCTGAACCCGCTCCTTCCCACGTTCGGCGCCCCGCACTCTGCGTCTGCGCCCACTGCGCGTCACCTTCCCTCCGGCCGAGACCACTAGAGCCCTAGATCCGGGATCTGCGGAGGGAACAGGACCTGAGCCCCTGCTGGACCCTGCAACTTGGCTGCGGAGAGCGCGCAGCCACAAGCGCCGTTCCTCACTTGAGGGCTTCGCGAGAGCTGGCTCAGCCCCGCGGGTCCCCGCCAGTCCTCGCCAGCCCTCGCCAGCCCCGGTCGGCCCCACGCTAAGTCCGCAGCAGGCGGGAAACCCCGCAGGCCTTCCCGGACTCACGAACTGCCTACTCCCACCCCTAAAGAGCTCAGACCTGAAGGTGCTCTTATGGTGCGTGGCCGCAACCCCGGAGTGGAATGGGTGGGGGGCCTCCATGGCGAAGGAGACGCCGTGGGCGAATCGGCTCCCAGCTCGCCCCTCATGTCCTACAGGTCACTAGCCGAGTCCCTACCCCGGGCGCTCCCATGAGGCACCAAGAGCAGCCACGGCCCAGGGAAGGGCCTGGGTCTTCACTGCTGGAGCGGGCCCCAGTCGAGGGCGCGCAGGTGTCGGGGTCCCCAGCAACCTCCGTATGCGCGGAAAGCCGTAAACGGGGTTCTGAGGCCGGCGCCAGGCACAAGGATCACCCCGCGCCACGGGCCACGGCTCAGAGCGCCCACGAAGCCCGGCTGCCAGGTCCAGGCCGCGGCCGGGCGGGACCCACTCGCTCCCCACGGTGCTGGCGCGGCGGGAGTCGGGCTGGTTAAGGCGGGAGGCCGGCACTGCCACGGGCTGTGGCGCCCCCTCCCGAAGACACCTCGCCGGAAGTGCGGCTCCCGCCTGGCAGGCGCTGAGACTCCTCGGCTGTAGCGCGAAGGCCCCGGTCCGCGCAACTTCCCATAATAACGCCGCGAAATGCCTCCAGAAATGCCTGTGTGGTATGGTGTCTGAGCCAATGGTCGGCATTCGTCTTCCCCAAGTGCGGAAAAGAGGATCCCAGCTCCCCGGGATGAGCTACGTACCCACACACGCACGCCGGCCCCTGTGCCCCCGTCAGGGGAAGCGCAGAAAGGCGGGGACTCCCCGGGACGCAACTGCCTAGTATCACCTACCAAGAGAAGTTACTTTTTTTCCGGGATCACAGAACCCCCCCTTCACGTCCCCAAGTCTCCAGCAAGAAGTGGGAGAGGACGTGTGTGGCTCCCCAGAAGCAGGCTCCAAGTTGTCCCGGGGGCAAGCCCTCTGGAAGGAACCTTGCTCTGCTGACCCAACTTGAGCAGGGCCACCCTGGCTGCGGTCATCTCCACTCCGGCCTCAGGGACGAACCCAGCCGCTCTCTACACCACCACTGGAAAGGGGAGACCCTTTCCTCTTGTATATGCCAAAGAGGTTAGACGTTCTTTTTTCAGAGTAACATTTAAAAAAGAAATTAGATCAGACAGAGGGAACAAAACTTCTCAGAAATATAGAAAGCACAGTTTTCTGAGTTAGGTTTCTGATGGTAATAACAGTCAAGACTGTTGAGGGGAACCTCGTTCAGGAGTTCTTTTCTATGGCTTCATCTTTGACTCAGTTTGAGAACTTGGGCTTCTCTGTCATTGAGCACTGAATAGAAAAATAGCAGAGTGCTAGCTAATTTCTGCCTCTGCACTCCTGTAAGCTGCTATAAGCCCATCTTATTAAGATCAGCTAAGGCTGTGAAGGGAGAATCTCAGTGTGGAACGCAGGAGATGGATCCTCCTGTCCAGTTAGCTCTGCAGAACAACTCTGGGTTTCTTCTTGCTGTAATTATGCAGCCACTTTAATGCTGAACTGAGGAGGCATAGCTGCCCTTTTAAAGCTTTGCCCAAGGAGCCATAAGTACCCATTTTCGTTAGTCTAGAATAGCACGCTCATATATTTAACACATATTTATTGAGAATTTGGTATGTGTCAGGCACTGTGTGAGGTGCTGGGGTACAATGACAAAGGAGAAAGACATGCCCTCACAGACAAGATGAAACATCTGGCTGACAGGATACTCCTCTTAGCTCAGGTTCTCTGTAGGGCTGGCTGTTTCTTGCTGGCAAAGGCAGATTTTCTTTTCCATGCTTGAGGACACGGAAATACAAATCCTCTTTAGAAGTCTAGGAGAAGGAGGCCACAAGGGAAGTGGATTTTCCAGCCGAGCTGAAACCTAGCTTCCAGATTCCTGAACCCAGGTGGCTGAGGACCCTTCTCTTGTTTGGATGTTTCACCTGATGTGGTATGGTCTTCCTTCCTTCTTGTAGCTTCCTTCCTTCCTTGTAGCTTCAGGAGGACAATAGTATCATCAAAAGGCAAAAATACCCAGCCAGAAAAAGAGATGTCCATAAATAGTGGCAGGCAGCTGGTACTTCACAATCATACCCTGTTGTAACACAGCAAACCCTGCACGTGCTGCTACCCAGTCAGTAGGGCAGGGCCACCTGTCTGTCCATCTCTCTGCTTCCTTCTTTCCTAAAGACAATTCCCCATTCACACTGTGTACCCTTTGATGTCCTGCTGAAGATGTTCAACAGGCCCACTCAAACAAGGATTGGCAGGAGACCCTCTCTGGACCCTTCAACACAGAATTTGGAAAACCCCAAAGGCCAGCCAAAAGGAAAGGTCCTGGATAACAGGCATCAACTTTCATATGGGGTGGGGGGCCGGAGGAGAGGAGTGGGAAGTGCGGTAGAGCCTGGGGAGGGGGTTGTGGTGGATTTGGCTCCAGGCTTTATCCCTTTAACCTTTCCCTGTCACTCTTTTCAGAGGGCTTGCTTCCTGCCCTTAAATGAAAGCCACAAATCACAGCTCTTGCCAGGCCAATAAACATAATTTTCTTTTTTGATAAGGCTGCTAGAATGAGGGGATGCTTATATCTTACTTTTGCACATGTTGCAGTTTTGCAAAGCATGTTTACATATATTATTTCATTTATTAATCTTGATAAACTTTCACTGTCTGCATATGGGGAATTGGAGACACAGAGAAATAAAGTGACTTTTATCTAAAGTGGAAGGTAGCAGAGTTGGGAGAGCTACAGACTTGTGTTTCAATAAGGCATTTGATAAACTATTTTATGGTAACCTTGGGACCGATGTGGCCTGGGTGACATAATGGTTGAGTGGCCCATTCATTCATTCTTTGAAATAAACAGCTTTTCTTTTAAGCATAGCCTATGTGTCAGGAACTGAGCTTAATAGTGGAGATACAAAGGTAGATAAGCTATTGTGCTTAACGAGCTCACAGATAAGTGAGAGAAGAGACACGTAAAAATATAATCACAGTAAGGCAATAATATAATGTAATGGAGTTAGATACAAAATGCTATGGAATACAAGAGAGCACCAAAGGGTGGTCTTAGGCTGATGAGAGCTTGTTGGAATGCTCTCATATGTAGAAAACATGACATTAGAAAGGATAAGAAATTTGAAGGCTGGGTATGGTGGCTCACATCTGTAATCCCAGAACTTTGGGAGGCCAAGGCAGGAGGATTACTTGACCCCAGGAGTTTGAGACCAGCCTGGCCAACATAGAGAGACTCTTTCTCTACAGATTTTTTTTTTTTTTTTAATTAGCCAGGCATGATGGTGCATACTTGTGGTCCCAGCTACTCGGAAGGCTGAGGTAGGAGGATTGGGCCCAGGAGGTCGAGGCTGTGGTGAGCCATGATGGTGCCACTGCACTCCAGCCTGGGCAACAGAGTAAGACCGTGTCTCAAAAAAAAAAAAAAAAAAAAAAAAAAAAAGAAAAGAAAAAGAAAAAAGAAATTAGAAAAAGGACGCAATCATACAAAAACAGCTTAATAGGCAGAATAATTGACTATAAATAACACTAATCAATATATGAGTAAATATAGAATTCTACACTCAGATACAAAATAATTGAACCAGTGTATGAAGATACCGTCAGGGATGGCAGTTTAGGTAATCTCAGGGCCTACAGTTGATTGTAAACTCAGCATGAGCCTAGAATGTTAATGTTCTTAGTTTGTGCAAATAGAAGTGGAGTATTCAGCATAAGGGTTATTTTCTTTACCGGGGTGGGAGCGAGTCTTGTTTCTGGTCTCCCCAAACATTGATAGGTTGATGGTATGTACGTGCAAAGGGAAGCCACACATGGTAAAGGATTCTAACCAAAGTCATACTCTATGGCTTATGGAACTAGAATTTTTGATAGAGACTGGAAGGCTTAGAAAGTATGGCATAGCTGTCCTCAAATATTTGAAGGGCTCCCAGGTAGAAAAGATGTTGAACTTACTCTGTCAGAGGAGCTCAGCAAAGCTTTTCTCGGTTTATAATACAGAGCCTAATGGAGCAAAGTCATCCTCTATGAGTTTGACTGTCCTTTCCTGCTGGATTCTAAGCTCCATGAATGCAGGAACCAACAGGTCTGATTCACTCTGAAACTCCTGTGTCTTGCACATAGAAGTTAATTTTTTTTTTTTTTTTTGAGAGAGTCCTGTTGCCCAGGCTGGAGTACAGTGGCACAATCTCGGCTCACTGCAACCTCCACTTCCCAGGTTCAAGCAATTCTCGTGCCTCAGCCAACTGAATAGCTGGGATTACAAGTGTGCACCACCATATCCGGCTAGTTTTTGTATTTTTAATAGAGACGGGGTTTCACCATGTTGGCCAGGGGTTTCACCATGTTGGCCAGGCTGGTCTTAAACTCCTGGCCTCAAGTGATCCTCCCACCTCAGCCACCCAAAGTGCTGGGATTACAGACATGAGCAACCTCACCAGATGAAAGTCAATGAATTTTTTTTTTTCTTGAGATGGAGTCTCACTCTGACACCCATGCTGGAGTGTAGTGGCACAATCTTGGCTCACTGCAACCTCTGCCTCCTGGGTTCAAGGGATTCTCCTGCCTCAGCCTCCGGAGTAGCTGGGATTATAGGTGACTGCCACTACACCTGGCTATTTTTTGTATTTTCAGTAGAGACAGGGTTTCACCATGTTGGCCAGGCTGGTCTCGAACTTGTGACCTCAGGTGATCCGCCCAACTCAGCCTCCCAAAGTGCTGGGATTACAGGTGTGAGCCACCGTACCTGGTGGAAGTCAATGAAATTTTGATGTAGGAATGAATCAATAAATTATTCCATGTGGTTTCAAAGGAGAGAACTGAGACTCAAGGGCAAAAGTGTAGAGTTGGATGACAAATGAACCCAACTAATTTGGCTATTAATTAGGATCATTGGTGTAAATAAAGATACACTGTTTAGATGTTTAATTTCAACCTTTGCTCACCTGTTCAGCAAGAAGCTTTTATTACCCTTAAACCTTTTCTTCCAGAAATGATGCTAACTAAAGAGGTACATGGGCTTTAATGGCCCTTAGGTGGCATGTCAGTTCCATGAGAACTGGAGGACACACTATACATAGGTTCTTAAGCATGGGAGGAATGTGAGGAGGGGCTAGATCAGATCTTATTTAATTTTAGCTGCAATTTAGATCTGTTAAGTTGTGGTCCCTAGAGTACCTAGGTCATTTAGGTACCCCAAAATGTTGTTGGGGTTTGGCTATGCTCTTTGCTAGTTCAGTGGGTTTTGAACTTTTTCAAAGGGACCACCCGCATGTTGTATAAAGAAGATAGCAATGAACCCTAGTTGTGGAACTGTGGAACCTCTGAGTAGCCCTAGGGTTCTGAAGGGCTCAGTCCCTGAAGCGCTGGCCTGTTTTACCCCAGATATGATGGCCATATGCCCTGACCAAACCGCAGTACAAAATTAAGCTTATGTGGAATGACTTCCAGCTCTTATCAGACCCCAAACTCCTAATTTTTTTAAGTCATCTATTACACTTTGCTGTTTTTTGTCTACTGATCTGTATCCAGAGTTTTAGCAAGTAGCATCTTCCTTAAATAATATACGTTGGTCTGCAGATATTGGAGGCTTGCTAGTTCTTAGAGCTCATGAAGACAAATGAGAGATGATGAGGAATGTCACTCAGGTGCCAAAGGATGCCAAACTCTGGCCTTTAGAATACTTAATTTTTCCATAATCAAGAAGCCACACATCAGTCCCCTCATTGCCTGTTGCCTACAGCAATAGCATTCTCTTTTTACTGAACATCTCAAAATACTTGTGGATTAACATTAGACTCAAGGAAGAGAAAGGAAAGGCATCATTATTGCTACTTTGCTGAGGAGGAAATAAGTTATTGTCCTCTCCTTCCCTACCCCTCCATGCATAGAATTAGTTATCTGAACAATTGCTTAAATGTTGCATGTAAATATCTCAATAAGAAGGCTTATAGTAATAATTATTATTATATCCTCTGTGCAAGGCATTGTGCTAAGAACATCTCTTACCTTATTTCATCCTCATGATAATCTATGAGAGGCTATTATGATCCTTATTCTATTAATGAAGAAACTGATGTAGGAATGTTAAGTAACTTGCTTGAAGTTACATAGGTGTTGTGTGGTGGACTCATAATCCAGAGCAACTTCATAGCCAGGTACAGTTACATGATTTATTTCTCTTATCTGATGCTAGCATCATGGAGGGATGGAAACCAAAGGAATGCAACTTATTTTTTTATCCAGCACTACTTTTATTTAAGAATTTATTGTGAAAAGGTATTTTTGCCTAGGAGAGTTCATCTTTTACTTCAATTGGTTTCAATTACTTAGATTTCTTGGTGATCCAGCTGCCTTGAGAAACAACATTCTGTAATACTTAGTCCAGAAAGTGTTGAACATGATCAAATAATATCTAGGTTAATCACATTTTGTATCTGATTCTGTCTGGGTCATTATTATAGAGTTAGAAAGGCTATAAGACAGCCAGACTGCTTTCCAGTTTATCTTCCAAATCCTAAAAATAGTACCTACATCTTGTTAATAATAAGAATAGCTAGCAATTATATAGGGCTTGCCTTATGCCAGGCACTTCTGACTGCAGTTCTAAGCCAGGAATTGCAAAATCTCTACTAGATCTTATCCATTTTAGGAATATTTAGTGGCAAATGAAAGGTTCTAATCTGGAGTTCTGAGTAACATAATTCCTTGGTGAACATGATAGATTATCCCCTTGAAAGGGAAGAAAGAGCCATTCAAAAAATGTGACTGTGCCAATTTACTCGTTGATCTAAAGTCATATGTTCTTTCTCTTCTGTGCAGGGGGTAAAAGAGCAAAGAGATAAATTTAATATCCAAGGGCTTACAACACATGGGAAGGAATAGCCATGCAAAAACTAATTACAAATAATGCAATGAGGAATGCAAAACTTTAGGATGATAAAGAATGAAATTATTATATTAAAGATACAAACTATTAATATGCTAAGTGCTTATGTGAGAGAATGTAGGAAGATATCATTAATTCTGTCAGGCTAAAATCAAAGACCTCTATACTTTATTCTAAGGATGTTGGCATGTTTAAGTTTTTATTGGTACAGATTATTGTGGCAGAGCCTTATGGTTGTCCTCAAGGGAAAGGTTGGTTGGTTTGTGTAAGAAGGTGGGGTGGAAGGTACGTGTTCTTGGGATTTTGTTCATTTTTGTTTTATTTTGCTTTCCTTTACTCAGAAGAGGACTAAATTAAGCACAATGTAAGATATTTCATCTATAAGCGATTGTTAGTGTGTGCGGCTCATTGTAAGTATTCTGGACTTAGGATTTAGGAAAGCTGAATTCAGGTCTAGATTTTGTCACTAGTTACTTTGGGAGGCCATTTTACCTCCCTGGATCATCTGTAAGACTTGAGGCTTATAACAAATGATTCATAAGGACCCTTCGAGTGCTAATGTCCTGAGATTATTTGGGGAGAAAGATGAGGGAAAGTGAAGCTTTTCACTAAGAGGCATTTTTATTTTGTAAGGCCCTTAGACTTGATTACTCACGTTGAGAATGGAGATAAAGATGGAGGAGCTGGAGATCAGATTGCTATCTGTGGTAATCCGTGTGGATGAACTGTTCTACCAAGGCTTTCCTGGATCTAGTTGCAGTAGACTGGCTCACGATACACCTGAATCATGGCACAACCGGTGAAGCTATAAAAGAATCCGAATTAACTTTATTTTGCCTAGCTCTTAATTCTTTGGAACTGTATGTTACAATTGCAGACAAGGGCTATGGTGTACAAGAGCTTCTCTAAACATGAGGATTTGGAAAACCTGTCTTTTACTATTACTCTTTCTCATCTGAAATGCCTATTTTCACTTGGACTTAAATTTCTTAAAATTTTTTGCTCATTCTCACCCTCTCTATCATTTCTGGTCTCCCAGCTGTCCAACATACATGGTCCAGGGATCATTATGTGTTGCTGCTTCCACTGACATGACTTCGCTTACACAAATTCCCAGAGGGGCAAACAGGATATCATGAAAGGTTACAGATCACTTTTTCCCATCTTCCCCCGCCCCATGTGGAATTCTCATTGGTTGCAAAGAGTTATAAATACACTTATTCTTTTTGTCTTTTGTGAGTAAAGAGCAAAAGATACAAAGGAAAGAGCTGTTTCAAAAAAGCTTACCTTTAACATCCCTGGTGTTGGAAATGCTTAGGGGTCAGACTCAAGTGTGGGTGCACATGTGCAGCTCACATTGTGAGGCGAGAGGGGCCTCTTGCTAAGTCTCACATGCCACTCAGAACTCGTGTTATTTTTTGTGACAGAGGAAGCCTTAAGGTTTTGATCAGCTATTTGCCAGCAAGAGCACAGGAGATGTTAATATTCATCTTAACTTGGGTGCGTTGTTATGGTCTGAAAAATGACTGTGCTATGTCTCGACCCTCAGATAGTCATGTATCTCCCATGGTGATGCTGAGAAATTAAAAACACAAGGTGTGCATGCGCATGTGGTATAGGAGTCTACCTAAAACAGGGTGAATTTGGGAAGACTCTCAGCTGTGTGACTCACTGGCTTTAGCCAACCAGCTCGCTTATTTATACAGCCTCTGTATTTCCAAGAACAAAATACTGATGGAGAGAAGGGAAGCCTGTTGGGAGGACCCATTCTGTTCCTCATGCATTAAATGTTGATAGAGGAGGAAGGAATCCAAGATCAAGGCAAAGGCAATAGAGACAAGAGTTCACAAAGTAAATTCACAGGGGAATTTTATAGTTCTTTTATTATTACAAAAGCAGTCCATATGGCAGCAAATTAGAAAATAAAGACAAACATATTTTAATAATTAAAACATCATATTCCTAAGCAACAAGAGCCATTATCATTAATTTTTAGTGTATATTATTCCAGATCTTTCCCTCTGTGTGTGTGTTTGCTAAATGAGTTCATACTATACTTGCATTTTTTAGTCATTGTATTAGTCCATTTTCATACTGCTATGAAGAAATACCCAAGACTGGGTAATTTATAAAGAAAAAGAGATGTAATGGACTCACAGTTACACATGGCTGGGGAGGCCTCGCAATCATGGCAGAAGGCAAAGGAGGAGCAAAGGCACGTCTTATATGGCGGCAGGCAAGAGAGTTTGTGCGGGGGATCTGACCTTTAAAAACCATCAGATCTTGTGAGACGTATTCACTATCATTAAAACAGCATGGGAAAAACCCACCCTCATGATTCAATTACCTCCTACTGAGTCCCTCCCATGGCATGTGGGGATTATGGGAGCTACAACTCAAGATGAGATTTGGGTGGGGACACAGCCAAACTATATCAGTCAATAAGCTCCACCTTTCCATTGGGATATTTTCAGTTTTTATCCCATACAACAACTAGATCAAAATCAAATTTCCCAGTGACCCTAAAATGTCCTTTACAGAATCTAACGCAGAACGCTGTGGCATCTTGTTGTGTCCCTTAAGTCTTAATTTGAACGTAGCACCAACTGCAACGTAGACTAATTGAAAAGATGAAACCAGTTGTCCTGCAGGCTGTCACACCTTCGGGATGTGCTTGGTTGTTTCCTCATTATGTTGTTTACCCTCTTCCTATACCTCCTGTGCATTTTCTACATTGGAAGTTTGACTTTTGATTTGAAAGTGTGGAGTGGAAAAAAAAGAAAGTCTGGAGTGGGAGACAAGAAGTACTTGAAGATCTTTTAAAGAAAAGAAATGATGACTGTCTTTAAAAATGATGTGCAAGAATATATCAAGTGCCAAGAAGCAGAGGAGAAAGAACGCAGCAAAAGGGACCATGGTGGCTGGAGCTGAAAGATATTTCTATGCCTATGTGAGAGTGATTCTTTTAGGGGCCCCAAGAAATAACTGGGAGGCACTAATCTACTCATCTGACAAAGGGCTAATATCCAGAATCTACAAAGAACTCAAACAAATTTACAAGGAAAACAAACAGCCCCATCAACAAGTGGGTGAAGGGTATGAACAGATACTTCTCAAAAGAAGACATTTATGCAGCCAACAGACATGTGAAAAAATGCTTATCATCACTGGCCATCAGAGAAATGCAAATCAAAACCACAATGAGATACCATCTCACACCAGTTAGAATGGCGATCATTAAAAAGTCAGGAAACAACAGGTGCTGAAGAGGATGTGGAGAAATAGGAACACTTTTACACGTTGGTGGAACTGTAAACTAGTTCAACCATTGTGGAAGACAGTGTGGTGATTCCTCAGGGATCTAGAACTAGAAATACTATTTGACCCAGCCATCCCATTACTGGGTATATACCCAAAGGATTATAAAGCATGCTGCTATAAAGACACATGAACACGTATGTGTATTGCGGCACTATTCACAATAGCAAAGACTTGGAACCAACTCAAATGTCCAACAATGATAGACTGGATTAAGAAAATGTGGCACATATACACCATGGAATACTATGCAGCCATAAAAAAGGATGAGTTCATGTCCTTGTAGGGACATGGATGAAACTGGAAACCATCATTTTGAGCAAACTATCGCAAGGACAAAAAACCAAACACCGCATGTTCTCACTCATAGGTGGGAATTGAACAATGAGAACACTTGGACACAGGAAGGGGAACATCACACACTGGGGCCTGTTGTGGGGTGGGAGGCTGGGGGAGGGATAGCATTAGGAGATATACCTAATGTAAATGACGAGTTAATGGGTGCAGCACACCAACATGGCACATGTATACATATGTAACAAACCTGCACGTTGTGCACATGTACCCTAGAACTTAAAGTATAATAAAAATATATATTTTTATATAAAAGAAATAACTGGGAGGCACTAACTGGGAGCTAAGTTCCTGCATGAGCAAATGAAGACTTAGCACCATTACAATTTGGGCATAAATATAAATGTGATTTCAATTATGTCCACAAGCTGGTAACATTTGGGTTACACCTGGAAATAGGTTCAAGATATGTAACTGTGAAGGTAATGCTACACATGGTTAAAACAATCACACTGTATAGGGATATGTGAAATGAAAACTAAGTTTTCCCTTTCCCTAATCCCCACTGCCCCCTCTCTATGCTGCTAATGGTTTCTGCTTCTGATTCTAACAGTTTTAATTGTAATTTTCAAAAATAATTATGCTTCTATTTCTTGTTTTTATCAAATTCAGGCATTATCCATTGGCCTCTAGGTACAAAATGTGAGGAATTTAGAACTTGAGTGGCTTTTCATCTTTCCTTCTGTTGAACTCCTACTTTTTATTGTATCAGCATTTATAGTCATTACAAGCTTTTAAAACAATAATTTAGTATTCTGTTCTTTGTCTATAGGTTGAGTATAATAAAAAACCTATGTGAAACATTTATAAACATTATTACCATTAGCCAGGCATGATGGCATGTGCCTGTAGTCCCAGCTACTCGGGATGCTGAGGTGGGAGGATCACTTGAGCCTGGAAGGTTGAGGCTGCAGTGAGCCATGACCATGCCACTGCACTCCATCCTAGATGACAGAGTGAGACTCTGTCTCAAAAAAGAATTAAAATAACTATTACCTTAATATAATCTCTCTAGAAATAAATATGATTGAACCTATAGAGAAGAAAATATAATCCTTAATTTAAAATATTTTGTCACTCAAACAAGGATAGTACGTGTATCCCTCTCTAAAGGATGACCTTTAAATTTCTTTTTTACTTCTGTAAATCTTTCTGGGTCATTTCAGGTAACTGAAGCTTCTTGTACCTCATCTTTTTCTGCTTTCTTGGCTTATTTTTTGGTTTTGCTGGGTTACTTCACAAGTAATTTTTTCTTACTGTGTGTATAGTTACTAAACTTACTGAATTCTTATGTGTCTATAAGTGCTGTCTTTTACCCTCATACTTGATTGAAATTTGGCTGAATATAGAAAATTAAGTTCAAAATTGCTTTCCCTCAGACCTTTGGGTACACTGCTCTGTTGCCTCCTGGAGCTCTACAATTTTGGAGTGAGTCTGTAATCAGGCTGAGGTTCCTGAAAAGTTGCCAGAGTCAGGATGACTTATCTCTGGGGTGAAGGTCATCAGGGTTATCAATGCTGAGTGGCTCTGTCTTTTTTCCTGAGCTGTTATGGGGGTCCAGATTATCTCAAACTTAAGTCCCTTTTTTTGACCCACAACTCCCTCATCATTGGCCGTCCTAGACGTATTTCCTACATCCTTTGGAAGGCAAAAGCTGCCTCACTAGTTATTCTATCTATTGAGAGACAGACCCCACCCATCCCAGCTATCCCAAATGCAATTCTTTAACATTTCAGGCTAATTTGTAATTTCTGAACTAGGATTGTTTTGGGGGCAGTGGGGGTGGGGCTTGCAAAGGTTGGTCTTTATCTCTGGAGTTTGGGCTTCTGTCACTTCTGCCACAACTTCTCCACTTACCAGATGCCTTTTCTTTTCTATGGATGATAATCCTTCAAATTTTCTGATTCACTGACCACTCTCAGTTCCATTTTTCACTACTACAGTGGTTTGAATTTAAAAATGAATCTTTTAAAAATCATTTCAAAGGAGGCTTAGAGACAGTGGGCAGATGTGTGCAGAAATGCAAGACACATTTTTAACTGAACAGTACAAGATAATATGGATATACACACACACACAGAAATAATAGAATGATAGTGCAGCTAAACTTAATACCAATGATCATAGGTAGTATGAAAAGGCTTATTTATGTTTACTAAATTTTTTGACTATGTGCATGTTTTACTTTTGTAATTATTAAAAAAAACAAGGTGTGGGTGTGTGTTTTAAAGAAATAAATGATGGAGTTTATTATGTGAAGATAGAAAGCAACGGTGTAAACCTAAACAGGAATGGAGGTTTTTCAACTGGTTCTGTAACTGTCTGCCCGCCTTCCATGCAATGGTTATATCATGCAATCCAGTGCAAATCAAATCGTTTATATCACATGCAAAGCACACTACCTTTAGGTTCCTCAGCAAAATTAAATCAAGAATACGAAACCTTTACTGAGCACTTTTTATGTGCAGTGCTAGGCAGTGCAACGTAAGGGGGCTGCCATAGATGGGGGTGGACCTCAGGAGGAGATGGGAGCAAAAGCTGGCTCTGAGTTAGATCCATCCAACAACGTCCAGTCTGCTTTGTACTAGAAGGTCCCCAAGAGACTGGGTAAGTTCTGGGCCTCCTTCCAGGTGTTCTAATCTTTGAAACTATAAATGTCATGTTACCCGTTTAATCAGATTCTAAAAGGGCTTCTTGGCAGAAAAATATGGGAACTACTGTGGCAGATCAACTACAAAGACAAGTCAGTTTATTGGTTCAGGCTTCAGAAGAAACTCTAGATGAAACTAAAATTTGCTGCTAAGAAAAATGTGATAAATCTAGTATTACTTAAAAGCTTCTAAAGCAATGGCAAATAATGATAACAATAAGTTGCATACCTCTTCCGCGTGCACAGCTTCTGCCCTGTGACTTCAAAGAAAGCTCCTCAAGTCCAGGGGGAGACACACAGCTCTGCTGAGGAGATATTTATGGGGCTGTTATGGCGCCTAGGATGTTCCTATTATACTCACCATTCAAACCTCCAGATTTCCAGGACCACAGCAAACAAAAGACTTGAGGCATTTTAAGAAGGGTTTTGCTTTTTCCTATAACACAAATGATCAGGTTTGCATTGTTGTCATTAATTTTGAACTCTTGTCATTAAGTCTACTTATGTTATGCTTCATCTATTTTAAAATACAGAGAAACAGACTGGAGAAGTCCTTCAGCCTTAAGTGGAGTAGAGAGCTGGTAGCTATGTGGCTAATTTAATAAATGTCACCACACAAAGAATATCACAATAGAGTTTAGCAGAATAAATGAAATCTCATAACCTGGTTTGGTGCAGTGAAGGTTGTCCCTTCAGTACTGATTTAATCTGCAAAGTCTGAAGGCATCAAATCATTTGTGAAGCGGTTTGACTTCCTTTACGCCTTTCCACCCACTTATCCTTTGCCCCTACCACAACCTTGCAACCATACAAAAGCCAGATGCAGTGCCAGAAGAACCCAAGCTTCCTCAATCACTCAGTTCAAGGCTAGCATCTATGAATTTAATGAAATGTTGTTACAGAGAAATAAGTGTGGGAGCTTCCTTTCCGATATTCTATGTTTACAGTTTTCTTTCCTCACCCCAAAATGAACTTAATTACAAGAAATGTTTCACCTTCAAAGAGTTGTGTAATCGATTTTGTGTACCAGAGGAAAGGGGAAAAATGAGTAATGCTGGCTTTAAGATATGGTTGTAAAATATGTCTATATGTGCACACTTTTGTTGACTTCAATTTTTTTCCTTTTATATATAATTTATTCTTTTTAATTTAGTATTTATTTTATAGCAATCTCAAATATTAAGTCATTTCTTTCTTCTTCTTTTTTTTTTTTTTTTTTTTGTGGAGTCTTACTCTGTCACCCAGGCTGGAATGCAATGGTGCAATCTCAGCTCACTGCAACTTCTGCCTCCTGGGTTCAAGCGATTCTCCTGCCTCAGCCTCCCGAATAGCTGGGACCACAGATGCGTGCCACCATGCCCAGCTAATTTTTGTATTTTTGGTACAGATGGGGTTTCACCATGTTGGCCAGACTGGTCTCGAACTCCTGAGCTCAAGCGATCCACCTGCCTTGGTCTCCCAAAGTGCTGGGATTACAGGTGTGAGCCACCATGCCTGGCCACGTTAAGTCATTTCATTCTACAAGTGCTAAAAAAAAAAAGGGACATTTTATATAAATGTATATTGTTATAACACCAAACAAAATTATCAGTATTTCCTTGGTATCATCCAAAACACCGACAATATTTAACTTTCCATGATTATCTTAAAATTATGTTACGAGTGGTTGTTATATCCAAAGTCCACGTGTTATTTGGTGGTTTTATCTCTTAAGTATCTGCTAATACTCTTTCTTTCTTTCCCTCTCTTCTTTATGCCATTGACTTGTCTAATAAATCAGATCAATGATCCACTAGTCCCTCTTGCAGTAGTTTTAATCAGCCAGATGTAGAATAGGGCATCTCCCCACATTTTTTTTTTTTGAGGTGGAGTTTTGCTCTTGTTGCCCAGGCTGGAGTGCAATGGTGCAATCTTGGCTAACTGCAACCTCCCCCTCCTGGGTTCAAGCAATTCTCCTGCCTCAGCCTCCCGAGTAGCTGGGATTACAGGCACATGCCATCATGTCCAGCTAATTTTTGTATTTTTTAGTAGAGTTGGGGTTTCACCATGTTGGTCAGGCTGGTCTCCAACTCCTGACCTCAGGTGATCCACCCACCTCGGCCTCCCAAAGTGTTGGGATTACAGGCGTGAGCCACCGCGCCCGGCCACCTCCCCACATATCTTAAAAGGAAATCCTTTGAAGCAGGTAGAACCTATACTAGCACAACCTTACTGATAGAAAAACAGGGCCACAAAGACTTTGAGTGGTTACCTAAGAAGATCTGAAACAGAATCTTCTTCTCTAATTGTTTATCTAGTTATTTTTGTTTTTGTTTTCTTTGAGACAGGGTCTTGCTTTGTCACCCAGGCTGGAGTGCAGTGGCGCCATCTGGCTCACCGCAACTGCTGCCTCCCAGGCTCAAGCAATCCTTCCACCTCAGCCTCCTGAGTAGCTGGGACTACAGGCATGTGCCACCATGCCTGGCTAATTTTTGTATTTTTAGTAGAGATGGGGTTTCACTATGTTGGCCAGGCCGGTCTCAAACTCTTGACCCCAAGTGGTCCACCGGCCTCAGCCTCCCAAAGTGCTGGGATTACAGGTGTGAGCTACTGTGCCCAGAGTGTTTATCTTGTTATTTTTAAACTAAACTTTCCTGACTCTTGTTTTTTGTGTTAAGGGTATGTATGGTAGAATGTTGTACATATATATGGTTTCAAAAAGTGGGCTTGCTCATTTCACTTTGCAAATACTTTGTTAACAGACTTGACTATAAGTTCCACGAAGACAAGGTCATGTCTGTTTTATTCACCATAATATTCCTAGGCCTTGACAGGGTCTGGCATAGCTTAATGCTCAAATGTTTGTTGAATAAATGGCGAATGAATGAGTGCATGTTGTGTTGCACCAAAGTGTGACCACACCTTAAGTTTGAATAGCTCCTCACTCTTTACAAATCTCTTGTGTATAGTCTTTTACTTGATCATACAACAACCACATAAAACGAATACCGTAATTCCCATTTAACAGACAAGAAAAGAAGGTGAGAAGCATCACTCAGTTATGTGTTAGGCCTGGAAAAAAGTGAGCCTAGGTTCCAGGATGTTTTAATCTCATCAACTGTCTCTTTAAAAACATTTTTTAAATTTTTTTAAGTTCAGGGGTACAAGTGCAGTTTGTTACATAGGTACACTTGTGTCATGGGGGTTTGTTGTACAGAGCTTTCATCGTCCAGGTATTAAGCCAAGTACCCATTAGTTATTTTTTCCTGATCCTCTCCCTCCTCCCACCCTCCACCCTCTGAAAGGCCCCAGTGTGTGTTGTCCCCCTCCACATGTGTCCATGTGTTCTCCTCATTTACCTCCCACTTATAAGTGAGAACATGCAGTATTTGGTTTTCTGTTCCTGTGTTAGTTTGCTAAGGATAATGGCCTCCAGCTCCATCTATGTCTAACTCTCTACACAACTTCACCTACTCTGATAAGGCAGACATGCATGTTACTTCACAACTTGCAAAGCCTCTTAGCTCATTTGGTCTCTTCAGCAACCATTCAAGGTAGGAGTGACTGTCTCAACTTTGAAGATGAGGAAACTAAGTCCAAGTCACATGACTAAGATGAAAAGCCTATACTAGACCCCAGATTTTCTGACTTCAAGTGTAGTTTGGTTTCTACTACACAACCAATTATACTGCTCCCTTGTCTGTCCCCTGCCTTATTCCACTGTACAGGCTCAAGTCCTTTCTTTTTCCCACGTCCCCAAGTATATTCATGTCTCTCTGGGTAGCCATGGTGGGTGTTGGTGTGTTCATATATTACATCTTCCTCCCATTTATATCACATCAACCAGTTTCCTATCATTGCCCACTACCCCCCTTGAGGCAGAAGCAGAGTTTTCTCCTTCGTATGCCTAATTCTAACCTCTTAAGTAGACAAGGCCCAGCAGTTGTTGTTGACTCACTGGGCATTTAACTTGTCAGCATTTTGGATGCCCTTTTCTTCTAATAGAAATCTAAAAATGAATGAACTAGGGAATTTTGCTATTTGTCAGGCATAAATTATCATACTTCAAAAGTGAATAGCTGTTTGAAAGTTAGACATTAAATAATTTCTATTTCTAAAATTAAATTTTAAAAAACAGCATTAGCGAATGATTGGAGAAGGAGCCATTGCCTAAATGTAAACAGGATGACAAGAATCTGGCCATTTGGAGAAGACATTCATCACTCTGGGCATATATTTACACACACACACACACACACAGAGAGAGAGAGAGAGAGAGAGACCTTGTGTTTTTCCTTGTGAGAAAACACTAGCTGTTCACTAGCTATTTAAAACTTACATTTTTTTCTGGATTTGTTTTAAAAGATTATTTTTAAAGGGGTTGAATACATGTACTTCCTCAATTTGATCTTGAATTCAGGTCTCAGTGATGTGAGAATATAGGATTTGGGGTATCCACCCCCATTGCACCTTTGGAAAATTACTTTAAAACATTTGGAAGGTTTGCATTGAAGGGAGGATTGGCGGGTGGGAGCAGTTTTATTATGCACACTCTTTTATGGGTTGTGGCCAGATATTTTCAATGTGCTATTATCCTAGGTTTTATGGAGTTCTTAGACCCTGTGGATATAAACATCTGGGAATAAATGGTTGAATGTGAGCAAAGCTACATGCTATTCTGCCAGGGAAGAAATACATTTGTGCAGCATTTAAAATGTAATGAATTATCCGCAAGGGAAGTAATAATTTAATAAGTATACTAACTACCAATAAGCCAAATAAAATATTTTTTTAAAAAAAGCTCTTCTACTAGCTGTATTCAAATGTTTTATGTGTGTTTTATCTACATGCATATGATCAAATCATACAGATTCTTGTCTTCACAAATTGTCACATCTACCATTGGAGGCTTGGTGAAGGAGTCTAATTGGCGAATGAAGGAAAAGATTCTGCCACTTAATTTATTTCAGGGGTAAGGCTGAGATAGGACATGAAATTGGATTTCATGGTACTCACTTTAGGAGAGGAGAAAATCAATATGTCTATGATGAATTCTTCTTTTATTTTTTTTTCTGAGGTGGAGTCTTGCTCAGTCACCCAGGCTGGAGTGCAGTGGTGCGATCTTGGCTCACTGCAACCTCTGCCTCCCGGGTTCAAGCAATTCTCCTGCCTCAGCCTCCTGAGTAGCTAGGATTACAGGTGCCCACCACTGTGCCAGGCTAATTTTTGTATTTTTAGTAGAGATGGGGTTTCGCCATGTTGGCCAGGCTGGTCTCGAACTCCTGACCTCGTGATCCACCCATCTCAGCCTCCCAAAGTGCTGGGATTACAGGCATGAGCCACCGCGCCCAGCCCCTATGAATTCCTCTTTTGAAAGTCTTCTTGATTTTATTCTTCCTCAGATTTTAGTGCTATGATTAAATAACAATATTCTTTTAGTACTGATTTCTTTTCTTCTTTTAGCCTTATTTTCTTCCTCTCCCCTTCTATCTTCTTTCCTTCCCTCTTTTCTTGAACTCTGTGAGAAGCTCTGACACAGCTCAGCATGCAGAGGATGAGAACACTGGCTCCCATGTCACTGCTGAGCCCACATACTCTACCATTGTGGGTTCCAGCTCTGTTCAGCTAGTCTCATTTCTGTGATAATTCTGATTTGAGTATGGACAGTGATCCCTTTTCAGCTTTGTAGCTCTTCAGGCAGAATGATCCCTCTGGCCACTTTATCTGCTGTCCAAGGAACAACACTCTTCATGTTTGCACTTGGCGTGGGACAGGCCATTGAGGATGGAGCTGGAAGAAAGAGTTACTCCTGTCTTTGGTGACTGGAGCTCTAACAGGGAGCTATCGTCATATAATAGATCCCAAGATAACAGGAGCTCAGATACTTATGGGAGAATTGAGGCTGGGTTATATCCAGCTTTGATTTTGCTCTTCAAATTGAAATTGATCCAAGCTGAGGAAACCAAGGAGTGATAGAGGGAAGAAAAAAGAAGAAGAGGGAGAGAGAAAAAAGGAGGAGGAGAACACATGTGCATGTTCAAAACCCTAATAGGATTGGGTGAGAGCCATTGAATACCTGGTCCACTGCAATTGTAAAGTCTGCTTTCACCATCAGGAGTGGGTTTAGCATCTGGAAGTGATTTCATTCTGTGATTACCTTTGGACTGCAATGCTTGTTGGTTCTTTACTAACAAGCAAGCACAGACCCAGGGCAAGCCTTTCATGCTAACAAGCAAACAAGCCATCAGGCTGCAGATTTCAAAACCAGAGGCAGGAGGCGGATGTGAAGTGGGTCAAAATCCTGTTGCTTCCCAGGGGAAAAAAAAGTTGGGAGAGAGAAAAAGAAGTGGCTTTGCCCTCCTAAGCCCTTTTTCAAAGCACATGGAAAGTCAGCAATTATTCCATAGATCATATATCTGCCCATGTATTTCAAAACTTTTGGAATGCAACTAACATTGCCTCAGGCAAGTAGTAAGAGACATTCAGCTCTGTTTAACTCCACAATATAACATTGGGGAGCAACGTGTCTGTGGGCTGTCTTCCCTCTAAAACACTTGGACGCTCCAACCCTAGTAAGAAGATCTGAGACCATATTCCCCTTCTCTGTGCAGATTCCCTCAAATTTGCCAAACGTGCCCAAGTAGCCCTTGGTTATTCACATTCACAGAATGTCCCTTTAAAATGTGTGTGATGATTAAAGCAACGAAATGTGAAAGATCAACTTTGCATTTCCCAATCTGTAATGTTTTGTTCCATGCAAACTTTCTCAATAACCTGTTCTATTAAAGATTTTGAGAAGCCTTATTTTGATGGAAGCCAATTACCAGCGTTAGGCCTCCAAAGACTGATTATAATTTACATATATTGGTGCCATAAAAAGCTGTCCATAAGTTTTTAGCATTGACCAGCTTTTAGAAATCCTAAAAGGAGGCAAGCCAGGTTTTAAGTGCAGAAGTCTGGAAGGGCAATACATTAGATTAAAGAGTAGCAGTGAGTAATAATGATAATGATAGGCACCAAGATTTCCTTAGTACCTAGAATGTGCCAGGCACTCTGCTAGGCCCTTGTATATGTAATCACTGTTATTTAATCCCACCACAAACCCAGTGATATGAATTCTATTATTACCCCTCATTTACAGATGAGGCAATGGAGACGTAAGGAAGTTTCTTGCCCAAAGTCCCACAACTTAGAAAAGGCACAACCAAAACTGAAACCCACAGGTACCAGGACATTATGGAGAAAATATTCTGTTTTTGTGTTCTAGGCTCACTCTTCTCGATAAGCTACAATGGGACTCAACTTTCCCTAGGATTTGTATATAAGGTGTATGTCCACGGTACATGCGTGTAAGTACATCAGGATTTAACTTTTGGAGGAAGATGGTAGCTATCAGAAATTATGTGTACTCCCAGCTTCTTCAAAGAGATGAGCCAGAGTTATGTTCAGAGTGAGATGACCATTTCATTGCTGCTTGTGCCCCTTGTGGGCACTGAATAGCAAGGCTGGATTAAAACTGCCAATGGTCCTCACCTCCGGGCATACAAGCTTTGTGACATCCCTTCCCATTGAATGTGGGATGGACAAAGGGACTTGCTTCTAATTAATATAATAGGGCAAAATCAGTGAGATGTCACTATAGAGATTGGGTTACAAAAAGACACGCTTTCTCACGGGTTTGTTCTGAAGGAAGGCAGCCGCATATTGTGAGCTGCCCTTTGGAGAAGTCCACGTGGCAAGGAGTGATGTCTCCAGTCCACAGCCAGGGAGGATGTGAGACCTGGCAACAGACAGGAGAGCCAGTTTGGAAGTGGATCTTCCCCGGGTTGAGCATTGAGATGACTGCAGCCTTGTGAGAGATCTTAAGTGGGACATCCAGCTAAGCTGTGCTAGGACTCCTGATAATGAGAAACCTAAGATAGTAACTTTTCTTTTTCTAAACCACTAAGATTCAGGGTAGTCTTTTACACAACATAGATAACTAATCCACTTCTGTAGTGTGAAGGCAAGAGATACAGCCTACCCTCTAGGAGGAACCACTAGGATAGCTGACTGAGAACCCTGGTTCAAGAAGTAGGGTAAGTGTCTTCTTCTGGCTGTTTCCTGTCACTAGAACACCAGCATTGCTGGAGCAAGCTCGGGTTGCAGCCTCAAGAGAAGTCCGCTCTATCTTTGCTAATTTACATTGTGATGAATTAGGCTGAGTGGCCCAGGGGAAAGTGAAAGTGAGTTAAACAAATTTGTCTCTCTTGAAAAAGGAAGCAGGACTAAGGCAGAGACATTCATTCAACAACCAGTGAGAAGCAAAGCATGCCCTCACCCTGCCCTCAGGTATGATGGGAGGACACAGACCATAATCCTGCGAATGTGAGCATCCGCAGAGAGGCCTGGCAGCCACATGGCTCTGTGTGACACAGGCTCAACTCCAAGCATCAGAGTCTGCCAACCAAAGAATAACAGAGAATATAAATCTTTATTCAGTTTCTCGAGGTAATATCCAAATGCAGAATTCATTCTCAGTGTATCGCAAAGCATCTTAAAAACCTCTCCCAATTTCGGCCACTCTCAAAATCCTCTTTACTACTGGCTGCTCCTAATTCCCTCCCAGTTTAGGATTCTTTTAAATGTAGCTCTTTACCCTGCTGCCCCCTCCGTGTTTTTCCGGGTCCTCTTCCGATGCATACCCTCTTGCCCAGAAGTCACATACCGGCAGGCGTGGGCCACAACCGGCCTGTAGATTGTTTTGTTTGATTTCCAAGATCATCAAGAAATTTTGTATAGACTACCAACTTGGGGGCTTGAGTTGAAAGCTGGTTAGATCTGGCCACATGGGGCCTACATCCTTGCCTGGCAACAATTGGCCACACTGAGCTTAGCTCAGCGCTTCCCCTTCCTTTATGTAATGAGCCCCAACTCTCTGCTGCTTCTCTCACCTATCACATCCCTGCTCTGGAGACCCAGGGAGTCTGGAGAGCGCAGTCAGACAGCATTTGCTCTGCGGAGTGTCAGGGCTCTGCTCTGTTTGGAGAAGGAAGCCGGGAATGAGCTGATGGGTTTGCTCTGGCAACAAGATGTGGAACTGGCTTAGGAAAGGAAGACCAAGGTTTATTATGATTGGGAAAAGCCCTTAATTGCCACTTTGGATGAAGCTTAGCTTTTAAATTCATATTCTGTAGCTAAAGAGCCTCTCTTTATACAAAAGTACTACAGCTAATTAGTGGCTGGCCATCTTGTAAGAAATGGCTATTTGCTTTATTTTTAGTAAAAGCTTCTTGGAATTTTCCTGACTCCTGCCTACTTTCAGTGCCCCTGGCTACCAGAGGATGTTGACAGAAATGAGCAGGGTTGAACTTTGCTCACTGCCAACTGGCCTTTTCCACTGACCTGGGTTTTTTTTCCCCCCTTTTGGGGAAAGAGCATAGCTTCTAGCTCTTTCTGGTCTGCTCTGCCTGGTGGCCCAGCTGTTCTGACAGAGCCAGATCCCAGTGATTGGCTCCTTGCCTCCACTCCAGAGAGGGCGAGAACTTAAGAGCTTTTCCTCCCAGAAAACAGATGCCAAGATAGGCATGGAGAGATGCATTTGTCCTAGTGAAGAGGGCCTGGAGGTATGGAAAAGGCCCTGAAGTTCATAGCTACTCACTAGATGTCTTCCTTTATTTGTCCTCTGGATCCACTCCCACCCTCACCCACCCTGCTCTGGGCCTTAGGGGGCTCCACATGTGGACCACATCAACTGGCTCCATGGTCCTCTGATTTCCCTTTGGGTTAGGCCAGTGTGGTATACCAGTAGGAGATAGAAGAAGGAGGTGTATTTATTCCCTGGGTCCCATACCATGGGATCTCCTTTGTATATACATATACATATACATGCTCCATATAGGTTCTAGAAGCCATGTCCTCCTATTTTTCCCTTCAGGCTTGGGGCAATAATGAAACCCCACTAGTACTAGCCTTTGCATGGTATCCACACACCCTGCTTGCATCTACTAAACTCTCCTCAGATTATCCTAATTTGAGTGTGCCATCTGTTTCCTGCAAGAATTTTGATGAATACAGCTATCCTACCCTAACCAGATCTTTAAGAACAAGATGGTCTCTCCTTGGAAGCAAGAAATGAATCAGCTAGAATAGGGGCCTGAAATGCTGTGCACAGAGAAGATGCATACTTCCTCATGCCAGAGGGAAGGGATGGACCCCACTGCCTACATCAGTGAAGTTGAGTGGGCCCAGATCCCCTCACCTCTGGCAGGACACGCCTTCCCTTGACTAGATGAGAGCCACTCTAGGACTGAAACCAAATCTTCTGATTTGAAGGCAAGTGCTCTTTCCCTGGCCTGAGCCCTAAGGCCCATGTTGGTCCCTGTGGGTGACCTAGGGAATTTAGACATACATTGGTAAAGAATCTTGAGGGCATATGTATTTATTAATGCTTATTCTGCTGTTCTGCCTTCACCAAGAAAGGGTAATTTGTAGTATTTGTCCCCCTAAATGAATCTCAGCTGGACTCCCATGTGCTGCCCAGCAAATCTCCAAAAAGAAATCCCATGTATGTGGCTTTCCTCCATGGGTTTCTTCTCTACCATGAAGAGAGAGGCAGGAGGGTGAAAGAGGGTGAAGTCAAGGCTTATACAAGGCCCCTTCCCTTTTGATCCTCTTCAGTGGCTGTCACTAGCCTCATCTCTACCAAGTTTTGAGACAATAGCAAAAACAGATGGATTCTCTAAGGACTGGCCTGTGTATTTAATCCGTCTTTGAATATAAGTTTGTTCCAAGCCTGAAGGGTTTGGTCTCACTAGAAAGTTTTTTATTTCAAAGGAGAAGGCTCTTGAGGGTAACATGAGTGGATGGAATCACACTTAGAGAGCAGATATGAAGTTTTTCTTTGGTACCACAAGCCCTTGTCTTGCTTAAATAAGTAGATTTTGATATAACTTCCTTTCCTTCTGGTAATAAGCAGCCATTGTCCCTGTGAAGCTGTGACACATGGTGCCTTTTGTTGGTTTCCTTCAAGGCTTAAACACCGTTCTCTATTTTTTTCTCATGTCATAAAATCATTCCTGAAAAGAAGCACAGGACCTGTGGAGCACGAGTTTTCTAGACGTTAGTCTCCTATGGTTGAATGACATGTTTGTATCTTTCCCTGGGCAAAAGGTCTACTTCCTTCAGGCACTCTGCTTCTGGGCTCTTATTCCAAGATGAATTATGACTTCTCCTCATCTGTTCTCATGGAAAATCTGGGCAGCTCTTCTTCCCTAACACACACATACATACACAAACACACACACACACACACACACACACACACACACACACGGTCTTTTCAGGGCCTTTGAACTTCTCCTGTATGTAGATAATCTTTTTCTTCTTAGTTCAGTAAAGACAATTTTAAAGTATTTCAAAGAATCATGTACAAAGGAATTGAGGTAAGGATGGAGGAGCAGGGGCAAAATGAATAGAAATAAATGAGTTTTCTGATGCAGGTTTTACACAAACTCTTCCAAAAAATAGGAGAGAATACTCATTTTATGAGGCAAGTATTACCCTGATATCTAGACCAGACAAAAGATCTTACAAGAAAACTCCTGAACAATAAGCCTCATGAACATACATGCAAAATCCCCAACAAAATATTATCAAATTGAATCCAGTAATATATAAAAATAATAATGATCAGGACTATTAATAAAGGGGATTTATCACAGGAATGCAAGATTAGATCAACATTTGAAAAATCAATATATGCAATTCACCATATTAACAAGTTCACAAAGAAAAATCATACAATCACCTGAGAAGATGCAGGGGAAAAAAACCACCTGACAAGTCCAAAATCCACTCATAATAGAAACCCTCAATAAACTAGCAATAGAAGGAAACTTTCAACCTGAAAGAGGGCATCTACAAAAGCCTACAGTTAACATCAGATTTAATGGTGAAATACTGAATGCTTTACCCTAAGGTTGGGAACAAGGTCATCACTTCTAGTCAGATTATGCTGGTGGTCCTAGCCAGTGCAATAAGGTAAGAAAAATAAATAAGATCCATACAGTTTGAAAAGAAAGAAGTAAAACTATCTTTATTAGCAGATGTTATGATTATTCATGTAGAAAATCTCAAGGAGTTTAACAATTACTAAACTACTATACAAGTTTAGCAAGGTCACAGGATATAAAGTCAGTATAAAAATGAATTAAATTGCCATAAGCTATCAATGAAATTGGAAATTAAAGTAAAAAATACTGTTTATGATAGCATCAAAATGACATATTTGGGAATGAATTTAACAAAACATGTACAAGACTTGTATGCTTTACATGACTCAGAAAAACCAAAGAAGACTTAAACAAATAGTTATTTACTGTGTTTATGACCTGGGAGTCTCAATATTGTTTAGATGTCAATTCTCCACTAAATTGATCTGTATCTCCAACATATGCCAACAAAAACCCTAGAAGCCTATTTTTTTTAGAAATTGACAAGCAGATTCTAAAATTTATATGGAAATGCAAATTCTAGAATATTCAAAACAAATTTGAAAAAGAGGAAGAAACATGTTAAATTCATACTATTTGGTTCCAAGGCTTACTCTAAAGCTACAATAGTAAAATAATAAAAACAGTATGGTGTTAGTGTATGAGTAAACACAGACCGACAGAGCGTTCAGAAACAGATCCACACATATATAGTCAATTGATTTTTTTTTTTTTTGAGATGGAGTTTCACTCTTGTTGCCCAGGCTGGAGTACAGTGGCGCGATCTCGGCTCACCACAACCTCCGCCTCCCAGGTTTAAGCAATTCTCCTGCCTCAGTCTTCCTGAGTAGCTGGAATTACAGGCATGGGCCACCATGCCCGGCTAATTTTTGTATTTTTAGTAGAGATGGGGTTCCTCCATGTTGGTCAAGCTGGTCTCAAACTCCTGACCTCAGGTGATCCATCCGCCTCAGCCTCCCAAAGTGCTGGGATTATAGGCGTGAGCCACCACGCCTGGCTGGGCAATTGATTTTTTTACAGAGGTACTAAGGTAATTGAAAACAGGAAAGAATAGACATTTAAACAAATGGAGCTAGAATAATTGGAAGAATTAGGTAACCACATGAAAATAAAAACCTCAAACCTTACATCATACAAAAATTAAAATGTAATGGATTACAGACCTAAATCTAAGAGCAAAATCTATAAAGGACTTAATCAAAATTAAAAACTCTCCTTTAAAAGACATTGTTAAGGAAAAGAAAAGCCAAAGGCTAGAAGAAACTACTTGCAAAACACATAGCTGATAAAGGACTTGCATCATAAATACATAGAACACTTACAAGTCAATATTAAAAAGACAAATCATCTAATAAAAAACACAAAATATTTGAACAGATACTTTACCAAAAAAGATATATAAATGGCAAAAAAAAAAGTACATGAGGAGGTGTTCAACATCTTCAGTGTTTAGGGAAATGAAAATTAAAATCACAGTAAGATATCACTACATACCCACTAGAATGGCTAAAATGTAAATGATTGATAATAGCAAGTGCAGACAAGAATGTGGTGTCCCTAGGAAACTCATGCATTGCTGATAGCAATTCGAAATGGTATACCCACTTTGGAAAACAGTTTAATAGTTAAACGTCCACTTAACATGCAGTCCAACAATCTCATTCCCGGATATTTACCCAAAAAAACGTGCAGGCAAAACTTGGCAGAAACTATTTATTAAATTCAAATGTCATCAACTGGCGAGTTAGTAAACAAGCTGTGCTACATTCACATATGTGAATTCCATCCACTGTGGAATACTACTCAGCAGTAAAAAAGAATGAGAACAATTGATACATTCAACAACATAGGTGAATTTCAAAAGCATATGCTAAGTAAAAGAAGACAGGCACAAAAGACTACATACTGTGTGATTCACCTTATATGACATCCCAGAAAAGGCAATACTATGTAGTTGCCAGGATTTGGGGGTTGGAAGGAGAGGATTGATTGCCAAGGGAAAGAAGAAAAACTTTTGGGGTGATGGGAATATTCTGCATTTTGATTGTGATGGTGGTTACATGATTGTGCGCATTTATCAACATTCATCCAACTATACACTGAAAATGGTAAATTTTATTTCCTCTGTAAACCCAACTTGAAAAAATAATAAAATACAAGTTTCTGCCTGTTACTCAACTGAAATCTAGCCACACTGGCCAGTCTTCAAGCGAATGAAAACATAACCCCTAGTTCCTTTCTCTTTCTTCAGCCCTGTGTTGAAAATCCAGTAAAATATTTCTTTTTAGATTAGTAGATTTATTCTTCTACTTCCATCTCTACCTCTTGTCTAAGCTCTATCTTCCACCTCCAAAAGGGAGAGGCAAATGATGGTGGAGCTATGCTCACTTATTTAGCAAGACTGACAATAATCTGTTAAGTGGCTAAAAGGTCCCACTCATTTCCAAGTCCTCATCTCTACTGGAGAAATGAACCACTGAATTCTTATGGGTACATGTCATATCAGCTCAAACCCACAGGTCAGTGACTCTGAGGAAGCGTAAAAGAGCACCACCCCACAGAATTGGCAGCTGGGCACAGAGAAACAAGTAAGGGCTTTGGAGTGTTCTGGTCCGGGCTCTGTCATTTACTAATGTAGCCCTTGAGCAAATACTTTAAACCCCTTGAGCACTGGTTTCCTTTTCTGTAAAATAGGGAAATAGTATCTTCCTTGATGGGTGGCTGTAAAGACTAAATGAGATAATATATATCAATAATATGGCACATAGAATCTCTCAACCAATAGTTGTTATCATCATCACCATTATTAATCATTTAATCAGCCTTGATAAACAGTGCCCTAAAAAGTCAAATGAAACGTGTGGTTAGGCAAGAAAGAGGTGAAATTGGAGTAGAGATGGTTATTTAATTTTATTTATAACCAAGCCTTGTTCTATGAAGGATTTAAAGCAACTAACAAAAATATGTACAAATTAAAGGGTAAAAATAAATAGAAGGAGCTTTTGAGAAGAAAATGGGTAGAAAATAGAAGAAATGAATTAATAACAAGAAATCCATATCCAAAGATATTGGTAGTCGCTAGGGGTAAGTCACAAATTTGGCTTTGAAATTTTTTTGATAATTCAAAGTAAAGAGAAATATACACTGAGCTTCAAGATTCCCACTCCCCACTAGCTACAACCACAAATTGGGTCATGAGGAGAAGCATGTCTTTTCCTGCACCCAAGAGATCTCATGCAGAGGAAGCACAGTCAAGAAGTGGATGGTTTCTCAACCACAGCCCTCATAAATTCAACAATGAGTCTCTCATAAAATCCTTCAATGTCAGCCAAAGCACGGATCTACACTTCTACAAAATATTGGAGACTCGTGTGATCTGGTATAATCCTAAGGTAAAATTTAAAAATATCTAAAGGAATGTCTGCCTGTTTTTTGAAGCCAGCCTCTATAAATGTGTCTTGAAACTGGCTTTTGATAAGCCAGTTGAAGAACAGAAAGTTGAAAATGGTAATATCTGGCAAGCATCTGAGCAGCAAATATTTTTAATTAGTAATTAAGGGGAAAGAATCACTGGACTAACAGTAGGTTTAAAATCTGAAAGTTAAGGAGTCTAAGCAAACCCTGCCACTGCAGGGAGGTAGATGAGGGACAAATTATACATGGGATTGAAAGAGATAAGAAACAGTCCTGGGGCCTCTGACACACTGAGGAACACGTCATTGAGAACCAAAGTTCTAAGCCATAGCATGAGGCCATCGTGATTTCAGCCTGGCAAATTTTCAGTGCAGATGTTAGCAATCACCCACCATAGGCACTGAAAAAAAAAACTCAATAAAATACACATAGCATTTCTAATTTTAAGCAGTGTAGATCTGGTCAAACACTTCAAGATGAATTAGTTTCAAATAGTATTCTCAGATAGTGAAATGATTTGACCAGTGGCAGGGAATTGTTGGATATCAGCCACATGAAACATGGAGCACATCTGCCAAGGATGATGAATTTGGGTTAGAGTAGTTGATCTTTCCTTCTGGCAACATTTAAATAGCAGGGTCAGTTTTTTTTTGTTGAGGCCACTTTAGTAATGCCAGAAAAATCTCTGGAAGGAGCTGTACTCAGTCATCTTGAGAGAGGCTCAGCCCAACAGGGCTACCTGGAGGGGTGAGGAGACCCCAACAGAGAAGCAGACTTTGAAAGGAAAGCTGTCAGACAGCTTTAACTAGAGGAGACATCACCCAAGTCTCTAAAGAATCAATAAACCCCATGCAAGATAAGGAATTGGCATTTGGAATCTATTACACCCAAAGGGTACCGATGTCCTATTGCAACTATACCAGTTGTAGTGAATGCTGTTGTTCCCTGCCCGGACTCTCCCAAGGCACTCATTCCCCAGCTCACAGTTGAGTCCTTCCCCAGGAATTGCTCTTGGCAGATGGTGACGTCCTCTCCTTAGAGGCCGCTTGAACCCAACTGCCGTTACAAGCAGTGTCTGGTCCCCATGGCATACTTGAAAGGCCATTCCAGTTTCAGAGCTCCCCTGGGAGTGGCTGCGACCTCTGTGGCAACTGCACTGCAGTTCACCACCTCCTACTGCCCAGACCTGCTTCTCTCCCTCCCTTATGGTGTGTTCCTGAGAACATGCCTCACAAAGCTCTCCTGTGCCAAAACCTCAGTCTGTTTCCCAGGGACCTACAACACTAGGCAAGAAAGACTTTTCCTGGCCCCTGCCTCTCCTCCTTTCCCTCTGCTCCAGCCCAGGTGGAGCCATGAACAAACAGTGGCTGCTGAGTGGGGGAAGAGGTAGAATAATAAGACATGAAGAATCAACCATAATTTTCTTCCCCACTGCAGGCTCTCAAGGCTGAGATAGTCCTGAGTTGGGTGAAGAGAGGCACTTTAATTAGATGAGCTTTTGTTGTTATGTGATTATTGTGTCAGACGTTATAATAGTTAAATGTGATTGCAAAAACTATTGAACTACTCAGAATTTCAATCAGGAGCAGAGAGAAATGGGCCTATGTAGGAGGTCGCTACATAGAAAGCAAGGGTGCAAAAAAGAGTTGCTTTCCAATTATACCCTATCTCGTCCAACGCATTCAGTGAGCTAGTGAGACACACCAGAGGCACTGGGGTGAGGGTGAGGGTGAAGGCGAGAGGAGCCTTTGTGATATTGAGAATTCTTCAGGTCCTTGAAACAGGGGAAGAAATGAAGTAATTCTGACACAGATCTGAAAACTGGCCGAGAGGCCTGCATAGCAGTGCTGATGAGTGGTGGGTGTTTTTCTGTTTTTGTTTTTGTTTTTAATTTTAGGGACATCTGCTCCAAGTGCCTTTTGGTCCTGAAAATATTTTTGACCTCCTCATGACAGTTTCATTTCTTGAAGCAGCAGTATATAACCCTTGCTTAAGTCAGAGAATCAGAGGAAAACACATGCAGCAACATGGCTTACAGGATGTAATCAGAGAGCGACTTTCTTTGTATTCCCTCCCTTCCTTTATGCCTACCTTCTGAGGCTATTTCTTCCATTGCCCTAAGATGAAAATTCAGGAAGGTCTTGTGATTTTTCTGGTCATGCAGTCACTTTAACCCATTTATGCCTGGGGTTGCAATTTTTTGAATTTTTGCCATCAGACCTCGGCGATGACCTTGAGTGGCAGGATGTAAATAACTCCCACATGCTTAACGTTCCAATAATGAAACACTAGGCATAAGTTTAAGCACAAAGCACCATCTCAATTCAGTAACTAAAATCTTCATCTCCTGACTGGGCATAGTGGCTCAAGCCTGTAATTCCAGCACTTTGGGAGGCCAAGGCGGGCAGATCATTTGAGGTCAGTAGTTCGAGACCAGCCTGGCCAACATGGTGAAACCTTGTCTCCACTAAAAATACAAAAATTAGCCAGGCGTGGTGGCGCATGCCTGTAGTCCCAGCTACTCGAGAGACGGAGGCAGGAGAATCACTTGAACCTGGAAGGTGGACGTTGCATTAAGCCGAGATTGTGCCACTGCGCTCCAGCCTGGGCAACAGAGCAAGACTCTTTTTAAAGAACTTAAAAAATATATATTGTGGTAAAAAACACTTAACATAAATTCTAACCTCTTAACTTTTTAAGTGAACAGTACAGTATTAACAATAAACAAAATGTTGTACAGCAGATCTCTAGAATTTTTTCATCTGGCATAACTGAAACTGTATGCCCATTAGCAGAAACTCCCTGGTTTTTCTCCCTCCTGCCACTCTGCTCTGTGCTTTTATGAGTTTGACTACTTTAGATAACTTATGTAAGTGGAACCATGCACTATTTCTTCTGTGACTGGTGCATTTCCCTTATTTGGTTGGTACAAAAGTGACAGCAAAAACTACAATTACTTTTGCACCAACCAACTAGTATAATGTACTTAAGTTTCAGACACATGCTAGAATATGACAGGATTTTCATCTTTTCATGGCTGAACAATGTTCCACTGTGTGTATATAATGGTAAGATTTTCTATATCCATTCATCCATCAAAGGACATTTATTTTTGTTTTCACCTCTTGGCTATAGTGAATAATTCTACAGTAAACATGGGAGTGCAAATATCTCTTCAAGATCCTAACTTCAATTATTTTGGATACCTCAGAAGTGGGATTGCTGGATCATATGTAGTTCGAGTTTTAATTTTTTGAGGAACCTCCATACTGTTTTCTATAGCAGCTGCACCATTTTATATCCCCACCCAAAGTGTACAAGGGTTCCAATTTTTCCACATTCTTGCCAATACTTGTTATTTTGTGGGGTTTTTTTTTTGGTAATGTTCATCATAACGGGTGTGAGGTAATAACTCATTATGGTTTTGATGTGAATTACCCTGATGATTAGTGATGCTGAGCATATTTTCATATACTTGTTGGCCATTTGTGTCTCTTTTTGAGAAATGTCTATTCAAGATTGGATTATTCATTGTTGTTCTTGTTTGCTATTGAGTTGTAAAAGTTGTTTATGTATTTTGGATATTAAGTCATACAATTGCTTTGGTTTTTTTTTTTTTTTTTTTGAGATGGAATTTCACTTTTGTCACCTAGGCTGGAGTGCAATGGCATGATCTCAGCTCACTGCAACCTCTGCCTCCCAGGTTCAAACGATTCTCTCCTGACTCACCCTCCTGAGTAGCTGGGATTACAGGTGCTCGACATCACACACAGCTCATTTTTGTATTTTTAGTAGAAACAGGGTTTCACCATGTTTGCCAGGCTGGTCTCAAACTCCTAACCTCATGATCCACCCACCTCAGCCTCCCAAAGTCCCCAGTGCTGGGATTACAGGCGTGAGCCACTGTGCCTGGTTTCTTTGTTTGTTTGTTTTTTGTTTTCAGAGACAGCATCTTGCTCTGTCACCCAGGCTGGAGTGCAGTGGTGCAATCATAGCTCACTGTAGCCTCAAACTCCTGGGTTCAAGTGCTCATCCCACCTCAGCCTCCCAAGTAGCTAGGACTACAGGAATGCACCACCATGCCCAGTTAATTTATTTTTGTAGAGATAGGTAGGGTCTCACTATGTTTTCTAGTCTGGTCTCAAACTCTTGGCCTTAAGCAATTCTCCTCTCTCAGTCTCCCAAAGTGCTGATATCACAGGCATGAGCCACCATGCCCAGCCCCACAATTGATTTTTAATAAACTTTTCATTTAAAATAGTTTTACATATACGAAAAATGTCAAAGGTAGTAGAGTTCCCATATATCCCAAACCTAGTTCCCTAACCCATATTTATATACATATCTATAAATATTTCTATATGTAACTGTCTTAGTCTTTTGTTTTGTTATAAAAGAATACCTGAGGTCAGGTAATTTATAAAGAAAAGAGGTTTATTTGGCTCACAGTTCTGCAGGCTGTACAAGAAACATGGCACCAGCATTTGCTTTTGGTGAGACCTCAGGCTGCTTCCACTCGTGGTGGAAGGGGGAAGGGAGCTGGCATGTGCAGAGATCACGTGGCAAGAGAGGAAGCAAAAGAGGGAGATGGGAGGTGCTGGATTCTTTTTAACAACCAGCCCTTACAGGAGCTAATAGAGTGAGAAATCACTCATTACTTCCAGGGCAGCACCAAGCCATTCATGAGGGACCTGCCCCCATAACCCAAACACCTGCCATTAGGACCCATGTTCAACATTGGGGATCAAATTTCAACATGAGATTTGGAGGGCTCCAACAAACCAAATGATAGCAGTAACCATCTGTATTTAGCCAAACATAGTTTATAGTGTTTCCAACTCTAACCCGTAACCACACAAATCATTCTAGACTCATCCCCTTGCTTCTCTGTAACCTCCCACTCCAACAGTGAGAAACCTGGTTCCTCTTGTATTTTTGCAGGTTTTGTGGGGGTCCCTCCCAATTGTTAGGGATCTCTTCCCTGGGATTCCCTTGGTGAGGGCATGTGCTTCTTCACTGGCTGGTAACACCCCTTCCTCCGCACTAGGTTTTCAGGATACCAGGAGCTTCTTCTAGATGAGTTTGAACAATTCTCCAGGAAGTTCTCCAGACAGCCCCAGCTGTCTCTCCTTTGCATGGCCCACAGCTAGCCACAGGAAACACTCACACAGGTTTACTCTAACAAACCCAGGCAATGTTGGGATCCAAACCAGGCCCCTCTCCTTTATGCTGTCACCCAAGAGGGTACCCAGCCCATCTCTTACCTTGTAGATCTTACAGATAGGATTCAGACTGGGGAGATCAGCTCTGTGAGTGTTCTCTTAAGGAGTCCCTCTTGATTTGAAATGAAAGATGAAGCAATTTCCGTTCCTCCTTGTGGAACAGTGCCTCAAAGCACACAAATAGGCATCTCCAAATATTCTTTCCTAATATCACCTTTCTCACCCATCACCCTCCAACCTTCTGTATGTGCCTGAAGGATTTAGAGTTGTTTAACCAGTTTTTGGGCATCTCCTTTGGGAGACTTCTTCCTTACTTTGGAAGATGTTGTCTGTGTCATGGTGTTGAAACTTCCATTTTTAACACTGTGTGGTCTCTCATCCCAGAAAAATGCCCATAGACTTAAATTTTTACATATAACTTCAAGGGGTCTTTTGACCCCTTGAAGGTGAACTTAAAGGTTAAGAACCCCTGTCTCACAGGGTAGGAAAATAACTAATGTCCCTGATATAATGGACCTTACTAATTCTACCAGGAAGTGGGAAATTACTGGCAGAGTAGAAGTTACAGAAACCTTGAGAGATGACCATGCTCCCTGTGTGTGTGTGTGTGTGTGTGTGTGTGTGTGTGTGTGTGTGTGTGTGGACATTTAATTGAGGTTAAATTTATATAACATGAAATTAACCATAAACCATTTTAAAGTGTACAATTCAGTGGCATTTAGCACATTCATAATGTGCAGCCATCACTTCTGGTATGTTTTGGATACAGTTTATTTGTCCTCACCAAAACTTTTGTTGAAATTTGATCCCCAGTGTGGTGGTTTGGGGAGGTGGGGCCTAGTGGGAGGTGTTTGGCTCATGGGGGTGAATCCTTCATGAATTGCTTGGTGTCCTTCTTGCAGTAATGAGTTCTTGCTCTCATGAGACTACATTAGTTCTCTAGGAATGGATTAGTTCCTTGAAGAAAGAGTTGTTAAAAAGCAAGATTCTCCTCGTTTAGTCCCTCTTGTCATGTGTCTGCTTTCCTCTTGACCTTCTCTGCCATGTTATAATGCAGGACAAAAGCACTCACCGGAAGCCAGGGCCATATCCTTGAACTTCCAAGCCTGCAAGTCCTTGAGGTAAATTAACCTCTTTTCTTTATAAATTCCCCAGTCTTGGGTATTCCGTTACAGCAACACAAAACAGACTAAGACAACTTCAATCTAGTTCTAAGAAATTTTAATCATCACAAAAGTAAATCTTGTGTTCATTAGGCAGTCACTTCTTATTCCCTCTTCCCCTGCCCCTAGCAACCATTCATCTGCTTTCTGTCTCCATGCAGTTACCTGTTCTGAATATTTTATATAAAGGGAATTATACAATATGTGACATTTTTATCTGGCTTCTTTCAGTTAGCATAATGCTTTCGAGGCTTATCCATGTTGTATCATGTATCAGTACTTCATTCCTTTTTATGGCTGAATAATATTCCGTTATACAGACATACCACATTTTGTTTATCCAGTCATTAGCTGATGAACACTTGGGTTGTTCCTACCTTTTAGTTATTGTGAATAGTACTGCTATGAACATTTTGTACACGTATTTGCTTGAATACTTGTTTTCAGTTATTTCGGGTATATCGAGAGAAGTGGAATTGCAGAGTTATTTGGTAATTCCATGTTTAGCCTTTTGAGGAACTACCACATTGTGTTCCACATCAGCTGCACCATTTTACATTCCTCCCAGCAATAAACAAAAGTTCTAATTTCTCCACATCCTTATCAACACTTGTCATTTTAATTTAATTTAATTTTAAAGTTCTGGGACACATGTGCAGGATGCACAGGTTTGTTACATAGGTAAATGTGTGCCATGGTGGTTTGCTGCGCCTATCAACCCATCACCTAGGTATTAAGCCCCTCATGCATTAGCTAATTATCCTGATGCTCTCTCTCCCACTGCCCCCCACAATAGGACCCAGTGTGTATTGTTCCCCTCCCTGTATCCATGTGTTCTCCTTGTTCAGCTCCCACTTTTAAGTGAGAACATGCAGTGTTTGGTTTTCTGTTCCTGTGTTAGTTTGCTGAGGATAATGGCTCCCAGCTCCATCCATGTCCTGCAAAAAACATGATCTCATTCCTTTTTATGGCTGCATAGTATTCCATGGTGTATATGCACCACATTTTCTTTATCTAGTCTATCATGGATGGGCATTTGGGTTGATTCCATGTCTGCTATTGTGAATAGTGCTGCAATGAACATACATGTGCATATATCTTTACGATAGAATGATTTACAGTCCTTTGGGTATATGCCCAGTAATAGGATTGCTGGGTGAAATGGTATTTCTGGTTCTAGGTCTTTGAGGATTGCCACACTGTCTTCCACAATGGTTGAACTAATTTACGTTCCCGCCAACAGTGTAAAAGGGTTTTCATTTCTCCACAGCCTCACCAGCATCTGTTGTTTCTTGACATTTTAATAATCGCCATTCTGACTGGCATGAGATGGTATCTCATAGTGGTTTTGATTTGCATTTCTCTAATGATCAGTGATGTTGAGCTTTTTTTCATGTTTATTGGTCACATAAATGTCTTCTTTTGAGAAGTGTCTGTTCATGTCCTTTGCTCACTTTTTAATGGGGTTTTTTGTTTCTTGTAAATTTGTTTAAGTTCCTTGTAGATTCTAGATATTGGACTTTTGTCAGATGGATAGATTGCAAAATTTTCTCCATTCTGTAGGTTGTCTGTTCACTCTGATGATAGTTTCTTTTGCTGTGCAGAAGCTCTTTAGTTTAATTATATCCCATTTATCAATTTTTCCTTTTGTTGTAATTGCTTTTGATGTTTTTGTCATGAAATTTTTGCCCATGCCTATGTCCTGAATGGTATTGCCTAGATTTTTTTCTAGGGTTTTTATAGTTTTGGGTTTTACATTTAAGTCTTTAATCCATTTTGAGTTAATTTTTGTATAAGGTATAAGGAAGGGGTAGAGTTTCAATTTTCTGCATATGGCTAGCTAGTTTTCCCAGCACCATTTATTAAATAGGGAATCCTTTCTCCATTGCTTGTTTTTGTCAGGTTTGTCAAAGATCAGATGGTTGTAGGTGTGTGGTCTTATTTCTGAAATCTCTATTATGTTCCATTGGTCTATGTGTCTGTTTTGGTACCAGTACCATGCTGTTTTGATTACTGTAGCTGTGTAGTATAGTTTGAAGTCAGGTAGCATGATGCCTCCAGCCTTGTAGTATAGTGTAGGCTCTTTTTTGGTTCCATATGAATTTTAAAGTAGTTTTTTTCTAATTCTGTGAAGAATGTCAATGGTAGTTTAAAGGGAATAGCATTGAAACTATAAATTACTTTGGGAAGTATGGCCATTTTCATAATATTGATTCTTCTTCTCCATGAGCATGGAATGTTTTTCCACTTGTTTGTGTTCTCTCTTATTTCCTTGAGCAGTGGCTTCTAGTTCTCCTTGAAGAGGTTCTTCACTTTCCTTGTTAGCTGTCTTCCTAGGTATTTTATTCTCTTTGTAGCAATTAACACTTCTTATTTTAAATTTTTATTTTATTTTTTTACTTTTTAGATGGAGTCTCACTCTGTCGCCCAGGCTGGCACGATTTCGGTTCACTGCAAGCTACACCTCCCAGGTTCACGCCATTCTCTCACCTCAGCCTCCCAAGTAGCTGGGACTACAGGCACCCGCCACCACACCCGGCTGATTTTGTTTTTGTATTTTTAGTAGAGATGGAATTTCACTGTGTTAGCCAAACTTGTGGACATGAAGTGCTGTCACACTGGGTTTTGACTGATGACTAACATATTCAGCATCTTTTCATATGCTTATTGGCTTTTCTTATATCTTTGGTGAAATGTCTAAAGTCCTCTGCCCACTTTCAAATTGGGTTGTTTATCTTTTTGTTGAGTTGTAGGAAATGTTTATATATTCTGGATACTAGACCCTTATTAGATATATGACTAAATATGATTTGCAAATATTTTCTTCCATTCTGTGAAGAGCCTTTTCATTCTCTTGATAGTGTCCTTTGATGCACAAAATTTTGACAAAATGCAATGTGTCTTTGTTTATGCTTCTGGTGCCATATCTAATAAACTATTTTTATATCTAAGGTCATGAAGATTTACTTCTCTTTTCTTCTAAGGGTTTTCTAGTTTTAGCTCTTTATTTGGGTCTTTGATCCACTTTGAGTTAATTTCTACATGTGGGTAAAGGTCCAACACTGTTATTTTGCATGTGGCTATCTAGTTCTCCCAGCACTGATTTTTGAAACGACTGAATGTGTATTTTTGAGGACATAACAGGACAAGATTGAGTATGGTTTGATGTGTCCCTAGACCAGAGGTTACCACATTTTCTTAATTCATAATGCCCTCAATGTCTCAATGATTTTTTCAGTTTCATGTATTATAAATATTTAGGATCAAACAACTTAAGAAGTATTTATGCTCTAACAACTTAGTCATTCTTGGGAAAAATGTTACACATTAATTGAAAGAAAATGTATTTATTTCATTTTTAAATAACCAACAATTACTAAGTGTACATGTTTGGCACTGTACAACTTCTCAAATTCTGGACTCATATAGGACACTGCCACACTCATTTCTTGCTCTACATTGATTTCCACATGACACTTGCTTTTTATGACAGCAATCACTGAAAACCCAACCAAAGATATGATGTCGACAAAAGGAATAGAATGTGATCTAATGCTGAAATTGTAAACCATCTTGAGCCAGTAGTTCTTACCATATCTGATAGATGTTGGTATCCTTGTGTTTTCCTCCAAACTTTGCTGTAGTGTCCAGGGCATCTCAGCACACAGTTTTGGAGCCATGGTCCTATTCTTAAGGAAAACTGATTTTAATGCATAAAAGGGCAAAAAAAGGCATAGTTCTATCACACGAAGCTCTAAAAAGGAAGGCTTCTGATTTGCATTTCTCTGATGTCCAGTGATGATGAGCATTTTTTCACGTGTCTTTTGGCTGCATAAATGTCTTCTTTTGAGAAGTGTCTGTTCATATCCTCTGCCCACTTTTTGATGAGATACCATCTCACACCAGTTAGAATGGCAATCATTAAAAAGTCAGGAAACTACAGGTGCTGGAGAGGATGTGGAGAAATAGGAACACTTTTACACTGTTGGTGGGACTGTAAACTAGTTCAACCATTATGGAAGTCAGTGTGGCGATTCCTCAGGGATCTAGAACTAGAAATACCATTTGACCCAGCCATCCCATTACTGGGTATATACCCAAAGGACTATAAATCATGCTGCTATAAAGACACATGCACATGTATGTTTATTGCAGCACTATTCACAATAGCAAAGACTTGGAACCAACCCAAATGTCCAACAATGATAGACTGGATTAAGAAAATGTGGCACATATACACCATGGAATACTATGCAGCCATAAAAAATGATGAGTTCATGTCCTTTGTAGGAACACGGATGAAATTGGAAATCATCATTCTCAGTAAACTATCGCAAGGACAAAAAACCAAACACCGCATGTTCTCACTCATAGATGGGAATTGAACAATGAGAACACATGGACACAGGAAGGGGGACATCACACTCTGGGTACTGTTGTGGGGTTGGGGGAGGGGGGAGGGATAGCACTAGGAGATATACCTAATGCTAAATGACGAGTTAATGGGTGCAGCACACCAGCATGGCACATGTATACGTATGTAACTAACCTGCACATTGTGCACATGTACCCTAAAACTTAAAGTATAATAATAATAAAAAAAAAGAAAAAAAAAGGGAGGCTTCTTAAGAATGTTGAGAACTTTAAAAAATGCAGTTGTTCAGACCCTGACACAGAATAAAGGGGAGTTCACAAGGAAACCCTGGTGAGCCCAGACTTGAAAACATGTACAAATGATGGAAAGTCGCAGCAAGAGGAGACATAATATTAAGTACAAACTTAAGAGGGTGGCACAGACATGTAATGGCAGGGCTGGAAAAGCTGATATCCCCAGTGAGGCAAGTCTGGCAAAAAGTACAGAAGATCGCTAAAAGGGAATTTAATTTTTAGAGCTAGGAAATAATTTTTGGAGCAAGATGTGGGTAAGCCCAATAGTTGGGCTGTTGTCATGTTTCTCAAGATCAGAGAGAAATATGAACTTCTGATTGTTTCTGTCTCCCTTGTCAAGGAGAATGATGTTCAGACTGAAGAGGCTCACTTTACAGGAGCATGAAGGCATGTACTGATCAAGAGAGCCTAGGTACGCTGCAGTAACAAACAGTGCCAGAACATCAGTGGCTTAAACAGCAAGGGTTTACTTCTCACTCATGTGAAGTCCTTTATGGGTCCCATCAATGCTCTAGTAAGCTGTCCTTTGCATGGTGGCTCAACATTCCAGGTTACTTTGATCTTGTAGCCTTGCTGCATTAACATGGTCTCCCATGCAGGGGATGAGGGGCACTAAGAATCTTACACAACTCTTGAATGTTTCCACACTAAAGAGATAGATTTCATGTCCTCTCACATTTTATTGGCCAAAGCAAGTCACTTGACTTGGAGGGAATGGGGAGGGGCAATCTTCATAAGCATTTGGAAGAAGAGGAGACCTGGAAAAATCACAAGTAGCAGCAGTGTCTGCCATAAGGTATCTCTATCTCTGCCTCTTCTTCCAAGTCTGCTACAAACCTACATTTCCTGATGCTTGGAACAAGGTTTTAGGTAACGCACAATGCAAAGATACAGTCAACAGAGGGTTCAAATTCCACTCTTTTCTGCACAGACAGATTGTGTCCATGGCTTGCTTCTCCAGTCTGTTCTCCTGAAGTCAGCATGGTCTAGCTGAGTAGAATGAAGGATGTTCCCCTAGACCGTGCCAGGGAAAATGGGCCAGGACTCTGGTGGGGTTGGGGGTGGGACTGGGGCATAAAAGCAGAACACATGGCCAGCAACAGAGAGCAGGTTCTTGCAAACAGGCTAGGTTACTTGATAGTTTCTGTTCCCTGAGGATTTAAAATATGCTTAGCTGAAAAATGGAAACTACTATGATTAGGCTGACCCACTAGCTGCATTATGGGTAAGTAATAAAAGCCAAATTTAAGGGCAGTCCTTTTAGAGTTATAATAAATACTAATAATTTCTTAAGATTAAACATTGTAAGGTCCTTTTATGACTAGAAACAGTAAAGAACATTTACAGCTCTGCAAATATTTTCTCTGATGCTTCCTTCATTTCTTGATGCACTGGTGCCTAAAAAACTTTGTGTGGTCTCCACTGTGCCTGGCTTCACACTCTGCAGGGGTCTGACCCTGGAGTGGATTAGACTTTGAATGAGGCTATAGATTAGGTAAGGAGTCTTGGGCCTCCTCTTCAGCAGTAATCCTGAAAGGGCCTTTGCGTAAATTCTAGGCATCTTCAAACTGATCTCATTCAGTATTTGGGTTTATAATAGGTCACTATCCCACTTTTATTTCTGGCATAAATTTTGAAACAGATCACTGCTGTTTCACACTGTTGTTTTATCAACAGCAGGAGGAGTCCCACTCAGGGAAAATCCCAACTGAACAGTACTGTTCTTGCCTAAAATGGAGATTTTGCCAGAGTTAAGAAAGATGCAGCTGGCAAAAGGCACTGTTGCCACTTTTCTCGAAACTTTGCTTTAGGTACAGCCCAGCAGATCGGATGGATCACAGCTTGGCTATGGTTCTGCGGTAATTCAGAACTAAAACATAACTCCAAAAGAAAGACTCAAAATGTGGCTCCTCTCACTAGTGTAAGTTTAACAGCTCACTAGGCTGTTAAACTTACACTTAGCTGTCCTGTGTTTCTTTGGCAGTTTTGTAGCAGAGTTCTTACTCTGTCATACAGCGGGCGGGGGCTTTGGTGCACACATTTCTTGGAAGTGACACAAGAAAAGAAGCTGGGATTACTTTTTACAAGCATTGGCTCCAGAAATTAGAACAGATAATCCTCCTTAGTGCCACTGTACAACTTAATCAGAGGAAAAACATTTATGGAGCAGAAGATCCTTTAGAAAAATTGGCCCCTTTGTCCAAATAAATGGTGTGGATTTTACTTCAAACAGCTGAAAGCCATAAACAGGGAGAGTTGGGAGAGAACTCTGGAATAAATGGTTGAATTGAACTGAATTGTATCAGAATATGTGTATGAAGCAAGAATAGAAGGAATGAAGAATATGCTGCAGAACAAAAGTGTGCCTTGAACTTCATGGAGCTGCCAGCCTCCAACTCTTAAGCAAGGAAGCCTCTCATTTGGAGGATTTTTATATAAAATCCATGCAGTTTTCAGGCAGAGCTCTAGAGGGCAGAAAAGATATAGGTTCCTTGATGAAGAAAGTCACATTCACAAATTCAGGGTACCAATATTTTTTACATACTGTGCCTTTTTTTTTTTTTTTGACTAATGGCTCGGTTTAAATAGACTCTAGTTTACTATAGAATCACAAAATTTGAGGTCTTAGAAGGCTTGTAGTGTTGACAAGTTAGTTCTGTCCTATCATTTTATAACAGAGAAACAGTCTTTAAGGGGTTAAATGATTTTCCTAAGGTCATCCAGGTAGAGAGCAGCAGTTAAGACCAACCCTACTTCCCTGACCATCCCCCACACACTTGAACTCTTACACATTTAGTCAAGGTTTAAGAATGCCAACTTTTTTTCATCCTAAAACAATCTGGTCATAATGGAGACTTGAGTTCAAACTCATATTCTTGTCCTATGAAAAAGGACTGACTGGATTGGTAAGCCTGAAGCCGGTGCTGTCATTAAACTTGGACAGAGATCTCCAATGAGCCGGATCTATTTGAATTTCCTCAGCCAATACTTCCAGGCTTTGGACTCTAGGTGGCGACATAGGACCTTCGTTTTGCTTTCTAGGGAAACTGGACAAACCCTTCAGGAAGAAACCTGATTATTGCAGTTCTTCTTGACCCAAGGCAGACTGACAGCATTTTCTCTTAGCTAAGCTAATGATCAGGGCCTGGGTGCTCACTTATCAGATACTATAATTATTTTGACTATAATCCTGTGACAATGACTGTTATTTAACAGGTCTTCCAGTTGTGTCATATGTTTGGCAGGGTCATACCTGGAGAGAAGAGCATTTTTATTGATTTTTAAGCTTAACAACATTCTTGTGGCAGCTGCCCCTCCTTTTCACTGGGCCACCTCTGCCTCTTCTTTACTCTCCCCAGCCCAGTCACGCTGCATGACCTTACCTGCCTCCAACCCCCACCAAACATACTAATCTAGTGGAACTGGCTTTAAATGAACATAATGAACCACTCTGAAAGAAAAAAGCATTCAGAGGGCGGTCTGGTAAATTGAGAAGGGAGAGGGTGGCACTTCACGCATTTGATTTCTGGCTCCTTATCATCTCTAGAGCAAGGTGCTTCAAGAAATGGTCTAAGAATGACATGGGACATTTTCTTGTAAAAATGCAGAATTTGTGGGTACACTCCAGACATCCTTGGTCCCAGTCTCTCGGGGTAGGCCTTGGAATCCATCTGTTTAATTCCTAAATAGATTGTGTTGTGAACCACAGCTGCAAAGAAGCTGCAGACCTTTTAAAATCAGCTGATGGTGCTGTCTCCCTCACCACCTGATTTGCTGGCCTGGTGCCTGATTTCCATTGCTGAACTCAGAGCCTTACTGTTTCTTTTTTTTTTTTATATACTTTCAGTTTTTGGGTACACGTGCACAACGTGCAGGTTTGTTACATATGTATACATGTGCCATGTTGGTGGGCTGCACCCATTAACTCATCATTTACATTAGGTATATCTCCTAATGCTATCCCTCCCCACTTCCCCCACCCCATGACAGGGCCCGGTGTGTGATGGTCCTCACCATGTGTCCAAGAGTTCTCATTGTTCAATGCCCACCTATGAGTGAGAACATGTGGTGTTTGGTTTTCTGTCCTTGTGATAGTTTGCTCAAAATGATGGTTTCCAGCTTCATCCATGTCCCTACAAAGGACGTGAACTCATTCTTTTTTATGGCTGCATAGTATTCCATGGTGTATATGTGCCACATTTTCTTAATCCAGTCTATCATTGTTGGACATTTGGGTTGGTTCCAAGTCTTTGCTATTGTGAACAGTGCTACAATAAACATACATGTGCATGTGTCTTTATAGCAGCATGATTTATAATCCTTTGGGTATATACCCAGTAATGGGATGGCTGGGTCAAATGATATTTCTAGTTCTAGATCCTTGAGGAATCACCACACTGTCTTCCACAATGGTTGAACTAGTTTACAGTTCCACCAACAGTGTAAAAGTGTTCCTATTTCTCCACATCCTCTCCAGCACCTGTTGTTTCCTGACTTTTTAATGATTGCCATTCTAACTGGTGTGAGATGGTATCCCATTGTGGTTTTGATTTGCATTTCTCTGATGGCCAGTGATGATGAGCATTTTTTCATGTGTGTGTTGGCTGCATAAATGTCTTCTTTTGAGAAGTGCCTGTTCATATCCTTTGCCTACTTTTTGATGGGGTTGTTTGATTTTTTCTTGTAAATCTGTTTAAGTTCTTTGTAGATTCTGTATATTAGCCTTTTGTCAGATGGGTAGATTGCAAAAATTTTCTCCCATTCTGTAGGTTGCCTGTTCACTCTGATGGTAGTTTCTTTTGCTGTGCAGAAGCTCTTTAGTTTAATTAGATCCCATTTCTCAATTTTGGCTTTTGTTGCCATTGCTTTTGGTGTTTTGGACATGAAGTACTGTTTCTTAATAAAGACAACCACGCCATCTCCCAGCCCCTGCTCTCCCCTCCTTTTTCCCTCACAGGAACCTGACCCCATAGCACCTAGGGACACGTGACTAGAAAGGCAATATGGAATGGAAGGGATGTGAATACTGTAGTCATTTCCAGTATTTTTTCTCCCTTCTTTCTCCCACTCTAAATTTTTAAAATGTGATCTTAAATTTCATAATATACAAACAGATTCTTATTACAGAAATTCAAATTATATAGAGGACATTATAGCCCCTTTCAACCTTCCCCATCCAACATTCCCCCCAAATAGGATTGTGCTGTACATTATTTTGAAATGTGCTTTCATGATGTAATGTCATGCTTTAGGAATTTTCCCACATGAGTAGTTAAGTTTACTTCATTCTTTTGAACTGCTGCAAAGCAGTCTTTTCTCTAGGATACCAATTGTTAAAAAATTATACACACAATTTCGCATACTACTTTTTACATTTCATAGTGTGTCATGAACATTTTCCCATCTCATTATACGTTCTTCATAAAACATGGTTTTTAATGATTACATAGTATTCCAGCATATAATTATACCAAAATCAATAATTAATTTAATAATTCTCCAACTTCTGCATTTTTAGATTGTCTCCATTTTTTTTTTTTTCTCGAGACAGGGTCTCACTTTATCGCTCAGGCTGGAATGCAATGGTGCAATCACAGCTCACTGCGGCCTCAATCTCCCTGGGCTCAGGTGATCCTCCCACCTTAGCCTCCCAAGTAGCTGGGACCATAGGCACACACCACCACACCTGGCTAATTTTTGTATTTTTTTTTAATAGAGTCGTGGTTTTGCCATATTGCTTGAACTCCTGGGCTCAAGCAATCCGCCTGCCTCGGCCTCCCAAAGTGTCTCCAGTTTTTGATAATCATTCCTTCTCAATAATGAGCTCAATGTCTCCTTACACTTGCCTTCCCACTACTCCCTTACTTAGGGATTGTAACCAACCAAAAAACTGAGGTCCCTGAAAAGTGGCTGATGGCGACAAGATTATTCTGTAGTTTCTGTGCTCCCTTCAGGCATGAATTGCTGTATTTATGACTGTGAATGGGTGTTGAATTTTAACTTCTTAAACTTCTGCTGAAACTCCACTCTCCTCACTTAAATAACTGAAGCAAAATGAAGGTATCTTTCCCAAACTGTTTACTTTGAGCAGGTGAGCATTTTCACAATTAGAAGGGAAGTTTGCAATCAGTTTCTTTAATGGGAAAGGTGCTCTTATAGAATTAATACATGCATGGCTCAGGGGAAGTAAGAATCTCTGCAATTGATTGGCTTAAAGGGGCTCCTTAAAATCAGAAATACTTGGGCACTCATCGCCTCTGCTGGGTGATTGACAGGGGTCTTCAAACCATCCTCCTTTGTGGGAGGTATTTGGCACAGAATCATGATTTCAGAGCCTTCTGGATTAGAATCAATTAAATCCATAAATAGAAATGAGCTGCCATTATTGTCCCTAAAAGGATACACCAATACCTCCACCCAGCATGTTCCTGTATCACGCCAGAGTTTACAAACAGGCCTGCTGCACCTGAAGGGACACAGCTAAATGCAATTCTGGGAATAATTGTTACAGGAAGGCATGTGCTGAGTTTTAAGTGAAACATAAACTTGAATTTCCTTTTTGTCCCTCTAAAAATACAAGGCGAGCCAAAGATGTAGCCTCTGCTCTTGATGACATTTTAATCAAACATCACTGCACTACAACACTTCTAGCACTAAACTAGAAGCCTTTACAGGCAAAATAAAGTGCTACAGTAACTAAAACTAGCTGCAAATTATAATGACATTGAGAAGGAAATGAATAGTGTTCCTATTTGTCACATGAGAAAAGGATGTGAGTATTCCAAGTATCCAATGTTTCTCCTAGAATTTCAATGCTCTTTGACTCAGAAGTATTTAGAGAATTTGCAGTTCGATTTAGGCTGCAGGATTTCCATTATATAACATCTGCTGTATCTGGGAGTGTGATGAGAGGAACAGGTACCTCGCAGAGAGGACACTGATGTCTCTCTGCTTCTTTGTCTCTGTATCTCTCTTTCCCTTCATCGCACCCCCACCAGTTCCACCCGGCTCAAGGAGAAAGACGAATAGGCCTTTGGACACTGGATTTATACAGCACACTCACTCACAGCATCTGTGGTTCTCCTAACACCCTCCATGATGTGGGGAACAGGCATTGCTCTCTCCATTTTACTGAGAGGAAAATGAGGCTCAAAAGGGTGAATGGCTTGCTGGCCACCCAGCAAGACCACAGCAAAGCCAGGATTAGGACACAGCGCTTCCTGAATTTCACAGTCCTCCTCTTTTCTCTTTACCCCCTTTTATAGTTTGGGCCCAAAGCTTGCTTGCTTTCTAGTCAAAAACATTTCTTTCACTTGTTTTTAAGCACAAGTCAAAAACCTACCCTTTGCCCATGTCCTGGGTGGAACTTTGTTTTTAGTCATTCACTTCTAACTCCACAGGGTGATAAGACACTGAGTCTCCAGGGAGTCTGTGCTGGGAGCCTGAGGGTGAAAGGTCAGACCCCCTCTAGCCTTTGCTCTTCCTTTGGTGAGTTGTCAGGCAGCCTCTCAACCACTGATCAATCAACCTCCGACCCTGACTGCCTATCGTGTGGCCAGAGCTGATTTCTGTCAAAACAAAGGTCTTCCTCCCCAGCCCATGGCCTCTCCCAGCAGCTCCACGCCTTTCCCACCATTCTTTCCCTATTAAAATTTCTTCTTTCTACTCCCAATTGCACTAAATCTAAGCTCAGGAATTAGTCACTAACTTTCTGCTGATGTTGATTTGGCGGTTTCCACAAATTCGCACTCAGCACCTCGTGCAGTGCTGCCAGATTATCTATAAATTAGGGTGTTATGCATCTGAGATAAATAGTGGATAAATCAATGCATAAAGTCCTCCTGACTTTTTAGAGTCAGGAGGAAACTCAGGAATCATCTGATTCAACCAATTTGTTTTTACAAATGAAGAAACATAGACAAAGAGAGGCTACATGACTCTCCTGGGTTATACAATTACTAACATAAATATTATTAACTAAATCTTCTGATATCTAATATGCATTTTTCTCCCCATGAAACCATCCAGCTTCTACTTATTATAATTATTTTTATATTCATCTAATTTCATTCATTTTTAAATCTTGATGGTATTTTTTGTTTAATTAAGAAATTACATGTTATCTTTCAGCGTTGTTCACTTATCTTATATCTCATACAGTATTTTAAAAACCTAAATTTGTTTCCCAAATACTTAAATAATATGCACTCAATGTGTAATCTCTGGAAAGTAAAAGAACCTATACAGAAAAAAAAAAAATACTCAATTTCACCAATCAGAGATCACTATTAACATTTTAGTACATTTCCTACTAGTTTTCTTCCTCCTTTTTTTTTTTTTTTTTTTGGAAAGAGTCTTGCTTTCTCACCTAGGCTGGAGTGCAGTGGTATGATCTCAACTCACTGAGGCCTCAACCTCCCAGGCTCAAGCAATCTTGCCACCTCAGCCTCCTCAGTAGATGGGACTACACGTGTGTGCCACCATGCCCGGCTAATTTTTGTATTTTTTGTAAAGACAAGGTTTTGCCATGTTGCTCAGGCTGGTCTTGAGCTCTGAGCTCAAGTGATCTGCCCACCTCAGACTCAAAGTGCTGGGATTACAGGTGTGAGCCACCACGCCACAGGCATTAGCCACTGCACCTGGCCTTTCCTCCTAGTTTTCATACACTTGTTACATTGTTGAAATCATGCTATTGATAGAATTTTATATTCTAGGGCTTTGTTTGTTTACCATATCTTAAGCCTTTATTGTGTCATTACAAATGTTTTGTACACACATAATGCAAATAGCTACATAGAGTTCCTCATTTCATGGTGACACAATTATCTTTACTATACCCTAAGCCTGGAATTTAGATTGCTTCAAACTTTCCATTCTTTTAATTACTGCTGCAATTCTTATGCATACATATTTCTATACATTTCTCAATTTTTTCTTGGGAAAAAAGCCTAGAAGTAAAAGAGTCAAAAGCTATTTACATTGTTAAGGCCCTTGATACATTTTGGCCAGTTGTTTTCCTGGAAGTTGACGCCAACAGACACACGAATCAGCAGGCATCATAGTACTTTTTAGGGTATTTTTCCACAACCAGTATCTCATTTCTATAATCAATTTAGTCTTGAATGGCCTATTGTCTAAAATAGTTGTTGCTAAACACCAGTTATAAATTAAAATTGCAAACCAGACCCACAGCCCCCTTTGCCTTGCATTTCTTTAGTTTGCTGGTGCTCCCTATGGGTTAGACATGTCCCCACCACAGCACTGAAAAGGTAGGTCACCAGCTTTTATTGATTTGCTTTCTGACTACACACAGTTTTTGGGGTTAAATGTTTTGAAGTCCGACTAAGTGGGCCATGCGCTAGAAACAAGAGATAAAAAATAGTTTTTAGCCTCAAGTTGTTCTCAGCATAGAGGGAGAGGTAGCCAGGAAAACCACGGTAGCTCATGCCCCCTTGACTGGATGCATAGGGCGCTGTGAATGCCCAAACTTAGCATAAAAGACTCAGCCTCTGGAGGCACTGCCAGCTTTTCAGGAGGCACAGAATGCAAACTCTGGCTTCCAAGGTGATGAGTACACCAGACACAAGACCTCAGGTGATGGTGGTCTACACAGAGGAAATATCCTGGAGTGAACTGCACACTCTCCTGGGTAGTCTTGGAGCCATTTGAATTTAGAAAAGCTACTTAACCTCTCTGTTACCTCAGATTCCTTATCCATAAAAATACTACTAACAGGAACTACTTCATAGGACTGTGAAGAGTAATTGAGATAACACAGGTAAAATGTTAGAAACGTGTGGGGTACATCCTAAGAGCTCCAAAGATGTTCGATATCATCATTATCATCATTATAGCTGAAGCACTGAGTTCAAGTAAGGAAGTGGTGGGAGATGTGTGATTGGCAGGAGACAGGGTGAGCTCATGAAGACCTTCTGCAACATTCTGAGAAGGATGTACTTTACCCTCACACCCATAAGTCCCTTAGAAGTATGTTTGGAGTTTTGGAGTTAACTGTCTAGAGGCAGGAGGCTGAACCAATAATCTCCTCAAATTCCTTCCAGCTCTGAGACACAATTCCCGCTTGACAGCAAACAAACTCAGTCTCAATCTTGGACACACAGTCTTAAATAACACAACTGCTTCCGTTCAGCCTTGGGTCAACAACCAAAGACAGATATCTTCCCTGCCCTCTGGGATTTTTAACGGTTTACGCTCACCTCATGGGAATAATTCTTTTAATAATATTAAACTGTTTCACTAGAGAATAAATTCCTGGTTGGGGGTGGGGAGTGTATTAAAAAGACACCCAGCCCCCCTCCCCCCCCAAAAAAAAACTGAAAAAGATCTTGGGAATTTTCACGCACTGCAGGGCTGGGCTTCACTGGAAGCGAATGTGAAACCAGATGGGCTGATTTTGTCCAGAGGAGAGACAGTCTGCTCATTTTCCCTCTTTCCTCTTGCAGCTTCAACTAAGCAACAGGGAGACAGCCACAGCCCAGCTGCCCACCTCCATAGCAGCCCCCGTCCCTTCATTTGGGTTCATCTCTGGCAACTTGGTTAGTACATAAGTCAGTCCAGATACTGTTCCATGCTCCCTCATTCCTGCCCCTCTGCCTCAATCTGTCTGTGCCCCTACCTTCACACTAGTTGGTTATGCCCAGTTCTGTGAAGGCAAATGTCTCTAGAGATTCATTGTTGTCTCCTTGAGCAAACAGGCTGAGAGATAAGGGAAAGTGGCAGGGAGTAGAATAACCATCCATCCCAGATGACACCAGTTGTCCTGTTATAATTATAGTACCTACCTCCTTTCCTTCTTAAAAGTATCCTGGTCAGGCACAGTGACTCACGCCTGTAATCCCAACACTTTGGGAGGCCAAGGTTGGTGGATCACCTGAGGTCAGGAGTTCGAGACCAGCCAGGCCAACATGGCGAAACTCTGTCTCTACTAAAAAAAAAAGTAAAAAAATTAGCCACGCATGGTAACGCACACCTGTCATCCCAGCTACTCGGGAGGCTGAGACAGGAGAATCACTTGAACCCCGGAGGTGGAAGTTGCAGTGAGCCAAGATCGCACCACTGCACTCCAGCCTGGGCGACAGAGCAAGACTCTGTCTCAACAACAACAACAAAAAAGGTCCCGTTTGGATACTAAGTTATATGCAAACCCTATGATTATGTGCATATTAAACATTTAGCCTCATAAATCCAGGGCTGGGTCATTTTTCATTATTGAGTCTTCAGAACAGTGCCAACAGAAGGTATTTGATAATCTTCTGCACTCATCCTAGCTTAATCTTGAACGACGGTCCTACCTGCATCAAGTCTTTGGGATCTGAACCTCAGCTTTTACATCTGTAAAACAGAGATAATCATACTTACCTAAAAGAACCGCAAACGAAACAAAGACAATAGCATATTTTATGTTCTAGAAACTGCAAAACATTAAGCAAATATCATTTTTCAGAACACAGCTACCGTCACATAGCAAGCATGCTATAAATGCTTGCTGATTCAACAAATAGGTGAATAAGCTAGTAATAATAAATTAGCAGCCCTCAGTGGGTAAATGACTGATTCTCCTTAAATTGGAATGCCATATTTAGCAACCAAAGCTTCGATTTATCTATAAATGAGCTATCAAAATAAACCTCTCCCATAGGCTTGCTATGAGAACCAGAAAGGAAATAAATAATTGAAAAACATTAGGGAAAGTGGTACATGCAGCTGAAGCTCAGCTAAATGTAACACGAGGAGATAGGTCCCTATAAGCTAGCCCTTTCTGTAACCCCAGAATCGACAGGTGACAAGAGAGGGGCAGGACCTGCTCTACCTGGTTTTCTGGTAAAGGTCATAACCTTTAGACACTGTTGAGCCAGGATGGTGATTCAAGCGGGAGTTTCTTGATTCTCGTTTCACTTGGGACAGTTTAGGACCCAGAGGAAGTTCATTGTTACACCAGTGTGGAAATTCCTCTGCCTGGTGCACTTTTATGACCTGACTGGTCCCCCACTAATAGACACCATAAAATGCTAATTCATCTTTTTTTTCTGATTGGAAAAGGAAAGGACACTTAGAAAACAAAGCATTGAAGTGCGTTTGTTTTCAGCCTAGGTTTTAGAATATATGATTTTAGAGTCACAGAAGTCTGAGTTCCACATCAGATTCGATTGTCAATGGCTAGAACTAAAAAAAGAGAAAAGAAAAAAAGATCCTGACAAAGAAGCAGGAATCTCAGCTAAACAGCACTAAATACCAATTCTGCATGTATCTCCTAACAATGGAATTGGCCATGAACCAGTCATCTGGCATTTGAGCATCACATAAATTATAAAGGCTGTGAGATCTTTTATTGAGCGACAAGATGTTGGGTGTGAACAAAGCATGTCTTTTCATAGCAAAGCAAAATTTTCAACTTGGAAAAAATTACTCACCCAGCTTGTCAATTACAAATTTCCCATTCATTTGTGTTCATCAGATGTAGCCCTCCCTGAGTGTCAAGGACTGGGGATTGAATGAAGAGCTCCACGAGCACCTTTGGTAACACAAAATGTAGTAGGAGAAAGACCCTCCTCAATGAGCTTGCTGTCTAGTTGGGCTGACAGGACACATACATAAGACAACCACTCAACTGCTTTCAGAAAACTAGTGAGAAGCAGAGAAGTCGCATGATAAAGGCAGAGAAGCAAAACGTTACCCAAATTAAGCTGAGAGAGGATGCAATACTTTTGGGCCATGATAGCTGCAAATTTAGGCATGAGATTTTCAGCACTTCTTTCCTGGTTAATCAGTATCATCAGCCACCTCCTGGTGTGGGATAGGCCCTTAAACTGCCACTGCATCTTAGTCCTGATTAACTCATTCAGATTTCTGATCTTGCTCACCAAACTCTAAAACCAACCCCTATGCCTGTGCTCAGACTCTAGGGCTTGTTTTTTCACATATGAACTACTGTGGTACCCTGCTTTGATTTTCACAAGGAACCCATTGATAAGGGTCTTTTAAGAGATGATACATTCTGCTCTCTCCTGATCAATGCAGGTTTCCAAGTTCTTAACCCAGTCATGTGGGCAATGCTTCCTAGGAACCAGAAGTCACTCAGTAGAGGTGCAGAAACATGGCAAAATCAGCAGAGCTGAAGCGGCACAGAAAACATTCCTGGACAGGTCGGGGAGTACGAGAGCCCAGGAAGTAACAGCATGCAGCCAGGCACACTGTGCTTTCTTCCAAAGAGAGGGGCTTTAGCAACAGGCATATGTGGATTCACATCTTGTGTCTACCACTTAATGGCTGTCTGATTTTGGACCCTTTCAGGGTATCAGTATTTTCACCCATAAAATGAGACTATCATAAAACATAACTCCCAAGGTTATGAGGTCTGAATGAGCTACCTTTTATAAAATGTTTACCATGGTAACATACAGTAGTTCCTTTTCTGAAAACATGAAAAAAAATGTATAAAGGAGTCAGGAATTGACCCCTAACCTCAAGGAAGAGCTGCAGAGAAAGATTGAATCCACCTGGGAAGGCTTGTCCACAATTAGTATACCAAAAATAGCAACAGATCCTTGAAGAAAAGCACTAATATCAAGGAAAGATCATGAACTTTTTGTTGTCAAAAATAATGGAAGAATGAGGTGCTCTGGTTAAGAATGGATAGTCTGGTTAAGAGAGAATCCCCTTCACATTGTTTTCCTATAATGGAAATTGAATAAATATTTCTTTAATATACCATATGATAATATTATATATACCTTTATTACAAAGGAATTCTCAATTTTTAAAATTATGTAATATAATATTCTGTCTATAATATAAAAACCATGCAAAATACAAATTACTCTTAGGGGAATGGCAATTCAGACAATATTTCAGAATCCTTTAGTAGTTAGGAACCGTACTTTGCATATTAGTCCTCACTGGGTGTAGTGTGATGAACTGTGTCCCCCCAAAATATATATTCAAGTACTAACCGGATATGAGGGCAATCTGGCTGTGACAGCTGTCACCCCATTGATCACTAGGGTGGATTTGGCTGATCTGGCTGGCTAGGCGGGTGTCCCTTTCCTCCCTCACTGTTCCATGTGTGTCCCTCCTGAAGCTGTGCACTCAGTGGAAGAGGAGGACCATACCCAATAGAGGAGGACCTGTCTTCAGTCAAGGGTTTATGACTAGCTGCACTCCCCTGCTAGAACCTCTAAACGAGCTCTCAAGTACTAACCTCCAGTACCTGTGAATGTTGACCTTATTTGAAAATAGGTTCTTTGAAGATGTAATTAGTTTGGATAATGTCATACTGGATTAGGGTGGGCCCTAAATCCAAGGAGAGGCCATACAGAGACACAAACACACACAGAGGAAGGCCATGTGAACAATGGAGGCAGAGATGGGAATGAGGCAGCTTCATGCTAAGAATACCAAGGATTGCCAGCAACCACTAGAAACTACAAAGCAGCAAGACAAGATTCTTCTCTAGAGCCCTGCCGACATCTTGATTTCAGACTTTTAGCCTCCAGAACTGTAAGAGAATACATTTTTTGTTGTTTTAAGCCACTAAGTTTGTAGTAATTGGTTATGACAGCCCTTGGAAAATTAATATATTAGGTAAACCTGAATGGAAGTTTTGATGTCCACATTTTATAACTTGCTTTCATAAATGTAGAATAGTTATATATTAAGGAGAGTTGTTCCTTAATACACTTGGAAGCATACTCACTTGGTAATTATACAATTAAAAAATAATGATATATTATTGAAGAATTATGTGTATATCAAATTGTAGTACATAAAATATGCAAGTGAATTCACCATTAAACATTTGCATTCAGTGAAAGCAGTTGTAAAACAATTCGTCAGCAGAATTGCTTTACACAGAAAATTTTCAGGAGTAAAAGCAGCAGAGTAGTATGACCTCTTTTATTATTTCTCAGCCAACCACCTTTCAAAGTCTTGCTCTTTTCTTATTAAATTAGTGATTATTTGGACCTGCTAGAACTATCAAAATTAAATACTGCTTTCAACAAAACGCTCTTTTTCTCTGTATGGCAAAAACTTAGCATAAAACTCTAAGCATGAGAAAGTTCGGGTTGCCTTTTATTTACAGTCTTTATGAAGCAAATAATATTCATATTTTGAATTATGCAAATAAGCATTTACATGATAAATCGTAATTGCTCTCAGACAGCTGTTTATAATTGGGTAAATGAGACACACTTTTAAATTGTCTAAATACATACTTACCCATGTTTACATATTTATACACTAGACTAACTATTCTCAATCAGCTGTTATCATCTATTGTGTCTTATACAGATCAAGGGAAAAGAACTTCGGAGTATAAACAGCAAAATCCCTTTTAACTTGATCTGAGACCAGAAGGACTCCCATTTCTTTCAAATAAAGGGTGATCTCTTTCAACACACCCCTTGCCCATGGCATTCCACAATACCTCTGGCGGGAAATGCTTTAATACCACTTCGCTTGGGTGGGAAGTTAATCCCAGTCCATACCTTTATCTGATTAGATGCACTATGGCAAAGAAGAAACATGTCCCTTCTAATGAGGCATTTTTACACTCAAAAAGCCCATTTGTCACATATTTACCAATGTATTCTGTGTTAACCCCCCAAAAATCAAGTTTTTCTTTCAAGAATACAGAAGAAATACAGAGCACACAGTGCCTATCCTGGAGAGGCTTACAGTCTAATTAGGAAGATGGAATTAGCACATTTGAAATGCTCAGAAGGCAATTAAGAGGAAAATCAGATGATTTTGACTGTAAGAGCTAAAGGAACTTGGAAAACAAAATAATATGACCTTGATTTTGAGGACAGACTGGGAGCCAGCTAGCTTCTCTCTGCAGAATGGGGACTCTCCAGCCACTGTAGGGCTGGCACAGATGAGGGATGCAGGAGCCTGTCCCCCACCCACCACATTCACATTGTCTTCCAGGTAAATCCAGGAAGACAATGATGTGACACAGCTTTCCTTTAATTTGCCATTCTCTTTTCCCTTTTCTCTAATTTTCTCAGTAGGCGAAGAATTATACCTTAAAAAAAAAAAAAAAAAAAAGCTCAAAGCATTTTCCTTTGCCTTTCTAAAGCAGTCAACATTTGCCTGTTTCTGGTCCTTTCCAGGTAAGTGCATTTGTTTCCAATGCGTCTGATTCTGTTCTTATGTGGTGTTTCACACGTGCTAACGAGAGAGAACTTTTACTACAAGATGCTCTGGCTGAATTGAGAGGATTCAAATGCTACTTCAGGAACTCACATGCTAGAAAGAATGAATCCTGAAGCACAGAGACTCCAGGGGAAAAAAACCTGAAGCAGCAACAGAGCCACCCAGAAATGAAAACATTAGGGCTTGGGAGTCTCTATCCTACCATTAAAGTGAGATGAGAGCCTTTGCATTGCCAGCAGAGATTTGAGAGCCAGGAGAGCAAAGTAGGCCTGAGGCCAAAATCTGAGACTGGAGTGTCTGAGTAATGCTGCTGAGTTTAAAGACACCTTTTCTATAGGCAGCTTTCCCCTTACTCTGTTAGGAGAAGAAAGGCTATTCAAGGACTCATGATGCAGGGTATGCTGAAGTAAGAAGAACCCTACATTAGGAAAATCTGGGCTCCAAGCCAGGCTCTGTGAGATGCTGGGCAAGTCACCCAACCTCCCTCTGTGCCTCCGTTTCTTCTGTGAAAGGAAGGGGTAGAACTAGATAAAGTTCTCTACAGCTCTGTCACTGATAATCCTAAAGTTAGTATAGGACAGCTCCAAGTTGGTTATATGGGGGTAAAACTCAGCTTCTCCATAAGCATCTCACTTCTCCCAAGATACATTATTATTACAGCAACAATTGCCACACTTGAGTACCTACTAACTGTGGGCAAGCACTATGCCAAGCAACCAAAACAAATATCTCATTAATCCTCATAATCCCTGTATGAATTTTTATTTCCATTTATACATGAGGAAACCCTGGCTCAAAGAAATTACAAAACTTGATCAAGGTCATTTAGGCACTATTGGGAGAGCCAGATGGCAAACCCAGATCTGGTTCTATTTGATCCCCAAATGTGGTGCATGTTGGAAAGAAAAATCAGGTTGCTTGTTATGGACTATTAACTATACTTGACTAGATCAGCCTCAGTACTAGCTTAGTGCCTGGTGCTCCTGAGTTACTTACCATATATTTGTGGATTATAATTTTCTCAAAATTCTGCCCCTTGAGAGACCTGCATGCTACTGACAATAAAGTGAGGTGTGTGGGCAGTCTTGTGGTGGGGGGTGGAGGGGGTTGTACATTTTGCATAATTCCATGACTCTAGTTAGTGATTAGCCACTCCAATGAACAGCCTTCCAGATCCACCAAGAGTGTGATCGCTGGCCACAGCAGCCGGAGTGCAGACCTCCTGACATTTTGGTCATACTTGGAAGAAGAAAATTGGCTGTGGATACAGCGTAGCTTGGAACAAGAATATGACCATTCCCCACCACCTTGGCTCCCTCCTGAGCAGAACTCTGGGTGGCTAGCCTGGCCCCCAGGCTCCAGGTCTCTGTCGGTCTCCAGAACTGACACGAGTCACCTTGGGTGGTCCCTCCCATGCCCATTGTGCACGTGCAGCTTTCTGCCTATTGACATTAAGGGATGTGCCCCCACCTTCCCTTTGTTCCATCCTCGATTTAAGAGACATTTGTTCTCACTGGCTTTTAACTGATTTTCAATCTGTGTTCATTGCTGGGGTAAGTTAACTTTTAAAAAAATTCGACTTGCAAAGTGTTTCTGTGCTGCCCAATTAGCATTGTAACAGATGAAGCTGTTTGGAAACAAATACAACTTAGACCAGATAAAGCCACACTGCTAGTCACTGAGATGCTGGAAAAACAAAACAAAACAAAAACCCCCAAAATCACATACACACACACACACACACACACACACACACACACACAACCAAACAAAAAAACAAATCACAACAGGATCCCTACATATCAGACTTTGTTCCCTACATGGACTTTTAAAATGTACAGGCCTTCGGGTCCCTTAATTGGCATCTGAACAAACCACCAAGCCCTTTCTCCTCTACACTTGGTGGTGTGGTACTCCAGAGGTGATGAAACTGACTCCCTGCCACTTGCCTTCCCTTTACCATCCTCCAACTGGTAAAAGCCCTGGCTGGCTGGAGATGGGGAATCCCTAAGCTGAGACAAGCACTCACCCTCTCACTTTCTCCTCCCTTCCTCCTTCCCTTCACCCTGTCCCACCCACCTCCCTTCAGTGCAAACTACCTCAGATTCAGTTAGAGACACTTGTAGGTTTCTCCCTTCATCCCCATCCCCATGCTACCCCTTAGGGATGCTCTTGTGATCAATCAGCTGCCTGGAGAATCAGGATCTCACTCCGACTTCCCTAGGATTTGAATAATAGAAAATTTCAATAACAGAAAAACAGTGTAATTCATAAAAGGAGATATTCATGTACTTTTCCTAATGGTTCTATAAAAGAGATGACTAAAATAATTCATGGAACTTGAGTAGTTTTTTATTTTTATTACAGAAAAAACCAGAAGGTTAAATTCACCAGGGATGACCTGCTAATGATCTTGGATAACCCCTGCATTCTGGCATCTGAGCTTTCACAAAATTTATCATTATAAAATCATTTTAATAATACGTAAGAAATAGAATGTCTAACTTTAGGTACATATTTATACTTTTGATTTTCCCCGTCTAAATCGGCCTTATAGCCCAGTCCTTTCGTGTAAGAAAAATTTTTAAAAGGAAGGTTTTGTTTTGGTTTTAAAGTAGCCAAACCTAAAGAAGCAACTACAATAGAATCTGTGACCATCTATTTCTTTCTCATACTACAAACTGACTGAACATATCCTTACTCCCAGTGCCCAAGAAAAAAAACTGTGTTTTCATTATGTATAAAAATGTGCACATCCTGATGGCATAGCCATCCAAGAATATATCAGTCGAGTTTATGTAAACTGACTTGACGTGAGGAGCTGCTAATGAAAATGAGCACTGGAAACACGCTGCTCATGGGTGGATGTGTCAAGCACAGATGGTCTTCACGGTGAGTTCATGTGGACCACGAGCAGAGGAAAGCTGGAAACAGACTAGCTGGAAACCGTGGGGAAGTAACCTGGGGTTGGTTATAAATCAAATGAGAGCTTGACAAAACGTGGAATCCAAAAAATGCAATGAAAGTTTTCTGAGATGATATCTTGTTTCCTCAGGTTTGTGTTACAAAGCAAAATGTTACATTTTAAGAATAAGCCAAGGACACTTTAGGATGGAGCTTGTTAACAAAAGGAATGTGGTCAGCATAGAAACAATTATGGGGCTTTTTGTTTGTTTGTTTGTCTCACTTAATTAAAGGCCATACCCGATTAAAAAATACAAACATGTATTAGGATGAATTTATTATCTTGGGGATACTGAAGCTATCATTTAAAAATAATCTACCTAAAGCACAGTTTTACTATACTTAAGTTGTGTTAAACATGGCATATATATTTTTGTGCCAGAAAGAATTTCCTTAGATAAAGTCATTTCTTAGTTGTTTCCTAACTTAAACAAGTTCAATTTATGGGTTTTAAGATTCAGAGCAAGGCAAATAGAACAATAAATTTCTCAAGAAATTCTAAACGCCCTTCTTCATATCCTGTCGCTAAACCTAAAATGCCCAGCGTGGAGCTTTGTCGTTTATATATTTGTCTGATGGATCCAGAAGTAGTTTCCATGGTAAGCTCCCTGTGCACAAGAAGCAGGGTGAGTGGAATGTCTCCTGCCAATGAAGAACTTTTCACTGACAGTGATAAAGGCCAGGAACCTCCTTCACACAAATGATTGAAAAACAGAACACGGAGGACATTTTTATTTTGTTTTGTTTCCTTTGTGTGGTATGTGACTTCAGTGCAAATACCCATTTAATCAAGAATACAAAGACAGCCACCTTTGCTGGTTAAGGGATTTCCAGAGGCTGCAGTAAACATATATAGTTCTTTTACTCTTTTTGTGGGGAAATTCCCACAAGCAGTCATTTCTTGCTTCTGTTGTGTATTTGTGCCACCTCTTGGAAGAGGGGAAAAGATTTTTCCAAGGGAAAATTAAGAGTAAACTAGATAGGATCTAGAAAAATTTGAAGTGTTTTAAAAACTAAAGCTTATCTATTGTCGTAATTTTTAGAATTATAAAGACTTTGGGAAAGAATATAAAAGCTACTCTCAACTGGAACTTTTCCATCCATGCTTATCCTCTTTGAGTTGATGAGATCAAATTGAACCTGTAGCTTCTAAGCTAGCACATGCTGTCTTTCTCTTTCACTTTTTACTCTTTCTTTTCTAATACCTTCTATTACAATGGACTCTCTTTCTCTTATTTAGGTCCTCTTCATCCTCCCCACTGATTTCTTCAATTCTAGGGATATCTCAGTCTATCTCGCCTTTAAGTCCCTCTTTAAGTTTTCCATCTTCCAGATAATCTCTTGTGACTGAGACTAAGTGTGAATATACGTTGTAAACATTCTCAAATGTGTAAAATATGAAGTGATATTTTTATTACTACTATTGTCGACATCGATAAGAGAATTGAACATCTGATTCTTTGGCCCTTTGAAAGACTGGGATCCCTGTCTTCACGGAATATTAACAAATACTTCTCCAGAATGATTGGTTTAGTGTTTTGTTTAAATTTCTGTCAAGTAAGACAGAAATAATACCTCACTTTAATGATGGGATTCTTTTAGAATTCCAGAGATGATCTAAGAACAAAGTAAAGGTATATTTTAAAAGACCCCATTATAATGCTTGGGCAATTTAAAAAATAATAACTGGCTTGAACTGAAGTGTTGATGGTTAGTTATAAGCACGCACTATGGGTAGGCCTATGTGAGATACTGGGGCTGAGATCATCGAATATGTTCCTGGGGTCAATCTACCCTGTCAGTGTCTGCATGTAGCATTAAATATGATTTAGGGCCTGGAACTTTATTATGTAAACATCAATAAGAATTCTGTGTTATAGAAACTACATCTATATCAGTTGAGCAAAGGAGTATAACATGGTACTTTAAAAAAAAGCTTAGACAAAAATAAGAGGTTCAGCTCTGGACAAATAAGATCTGACACCCCTCCTCCAAGGTGTGTTACTATTTTTATTCTGCTAACTTACATATCATGCCATAACAGCTATCCTTATTATACCATTGTAAGGCATAAGGAAGACTAGAATATTTAATAAACTAAAATTTAAACAGTTATTTGCTGGCTTTTTAGCAAATGGTAAGGATGGATATTTAATAAAATAAGTTTATTTTTCAATTAATTGAACCATTTTACTTCTATATATTTTTTCATGTACATACTTAAATAACTAGAGAAACATATTAGGAAAGAAAAGCTTTCCCTCTAGAGATCAAGAACAGTAACAAAGTCAATGTAAAGTCATTATTTTAAGAGACTGAAGGTAGGATCATTCAAATCTTGTCATTTGGCATTAAACAATAAAATCTAAAGCCATTTCAAAAATAGACTAAATTTCCAGCCTGAAAATAATTGCTGTTTGTTCCTTGTCCTGTGTGTATATATCATCGATATAACTAAGAAAGAATCACAGCCAAGCTTGGACTACTGTGAAGCAATTGATTATTAGCCATTAGAAGGGAAATGTTTACTTGTTTTTAGAAAGAAAGGCAAAGAGATCTGATTTTAAATGATGCCTATTCCTTACATCCTATGACCAATCAAGATCATCCACTTCTTCTTGGAAGTGTCAGAACCCCATTTTCATTTTCCTTTTGCTATTTTAACCACAACAGTGATAAAGAGGGGGGAGCAGTTGCTATGAGGCAAAGAAAAATGTCCTGGCAGTTGAGGGCCCTCCATCTATCAAGGGGAATTTGCAGTGTTGCCTCTCTTCAATACTGTATAGATTTGCAGGATTTTGTGAAACACTTAACCAAAATGGAAGGATTTAAAAACGGAATGCAAGATATAGACACAATCATTTTTTTCAAAATCAAGATGCTTTAGTTTTATTTCAGAATTTTCTAGTCTTAAAATCTTAAGCACGTGGTAGTGATAATCATCTCTGGATAATACTTCTGAAAGGATGATTATTGTGGACAGCTTAAATATACTCATATATTACAGGTGCCTAAACATTAAAAACTCTTACTGGAATTGAGATATACTACATCCAATTACAAGAAAACAACTACTTAGCTAATTAAATAATAATATTCACATGGTATGTTAAGTTGCAAAGAAGTTCAATTGTCCAGAACACCAAATAATATATGAAAATCTGGAAATAATGTCCAGTTAAATGCTTACTTGTGATTCTAAGAATCTCTTGGGAATTGGAGGCAATTCGTATATATCTCCAATGTGTAAAAAACTTAAGATTAGCTTGACTGTCTTTTCCTATTGACCCAATATCAAAATAATTTTCCCCTCCCATGTCTGTGAATTTATCTGATGTGAAAAGGCAATATAGAAAGTACCTTTCTCTAATTCTGGCTTTCCTGCATTTCTTCAGAAGGCACAGTTTATATTGAACAATTTCTTGGAGTCCCCCGGTTCTAGCTCTCAGAGATAATTCAGCTAAATCCGCGGAGCAGAGCTGAGAGGAAGGTTGGCCTATGGCAGAGGCACTTATGGCAGAGGAGGAGGGAATCCAAGATGAAGCAGGTAAGCTGCAGCCCTTTCTAGAACCAGGAGCTACAGGGTTTCCATGGGACATCTAAAATGCAGACCAAGGCCCAGGAACACTGTTTCCGAAGCCCGTGAACATGAAGCTAGAAGTAATATTTGGAGCGAATCCCAGAGCAAAGTCCTTCCCAGAGCACAAGTGCTAGATGGGGCCTGTATCTCTGCTTTGGAAGCCAAACACTAAGAGTAAAAGCAAATATTTGATGCTGAAGAGCTCTTAAGAGCTGAAGAGCGCCATTTACTTATTTCTACACGTCAGTGTGGGCTTAGGATGTTAAATAGATTAAAAGGCTAAGAGAGGTCAGTCACTCAAGGAAAGACTCTTCTTTTGCTTCTCCTGACTTGGTTCTCTTCCCTAAATTGTTATCCACCCCACCCTACTCCTGTGGAGGATCCTTGGGAAACTCAAAAGATGACACCTCCTCTCCTAGAACATCCTGGAGACGGAGTCAGTCCTGGGGCTAAGAATTCGAGAACCTGAGGGAGGAGGGAGTCTAAATATCCGGCTGGTAAATGCTACAATGAAGATAGGTTTAGAAAAATTCCTGAGATACAGAATCATAAAACTGGTAGGGTCCTTAGAAATTACCAAATCTATTCTCCTACTATCTTCTGTATCAGATTAATTTTAAAAAAAAAAAGGAAGGAAGGAAGCTTAGAGAAATGAGGTGGTTAGAGATAGGTAGGGGCAGAGCGAGGATGCGAACCGATTTCCAGGCCAGAGCTCCTTCTACCTTACACAATCTCATAGTTCAAGACCGAATTTGGGAATCAGTCTTAACACTTGCTTCCCCAGGACGGTCTTTGTCAGTGCCTCAGCTTCTCACTAGGGAGGTGGGCTGGCAGAGATTGCCAGGCCTCGGGCTCTGGCCAGAGATAAGTCCACGAGGCCTGGAGCCAGTCTGCGACCTGCCCACTCTCTAGACGCTGGGGGCTCGGGAGCTGAGGAGCGGTGCGCGGCGGGTTTCCAGACTCCGCTGTCCCCTGCCCACTCCAGGCTCCCGCCCCGGCCCCGTCTGCAGAGAGGACAGCCAAGTCATTTCAGTTTAATCTTATTTAAAAAGACATAACTAATAAATCTATTGCCAGGGCCGCGGAAAGACGGCCAGCAGAGTCGATCGTGCTCCCAATCCCATTGAACCCCATTGAAAACCATGACAACACCGGACAAGCTCCGATTTATCCCGGCGCGTTAAAGCGCATTGTGAGCAGACGTCAATCATGCATTATTCCGGACTGAACAAATGCAAAATCTTGACTGGAACAAATGCTTCCAACAGGTCCGGGGCGTCGAGCTCCATTTCCCCTTTGTCCGCGGCCTAGCAGTTGGCCTGTATTGGGGTTGCCTCCGCCCGACCACCCAGCGCGCGGTGCAGCTCCGGGCACCTCGGGCACGCTTGATAGGGAGGCTGCTGGGGAGGGTGCGCGGGGCTTGACAGGGCCGCCGCCGCCGCATCCGAGCCAGGTTCGAGTTCAGCCCGGGAGGAGCCAGGACTTCTGGTGCAGCCACCCAAGTACAGAGCCCTTCGCTACAATTTAGCAACTAAATATCCAAACTACTAGCTTCAGTAGGAGAGGCCTCTGAGAGGGCGTTCCTCTGTAGATTGAAGCGCGGCCAGAGCTAGGCCATGGCCCAACAAAATGTATCCACGGCGGCCTGTTCCCTGCGCCTCCTACATTGATCATTTTCTAGGGTGGAACTGTGGAAACTAGAAGATCCCAGAGAAACCCATGGCCGGTGGTATTTTCTGCCGGGTAGGCCCTGTCCTAATTCTCCCGATCGGTCCATTCCCGGACCAAGGCGGGCAGCCTCGTCAGGGTCTGCCATGCTGCGAGCGGGGAGCGTAGGCCATGGGCAGGCTCCTGGGCAAAGACCAAAGCCCAGGCAGTGAGAGTGCCGTTGAGGCTATGGGGCCAAGGCGCACAGGCGGCACCAGTTCATCTGGCGACTCCAAGGAGGCCTCAAAGCCCTCACAGGATGCCCTGAGAAGCGCCCCCGCCCAGGGGCTCTAAAGCGGGCCTGGACCCAAATTTGTGGAGCTCGGCCTCCGAGCTCCGAGATCGGCAGCGGCCGGGCGAAGCTGGGCCAAAGAGACAGGCACTGTAGACCTAAGTAGCTTGGCTACAAGCCTCTTCTGTTTTGCCGGCCTGTGGAGACGTGGAGCTGGGGCTCCGAATGTTGTCCCAGCCCTTCCTCAGCACCTCTGAGGCTGTTAGGGGGATGTATGGTGTGATCCGAGGCTCCCAGCGGCCGTTGAAACCCCTGGGCCAATGCTGGCAGGGCCAGGCTAATCTTTACGCCCTCCTGAAACTTGTCATCCTGAATCTTAGAGGGGCCCAACCAAAAAGAGAAAGGGAGCGCGCCAGAGTTTAACGCCGCTTTGTAAATCACTTTCTGGATAATTGCGGGAAACTACCACTCCAGCAAACAAGCTCGAAGAATAAAGCAAACAGGGAATAAATTCCTGGGTGCTAATAAACCCACCCCTGCCACCCCCACCCTTCCCGGCGCTCCCGCGGGGCCTGGCCTCAAGTCAGCCCAGGAGGAGGAGGAGGAAGCTGGGGCTGGGTCAGGCGGGTGGTGGCCACCGCTCGCCACCCAAGATGTTATTCACTGGTAACAATCCCCATTATCTGTCCCCACTTTGGGCTAATCAGACAGAATCGCTAATGCCAAATGCTGCTTCCTGCAGCCTCTGGGAGGTAACTGGGCGCCAAGGGGCGGGGTGCGGGGCGGGGTGCGGGGCGGGGCGGGGGCGGAGGTGGCACCTTCCGGGCTCGCCCCGGCTCTGGTCCAGTGCTCATTCAGGTACTTAACACCCTGGAGACCCGGACCTCGGCTTTCAAAGCGGCCTGGGTGGGAAGAGCTGTTTATATAAACAGAGATTCCGCTGTAAATGCGCTAATATCCCGGCTGCCAGCGCATGGCGAGCGCCTCCCACGCCCATCCGTAGGAGCGGCGTCCCGGCCGCCCCTCCGTTCCCAGCCTGCCCTGCCCCCGCCTCCTTCCCCTCCTCGGCCATGGCCACCTCTGGACGCCTGAGCTTCACCGTGCGCAGCCTTCTAGATTTACCCGAGCAGGACGCGCAACACCTGCCGAGGCGGGAGCCAGAACCACGCGCCCCCCAGCCCGACCCCTGCGCCGCCTGGCTGGATTCGGAGCGCGGCCACTACCCTTGTAAGTGCGTGGTGGATTGCGGTGCGGGGTGGGAGGTAGGAGGCGTGGGGCAGCAGAATCAAGGGCCCAGCCCACGAGGGGCCGGAAAGCCGAAATCCCAGCCCAGAGTCTAGATTTCCTCAGTCTTGGAAACGGGAGCCCTGTCCTCGAACCCCTAACGCATTCATCCCGGTCGGCACATCCTAAGAGCAGATCCCTGCCTGGCACTGGTGCTCCGAGATTTGGGGTTTCTGTGTCTGACGATTTCTAGAGGTCGGAATAATTGAAATTTAAAACGCGCCGCCACCTGCCGCCCCCACCCCACCCCCCGCCCCCTCTCCATGCCTGAAAACACGGCCACGATCTCCAGGCCTCCGTCTGGGATGGCCAGTGTTGGCGAGTTTACCCCCACCCCGTTCCCACTCAGGGCTCCGCAAACCTCGGCACACTGCAGTGCAGTCGACCTGGAGGAGGCCGGCGCTGGTGACCCAGCTTGTGATAAACTGGTCGGCCAGCGCAACTACCGGTGCGGACATGTTAAGAGGGCCCCGGGGTGGGTTTTTTCGGGGCACGATCTCAGGCCCGCTGATGACCGCTGTGGTATGAATGAGGTCACCGCATTCGGAGAGGTGGATGTCCAGATGTGGACTCAGGAAATGGCCTCATCCCGAAAGTCTCGGGCTAGTGGGCGTGCCCTCTGGCCAGTGCCTCCACGCCCGCGCCAGAAGGGCAGCAGGCCCTCGTAGGGTCCGGCGTCTCACCCACCCGTGTCTCCTTTGCTGTCCCTAGCCTCGGACGAGAGCAGCCTGGAGACCAGCCCGCCAGACTCGTCGCAGCGGCCGTC